>NT_187570.1:0-300230 GCF_000001405.40 Homo sapiens | reverse complement strand
GAATTCCGCCTGCAGGATGACATGAATGCACCTTCCCATTGCCTACCAACAGACCTTTTTTGAGCATCACTGTGGACCAGGTGTGGTGATGGGGGAGGGGATATTGTGGAGAACATGACAGGCATTGCCTTCACCAAGTGGGGCTCAGCGCTGGGTGGGAAGGCATTGAGAATGGACATTGTCAATTGGGCCAAAGGAGGCCAAGGAGAAGTGCTGGGGGCATGGGAACTGAAAAAGACAGGAGGCTCAGCAGGTCTTGGAGCTGGGAAAGTGACAGCAGCAGCGGCTGTTCCAAAGGAAGCAACAGCTGAGAGAGGTCTCGGAGAGTTGTTCTCAGCCCAGTGGAGGGTGTTCAGGCAGAGGGAACAGCGTGTGCAAAAGCCCAGAGGCTGGGAAAGAAGCAGAAAGAGGACTGTGGGGCTGGAGCATGGTGGGCAAGGGGAGGAAGGTGTGGTGGGCAGACAGATTGACTGGGACCCAGCTGTGCAGGGGCAGAGGAGATAGGGGATCCTTGCAGGCCCCCAGCCGGGGCTCAGGCACAGAGACAATGCAGGTGGGCAAAGGGAGGAGACGTGGAGAAATATTTTGGAGGCATGCCCTGATGAATGAGCCCAGGATGCACCCTTAGTGTCAGTGTGGAGCTCCTTCCTTGACTGTGTGATGAGTTGAACTCGGGGGTATTTTCTGGACATTGAGGTGCTACACCAAGAGCCCAGGACAGGCTAAGTGAGCACTAGCAGCTCCTGGCCCACCTCAAAAGCAGGAGAGACAGGGGAGACTGGGGAGGCCGGGGTGGAAGGGGAAGCCAGGAAGGTAGGAGAGGCCAGGGAAGCAGAGGAGGCCAGGGAGGCAATGGAGGCAGGAGAGGCTGGGGAGGTTATGTCCTTTCCATGATTCTGCCCTGGATCCTAGGCCCCTGAACTCCCTGAGCTTCCCCACCCCAAGCGCTGGAACCAGGTTGCACAATGGTCTCCCCACTAAGCTCCTGATGGCAGCCCCTACCCTGCTGTGCTCCCTATTTCAACCCTAACAGCTCTCACAGTGGGCAGCACATAGTAGGTGCTCAGGAAACACTGGTGGGAGAGCACGTGGGTCTGCTCAGCACCTTCCTCTCTCCTCCAGCTCTCCCCATCATGAAATAATTCTGATAACGACACATGGACTTTGAGACCCTCTTCTATTACTTTCCATATGCTAATGCATCTATACCTCACAGCAGCCCTGGGGGAGGGTGCAATGAGGATGCCCATTTTATAGAGGAGGAGACTGAGGTATAAAGAGGGTAAGTGACATACGCACACTACAGGGGCTGGGGCCAAGTGATCAGAGCACTCAATCCCCAAAGGCAAGGTAGATGCAGTTATCATAAAAGACAGCAGAGTCAAAGCTGCAACCAGAATAGCCTGACTCCCAGCGACCTATGGTGCCTGCTGATCGTGGCTTTCCTAGAAGTGAAATAGATAAGAAGCCTGCCACATTTCACTTGATCTGTGTTTGCAGAAGTGCTCTAGGTCAAGTGAGCAGAAGTCTAATCTGAATCATAAAAACAGAGTCACAGTCCCCAGTCAATTTCCAGACATAAGCCAGTTCACAGACCTGGAGTCCCTTGTCTGAATGAGAAGCCAGGTCCCCTCCAGAAAGGACTCTGCTCCACTGCCAAAAATTTATACTGTCAGTCTTTCTCCCAACCTGCCCCCAAGGGAATACACAGCCTTTCGCCAGGATGACTGAACAGGAGAAAAGGAACTAATGAGACCTGTGCAGGATCACTGGACACAGGCTCTGAACTGGCACTAGGGCGAGACTAGGTTCTACCAGTCAGAATAGGCATTTTGGAGGTCAGGTGAATGTTGGTGCAAGTTCATGTCACGGTAGGTCCATTGGGTCCCCAAATCCATCCTCTGGTTATATACAAAGCGGCAATGCTGAGATTCAAATTCAGGGCATCCGACATAGAGCCTGGGCTCTTACTCATGAAACATTCTGACACTAGTAACCAATTTAAAAGTGTAAACACCTCCTGGGACTAGAATGGGTCCCCAAAACAGTCATGTAAATTGGTTCTGTCAAGAATTTCCTCCCACCCCCTGCTGAGAGCCAGTTGTAAGGAGAGACTAGGGAAGGGCATTGGGTAACTTTGTTGCTAAAAGCTCTTCTGGATAAAGACGTATGGGAAAAGAAGCAAATAGAGTTCAGCAGAAGAGGTAAGAAAGTAAGTTTATGTTTGGCCAGGCACGGTGGCTCACGCCTGTAATCCCAGCACTTGAGAAGGCCGAGGCGGGCAGATCACGAGGTCAAGAGATCGGACTATCCTGGCCAACATGGTGAAGCCCCGTCTCTACTAAAAATTCAAAAATTAGATGGGCATGATGGCGCGCGCCTGTAGTCCCAGTTACTCGGTAGCCTGAGGCAGGAGAATCACTTGAACCCAGGAGGTGGAGATTGCAGTGAGCGGAGATCATGCCACTGCACTCCAACCTGGGCAACAGAGTAAGACTCTGTCTTAAAAAAAAATTAAAATAAATAAATGCTATGCGCAGCATTTTCCATGTACTGTCTTATTATCTCGGTGAATCCCATATAACCTTCCTATGAAAGTGTATCTCATTTATCTCCATTTTATAGATGAGAAAACTGAGGCCCCTGGAGTAGTATTAATTTTCCAAGACCGCATTGCTCATAAAGGGTACAGCAGGGACCCAAGCTCGACACTCTCACCCTCAAACATTTATACAAGTGTGGACCAATGGCTCTCAACTGGGGTGGTTTTGCTCACGTACCGCTCCCTTGCCCCACATTATTTGAAACCATCTGGAGACGTCTGGGGTAGCCATAGCAGGGAGGGTAGAATGGCACCTAGAGGATGGAGACCACAGATGCTGCTAACCATCCTTCAATACACAGGACAGCCCCACCACCAGCACCACGAATGGTCTCACCACAAATATTCTGACTGTGCCAAAGCTGAGAAACCCAGGTTTCTCCTCAGCAAGAAGGAAAATCCCTGCAACGTGGATGCACCTCTACAGGAGCCCCAGGCTGACAATAACCTTCCTGATCTGGTTTCAACCCTGGATGCTTTTACCTGGTGCGTCCATCAGGGATTTCAGGGACTCCAGTGAGTTATCACCCTTGAATGCTCGGTTCTGCCTGACAACCCAGAAATCTCTGCCGAGGTGCCTGGTCTTGCGGAAGACTCAGCAAGTGGTTGAGGTGGACAACCAAATACCTAGGAGAGACTTTTCTCTCCCTCCAGGAGGAGCTGTGGGTCAGACACACACTGGGATCATTCACAAGCGGTCAATAAAGGCTTGAGGAGGGGCAGATTTTCTAGGCCTTCTCAATGGGGTGGGTGTTTGTGGATAAACAAGAAGCCTGTGAAACTTCTGATATTGGGAGGAAATCAATGCCCCCCCCTCCACCCTCCCCCACCTCCCCACCATAAACACATGCCCTGCAGCAGGACTTGACACTCAGGGGCTCCTGGGGTCCCGATTAATCTGCTAAAACATCCTCTAGCCACCACCGAATAAAGCAACCGCTTGCCACCCAACCACAAGAGCACAGCCTGGGAGCCACTCCAAGGGACATCCAGTCACATTAAAACCTCAGCCATCCAGAGCACCAGTCCTGGTGATGAGAAAGAACATTTTATCCTTAAAAGCATCTGAATGCCCATGCTGCTTCTTGCAGAGAAAAGTCCAAAATAATCTGTTATTAAAGAACGAGGATGGTTTTGACATTTTTACCAAGCTAGTGGTCTACGCAGACAAAATCTCATAAAAGGGCACTCTGTTCTTCTTGATCCACTCAGACATGGCCTGTGAGTGAAGAAACGGGCTCTCCTCCTCAAAGAAATCACTGCTGATCCTCGTACCAGCCTGACACTGCTTCATGGGTTCTTCAAAGAGAGTATTCCCATAGGAACTAAAAGGGAAGAGGAATGTGTCTGGCGGGCATTGTGGGCAGCAGTGAGCTTTGGGCCAAATTTTAAGTTTGAAAATCAAGATTCCCTCTTTTCAAGGGGCTGCCGGACTGAGCAGATACAGGCACCGTGAAAAGAGCGTGCCATGTTCAGATTCAGGAAACAAGGATGGTTTCTGTTCAGTTCCTCCATCATCCTTCAGGTCATGCGATTCCCATTTCCCTCTGTGGACCAAACAATTCAGTGGGGTTTCTGCCTTTTAAACATTTCATTATCAACATATCATCCTTTTAGCCTCCAGAAAGCATTTTAACATGGAGATTCTGGCTTAAGACTTTTGTGGGTCTGTCTCTCTCTCTTTTCCTTGAAACGGTCTCACTTTGTCACCCAGGCTGGAGTGCAGTGGCATGATCACAGCTCACTGCAGCCTGACCTTCTAGGCTCTAGCAATCCTCCCACCTCAGCCTCCCAAGTACTTGAGACTGCAGGCACTCACCACCATAACTGCCTTTTTTTTTTTTTTTTTTTTTTGGGAGATATGAGGCTTCACCATGTTGCTCAGGCTGGTCTTAAACTCCTGGGCTCAAGCGATCCTCCCCCTTCGGCCTCTCAAAGTGCTGGGATTATTGGCTTCAGCCACCATGCCCAGCCAAGAACCTTGTCTCTTGTGACGTACTCCAGAACAAAACATCACTGCAAAAACACATCAGGGCATGAGTTTTAGTCTTAAGTCCCACTTATCCACCATACACTATGTGCCAGGCACAACGCTAAGTGCTTCTATGGACGAGCTTCCCTTAATCTCAGCAGCAACAACCCCAGGCAATGGAGCCTGTTGACAGATCCATTTGCCACTGAAGACAGTAAGGCTCAGACAGGGTAAGTGGCTTGTGCCATGTCAGCCAGCTAAGGAGGGGCAGAACCAGGATGCAAACCCCAGCCGCCTGGCTCCAGAATCGCATTCCCAAGGTCTCACTACACTTGGCCTCTCCACCGCATTCTGGTATCCTGGTCTTTGGCAGAGTCCACGTAAAAGAGGGAGGTAGAGGGAGTGAGAGGGACTTCATGCAATAAAGTTTCCCGGCGTTACACTGACACCATAATTGTGTCCCCGACCAGGACCTCTCCCTTCTCATCCTTTCCGTGATCGGCCCTGGAAAACCTTCCAAAGAACTGTCCTCCTTCTCCCGGGATCTCAGAGAAAATTCACCTGAGTTCAGTGTCCAGGTGACCCAAGCTCTGAATGCGGTAACGTGGACGGGGAGATGAGGATGTCACCATGAGCAAGCCTCCCAGACAGCATCCAGGAGCAACCCCAAGACTGGGCGGGGGGGCTCTGATCCTGCCCATGGCGAGGAGGGCTGCCCATGCTGCCTAAATGGGTTCAGAATGAAGGCTGCACTCCCAACTTCAACCCGGGGACGGCCACGGAGCCTCCCGACGCCCCTTCGTCGCGTCCCCGGCACCCCCGAGCCCCCGGCACTCCCGGACCCCCGCGCCCGCATCACTTACTCCTTTGCCGTCGCCACCTGTCTGGGTGCCGGTCTCCTTCCTGCCTGGCAGCGGCGGGTCCTCCCCGTCCTCGCAGTCCTCGGGCTGTGCGCTTCCCCCCTCCAGCTACAGCCCCAGCCTCTTCTCTTCGGGAGGGACGTCCTCCTCCCCCATCCTGGGACTGCCATCCCTGCCTCGGGGCTTGCCAGTGGCTTCGGAGCTGCTGGAAGGGCTGGCCATGGCTCCGCGGGCTCTGCCTGAACTTGGGGAAGAAGAAGGACCCGGCTCAAGCGGCTTCTCGGCGGAGCTGGGGCGTCTGAGCACGGGCTCGGTGGGTCCGCGCGGCGCGGAGCTGGGTATCGGGGCCGGCCCGGGCTCCTCCGCGGGCCGCGCCTGGCTCTCTGGCGCCCTCTTCTGGCCGCTCTCGCGCACCTCTGCCACGCCGGGCCCAGGCCTGCGCAGCTGTCACATGTCCTGGCCCAGGAGGTCGCTGTCCCTTGCCCATGGACAGGCCCGCTCTGGCAATGCCCTGCACCACCTCCCCGCCCCAGCCAGGTTGCACCCCGATGGTCTCCCTGCCCAAGGAGGAGAGAAGAGAAGGGACGCCACGAGAGGGTGGACATCGGCCACAGCCACCTTGTCTTTGCTCTTACCGTGTGTCTTCCATGATTTGGAGGTGGTGGGAAACCCGAGGCTGCTCAAAACTCGTGGAGAATTCCGCCTGCAGGATGACATGAATGCACCTTCCCATTGCCTACCAACAGATCTTTTTTGAGCATCACTGTGGACCAGTCGTGGTGATGGGGGAGGGGATATTGTGGTGAACATGACAGGCATTGCCTTCACCAAGTGGGGCTCAGCGCTGGGTGGGAAGGCATTGAGAATGGACATTGTCAGTTGGGCCAAAGGAGGCCAAGGAGAAGTGCTGGGGGCATGGGAACTGAAAAAGACAGGAGGCTCAGCAGGTCTTGGAGCTGGGAGAGGGACAGCAGCAGCGGCTTTTCCAAAGGAAGCAACAGCTGAGAGAGGTCTCAGAGAGTTGTTCTCAGCCCAGTGGAGGGTGTTCAGGCAGAAGGAACAGCGTGTGCAAAAGCCCAGAGGCTGGGAAAGAAGCAGAAAGAGGACTGTGGGGCTGGAGCGTGGTGGGCAACAGGAGAGAGGTGTGGTGGGCAGACAGATTGCCTGGGACCCAGCCGTGCAGGGGCAGAGGAGATAGAGGATCCTTGCAGGCCCCCAGCTGGGGCTGAGGCACAGAGACAATGCAGGTGGGCAAAGGGAGGAGACGTGGAGAAATATTTTGGAGGCATGCCCTGATGAATGAGCCCAGGATGCACCCTTAGTGTCAGTGTGGAGCTCCTTTCTTGGCTGTGTGATAAGCTGAACCCGGGGGTATTTTCTGGACACCGAAGTGCTACACCCAGAGTCCAGGACAGGCTAAGTGAGCACCAGCAGCTCCTGGCCCACCTCAAAAGCAGGAAAGACAGGGGAGACTGGGGAGGCCGGGGTGGAAGGGGAAGCCAGGAAGGCAGGAGAGGCCAGGGAACAGAGGAGGTCAGGGAGGCAGGGGAGGCAGGGGAGGCTGGGGCGGCTGTGTCCTTTCCATGATTCTGCCCTGGATCCTAGGCCCCTGTAGTCCCTGGGCTTCCCCACCCCCAAGCACTGTAACCATGTTGCACAACGGTCTCCCCACTAAGCTCCTGATGGCAACCCCTATCCTGCTGTTCTCCCTATTTCAACCCTAACAGCTCTCACAGTGGGCAGCACATAGTGGGTGCTCAGGAAACACTGGTGGGAGAGCACGTGGGTCTGCTCAGCACCTTCCTCTCTCCTCCAGCTCTCCCCTGTCACGAAATAATTCTGATAACGACACATGGGCTTTGAGACCCTCTTCTATTACCTTCCATATGCTAATCCATCTATACCTCACAGCAGCCCTGGGGGTGGGTGCAATGAGGATGCCCATTTTATAGAGGAGGAGACTGAGGTATAAAGAGGGTAAGTGACATACGCACAGTACAGGGGCTGGGGTCAAGTGATCAGAGCACTCAATCCCCAAAGGCAAGGTGGATGCAGTTACCATAAAAGACAGCAGAGTCAAAGCTGCAACCAGAATAGCCTGACTCGCAGAGACCTATGGTGCCGGCTGATCGTGGCTTTCCTAGAACTGAAATAGATAAGAAGCCTGCCACATTTTTACTTGATCTGTGTTTGAAGAAGAATTCTAGGTCAGGTGAGCAGAAGTCTAATCTGAATCATAAAAACAGAGTCACAGTCCCCCGTCAATTCCCAGACATAAGCCAGTTCACAGACCTGGAGTCCCTTGTCTGAATGGGAAGCCAGGTCCCCTCCAGAAAGGACTCTGCTCCACTGCCAAAAATTTATACTGTCAATCTTTCTCCCAGCCTGTCCCCAAGGGAATACACAGCCTTTACCAGGATGACTGAATAGGAGAAAAAGAACTAATGGGACCTGTGCAAGACCACTGGACACAGGCTCTGAACTGGCACTAGGGCGAGACTAGGGTCTACCAGTCAGAATAGGCATTTTGGAGTTCAGGTGAATGTTGGTCCAAGTTCATGTCATGGTAGATCCATTGGGTCCCCAAATCCGTCCTCTGCTTATATACAAAATGGCCATGTTGAGACTTAAATTCAGGGTATCCAACTTAGAGGCTGTGCTCTTACTCATGAAACATTCTGACACTAGTAACCAATTTAAAAATGTAAACACCTCCTGGGGCTAGTGAGAGTCCTCCAAACAGTCATGTAAATTGGTTCTGTCAAGGATTTCCTCCTACCCACCCCCCCCCACCACTGAGAGTCAGTTGCAAGGAGAGACTAGGGAAAGGCATTGGGTAACTTTGTTGCTAAAAGTTCTTCTGGATAAACAAGAGCCTTATCCAGGAAAAAGAAGCAAAATAGAGTTCAGCAGAAGTTGCGAAAAGAAGCACATAGAGTTCAGCAGAAGAGGTAAGAAAGTAAGTTTATGTTTGACCAGGCACGGTGGCTCACGCCTGTAATCCTAGCACTTTGGGAAGCCAAGGCGGGCAGATCACGAGGTCAAGAGATCGCACCATCCTGACCAAAAAGGTGAAGCCCCGTCTGTACTAAAAATTCAAAAATTAGCTGGCCATGATGGCACACGCCTATAGTCCCAGCTACTCGGGAGCCTGAGGCAGGAGAATCACTTGAACGCAGGAGGCAGAGGTTGCAGTGGGCCGAGATCATGCCACTGCATTCCAACCCGGTGACAGAATTAGACTCCATCTCATAAAACAAAACAAAACAAACAAAAAAAAGTAAGCTTATTTTTAAGCCTGAACAAGTGTAGTGGTTTAGGGGTTCTGCAAACACGGCCCCAATCAGGCTACAAGATGTTCTGGCAGCAATATTTACAGCCAGTCACTCCTGGCCGGCTGAGCCACTTTTCAAAACACCCTTGCACAGCTGTGCAGAGAGGCTGGCTCCACTGGCTGCCGGCAGAGCCATAACTCACAGTGTCACCGCTGCCCTCAAACCACTTCGGTAAGCACTTTGTATTTTTGAGACGGAGTCTTGCTCTGTCATCCAGGCTGGAGTGCAGTGGCACAATCTCGGCTCACTGCAAGCCCCGCCTCCTGGGTTCATGCCATTCTCCTGCCTCAGCCTCCCAAGTAGCTGGGACTACAGGTGCCCGCCACCATGCCCGGCTAATTTTTTGTATTTTTAGTAGAGACGGGGTTTCACCGTGTTATCCAGGATGGTCTCAATCTCCTGACCTTGTGATCTGCCTGCCTCGGCCTCCCAAAGTGCTGGGATTACAGGCGTGAGCCACCGCGCCCGGCCTGGTAAGCACTTTTAATCAATGCAACAGGAATAAACATTTGCTGCAGAGCGGCAATGTGCAGGGAAGAACATGCTTCCACTTAGGATCAGAAAGCAAAACCTCCTGGCTGTTTGCATCTATGCAAGAGCTCACAGGAAAAGCCCTCTGTGTGGCTGCCAGCCTCACACACTCCCCCCAAGGGGTGAATTTCTCTTTCCATGTTAATCTATGCTCTGACGTGCCATCTGTCAACCACCACACCATTCTCAGTTGACATTTCAAAGCATCTTTGCCCTGAGAATGGTCACCAGCTCTGCCCTGCAAGCCCCCAGGTGACAATGAACTTAAATGAGAGAGAAAACAGGTTTCGAGGTGGATTTCAGTTCAGCATCTTGGAGTCTCTGTGTGGACATGAAATCTGTCTCCCCAGCTGTGGACTGCATCCTTGTTTGTCATCTGGTTTGGTTCTTGGGGACTTGGAAACTCGTGGGCACCTTTGCAATTTGTCAAGAAGCTGCATGGCCCTTCCAACAAAAGCAAGGAATAGAAACAGAAGCCCAAGGCTTCAGATCAAGGTGCAATTTAAAGCAGCCTCAGTATAAAAGCAAACAAGAGCCAGAGGGATGCCTAAGGCAGAGTCTAGACCCCAGGGCAGCTATAAGGCAAAGAGAAAGAGAGAGAGAGACAGAGACAGAAAGACAGAGAGAGATGGGAGGAGACATGAGGCACCCAGGCATCTGGATCAAAATCCCTACAAGAGGAGCCTCCTAAAAATGCAGGAGGCTGAGGTGGGTGCACACAGAAGTTCAAGACTAGCCTGGGCAACACAGCAAGACCGTGTCTTTACAAAAAATACAAAAATTAGCCGGGTGTGGTGGTGTATGTCTGTGGTCCCAGTTACCCAAGAGACTGAGGTGGGAGGATTGCTTGAGCCCAGGAGATAGAGCTGCAGCAAGCTGAGATAGCACCACTGCACTCCAGCCTGGGCAACAGAGTGAGACTTCATCACAAAAAAATTTAAAAAATTTTTTAAAAAGGATCACCCCGGCTACTCGAATGGGTAATAAGAAGGTAAGAGCAGAAGCAAGGAGACCAGCAGGGACATTCTGCAGGTGGGAGTCCACAGAGGTTCAGACCAGGCTGGGGCTGAAGACTGCCTGAATTCTGTGTATATTTTGATGATGAAGCAACTCACCGACTCTTGAAGAGTGGGCTCCAGGAGATGGTATTTTTAACAAGGTCTCAGAGGATTCTAATGCAGGCTGAAGTTGAAGAACTGCTTTAGGTGAAGCTTCTGTTTCATCCTTGGGGAAGTACCTACTGACTTTTCTCTAAGCCACCACAAAAGAGGTGCTAGACAAGATGTGCTCCAATGTCTGAACATGTGTGCACAGCTGTAGAGCCAACCTAAGGACACTGAGTCAAAGGTTAGGAGTACAACAGTGAACAACCACTGTCCTCTTTTCAATAAGCTTTCATTTAATGAGAGAAATAAAAAGCAAAAAAAAAAATCATTTTCAACTCAGAATGGTAAGAGTTATGGTGACAGTATGCCTGGGGCAATGGGAGCACATAGAAGGGGCACCCAATCGGCCAGGTGCAGTTGTTCATGCCTGTATTCCCAGCACTTCGGGAGGCCAAGGTGGGTGGATCACTTGAGGCCAGGAGTTCGAAAACAGCCTGGCCAACATGGTGAAATCCTATCTTTACTAAAAATACAAAAAAATTAGCCAGATGTGGTGGGGGGCACCTGTAATTCCAGATACTCAGAAGGCTGAGGTGGGAGAATTGCTTGAACCCGGGTGGTGGAGATTGCAGTGAGCCAAGATCGCACCACTGCATTCCAGCTTGCATGGTCAGAGCGAGACTCTTTCAAAAAAAAAAAAAAAGAAAGAAAAAAGAAAAAGCTCGGAGGTGGGTGGGCATGCAATCTATATCGGGTGGTGAGAAATCCTTCTCCACCACAGGACTCCTCAGTTGAAGACTAGAAAATGGTAGGAACTAGCCAGGTCGATAGGAGAGGTGTGGAAGATCATTCTCAGCAGAGGGAAGAGCATGTGTAAAAATCGAGACGTGAGAGGGTGAGGAGCTGAGAGATGTTCATATAATTGTAAAAAGTGAGTAATATAGAGGTAAGTTGGAGGCAAATCTTAAAGGCTCTTTGTCGTGTCTATCCTGTAGAGAAAGGGAGACAGTAGATGTTTTTATGCAGGGGAGTAATGATCCACTTTGTGCTAGAAGAAGAGCAGTCTGGCTGGAGGAGAGTGGGTGGTGAGTAGACCAGGTAGGAGGCTGCAATACGCCAAGTGAGACAAGATGGTTGGCTGGACCAAGGCTGTGGCAGTGAGGATGGAGAGGAGACAGTAGACTAACTTGACTGAGAAAGAGGGAGGAATGAAGGAGGAGGCCCAGGTGATTTGGAAGCTGGGTGGATGGTGGTGTGAATCTGACGTGGTGAGCCCTGGCAGAAGAGGAAATCAGGAGAGGAAAGGTAAGATGAGGTCAATGCAAGACAGACAGCCAAGTGGAGATAACAACTGGGCAGTTGGATTCATCAGCCTGGAGTTATACAGAGAGCTCTGGAATGGAAATAAAGAGGAAAGGACTTTGGGAATAGGTGAATCCTCCCAGAATAATGTGTAAGAAAGGAGCATAGAACACAGGGGACAGAAAAAGGGAAGAGATTTGTTATTAAAACCAACCATCCATCAGACATCTTCCAATAAAACACTTGTTAGAGGTTTCCTCAGTGTGAGTTATTCAGGACCAGAGCTAAAGACCATATTCCCAATAAAATAACTGCTGGGAAGGTCTTCATGAAAACATTTAATGCTGCTTTTAAAACAACAACAATAAAAAGGCTTTAGCTACTGCACAGACCCTGGAGCAATTTTTCGGCAAGAGTCTATCAAACACGAATCTGATCTGACTCAAGGAGGTGTCATATCAAGTGTAAAAATCCAATTCCAATGTCCATAAGAGCCTTTCTGCCAGGTACAAGACCCTAATCCAGTTGAAGTGATTTTCTATTGATTAATAGGCTGGGAATACACAGGTTGTTGGTTTTTGAGATTTCCCTCCCTGTGCCTTCATGCCAGCTGTGAAAGAGTCAAAAGGCTCCTAACTGTCAAAATAAAAATGACACTTGGTCACAGAGGAAGCAGATTATAGGTCAATCACATTGATGACTTTTTAATTATGAGAAGCCATTAATGTTACTGAATAAGCAAATCTGTTTGCATAAGCAGATTTTTATAGGCTACTGGGAATAAAGGTTTTCCTAAGTGGGTGATTTGTACAACGATAGCCTTTGGGTCTCTGATGGAACAGCTCTGATGAGGAAATGTTCCTTTAATTATGTGGAAGGCCAATTACCACGTTATAGCCACATTGTTTTGCAGATTGCATATAATTTCACCATTTCCATAGTTTCAGCACTATAATTCTGGAGAAAATTCAGGCACCAAGGAGACACTTGAGGCACACTATGCTGGAGACAAAGATGTTTTAGCGAATTCAATTTAAGCTTCAACATTAAAGTTATTTTGTTGAATAAAACATAATGCAATAATGAGCTTGTGTATGTCAACTCTATAGTGCAGGTAATAATAGCTAGAGAGAGCATATCCCGTCTCCTCTTTTTAATGCTCATTTGAGTAATACATAATGCTATAGAGAGAACTTTTCTCTAATATGTGCTTCACCTCAGGCTAAGCGTGTTTTGGGCAACTGTGCTTCATGAAAAAAAGGTAAAGGATCTAATTTGGGAGCCACTCACAAAAGTGCTACCACTTGATGTTTTTTTATACTCTGAGATTTCTTATTCCCAGTGCCTACCAGGAATGGACTTTCTGGAGAAGCTCAGATTAATCACTCCTTATGAGAGGTAACAGCGTGTTGGCAGCCCTCACAGCCCTCGTTCACTCTCGGCACCTCCTCTGCCTGGGCTCCCACTTTGGCAGCACTTGAGGAGCCCTTCAGCCCACGGCTGCATGGTGGGAGCCCCTTTCTGGGCTGGCCGAGGTCAGAGCTGGCTCCCTCAGCTTGCAGGGAGGCATGGAGGGAGAGGCATGAGCTGGAACTGGGGCTACGTGTGCTGCTTGCCTGCCGGCTGGAGTTCTGGATGGGCGTGGGCTTGGTGGCCCTGCACTAGGAGCTGCCGGCTGGCCTTGCCGGCCGGGGCTGTGAGGGGCTTAGCACCTGGGCCAGCAGCTGCTGTGCTCGACTTCTCACCGGGCCTTAGCTGCCTCCCTGCGGGGCAGGGCTCGGGACCTGCAGCCTGCCATTCCTTAGCCTCCCCCCTCTGTGGGCTCCTGTACGGCCCAAGCCTCCCCGATGAGCACCGCCCCCTGCTCCATGGCGCCCAGTCCCATCGACCACCCAAGGGCTGAGGAGTGTGGGTGCATGGAGAGGGACTGGCAGGCAGCTCCACCTGCAGCTCCTGTGCTGGGTCCACTGGGTGAAGCCAGCTGGGCTCCTGAGTCTGGTGGGGACTTGTAGAACTTTATGTCTAGGTAAGGGATTGGAAATACACCAATTGGCACTCTGTATCTAGCTCAAGGTTTGTAAACACACTAATCAGCACCCTGTATCTAGCTCAGGGTTTATGAATGCACCAATTGACACTCTGTATCTAGCTACTAGGGTGGGGACTTGGAGAACCTTTGTGTGGACACTCTGTATCTAGCTAATCTAGTGGGGACGTGGGGAGCATTTGTGTCTAGCTCAGGGATTGTAAACGCACCAATCAGTGCCCTGTCAAAACAGACCACTCAGGCTCTCTGTAAAATGGACCAATCAGCAGGATGTGGGTGGGGCCAGGTAAGAGAATAAAAGCAGGCTGCCCGAGCCAGCAGTGGCAACCCACTGGGGTCCCCTTCCACACTGTGGAAGCTTTGTTCTTTTGCTCTTTGCAATAAATCTTGTTGCTGCTCACTCTTTGGGTCCACACTGACTTTATGAGCTGTAACACTCACCGAGAAGGTCTGCAGCTTCTCTCCTGAAGCCAGCAAGACCATGAACCCACTGGGAGAAATGAACAACTCCAGACCTGCAGCCGTAAGAGCTGTAACACTCACCGTGAAGATCTGCAGCTTCACTCCTGAGCCAGCGAGACCACGAGCCCCACCTGAAGGAAGAAACTTCAAACACATCCGAACATCAGAAGGAACAAACTCCAGACACGCCACCTTTAAGAACTGTAACACTCACCAGGAGGGTCCACAGCTTCGTTCTTGAAGTCAGTGAGACCAAGAACCCACCAATTCTGGACACACTTATACACTTGGCACTGGGAGGTCTGTATGGAGCAAGTGAAGAAATCAGCAGAGTGAAGATAGAAGGAGAACAACATGATGGGGGAAAGGCAAAGTTAGTGCCACATTGGTTTCAATTCTGCCACTCATGAGTGAGACCCATGACCTCCTCTCTCTAGGACTCTGTTTTTCTTATATGTAGAGTGGAGGAATAGAAGGGCCTTTTAAAGTATTAACATTTCCTGACCTATCTGTAAAACACTTTCATTCAAACTGATGGGAATCTTGACTACTTTGCCAAGAGGACATAATAATCATCAAGCTGAATGCACCAAACAGCATTGCCTGAAACTATCTAAGCAAAAACTGAGAAAGTTACACAGGACAGACAAACCTCCTATGAGAGTAAGAACTCTTCAGCACATGCTTAGTGTGTCAAAGACAATACTGTGTTCACACCATTCCTCTTCCTGGACATGCAGAAAGACTACATTTCCCAGCCTCATTTGCAGTTAGTTTGGAACCATGTGACTGCATTTCCACCAATAGGAATGTAAGAAATCACTTCTGGGCCAAGGTTATCAAAGTGTGAGCTATGTTCCCTCTCTTCCTATCCATATGGCTACAAGTGAAAAACTCTGAGATGGCAGAATTAAAAGATGGAAACCTCCAGAATCTCTGAATCACTGTTGGACAAGGGCCCCCAAGGAGAACCCCTGCCCTGCACCAGACTATGCTATGGGTGTCAACCCACTGAGAGTTCAGGGTTTATTCGTCTCAGCAGCAGTCTATTGTTACACTGACTAACATCCTGAGGTTTGAGAGGTCTAGCATATTGTTAACTGAAGTTAGATTTCAATTACACTGAGAACCTTATCTATTTCAAAATAAAAACTCTCCTAAAAAAAAAATCCACATTCCTTTTAACCACATGTGGCAAATTTGCAAAAAAAAAAAAAAAAAAAAAAAAACTGGCCACATATTAGGCCATAAAGAAGTCTCAACAAAATCCACTATACGATTGACAGTGTCCAGACCACATTTTCCTGACCATAATGCCACAAAATTAGAAGTCAACAGCAAGAAGATAGCTAAACACAAGCATATATTTGGAAAATTAAAAATATCCTTTCATGAGTTAAATGAAAAATCACAATAGAAATTACTAAACATTTACAACTGAATGAAAACACAACTTTATATATATATGTATATATATATAATATGTATATATATATATATATATATATATATATATATATATATTTTTTGTGAGTCTTCCAAATTTGTTCTTCTTTTACAAGGTTATTTGGGAAATTCTGGGTCTCCTGCAATTCCTCTTACAGTTTTATGCTGTGTGTCAATTTCTGTGGCTGGGTCTATGAGAACTTATCGTAGTTCTCATAGACCAGGGTTTGCATGTTGCTGTCTAGAGCCCGGATCTGCTGCACCATGTCCGTCTCACTATCCATCAGCTGGGCCAGAGGGCACTCTCTAGGAAGCTTGTCTAGGTAAACTTCCGGGTCGAAGTGTACCCCGTTCATATCAGTGGGGTCCAGGGGGTCGGTCCCCGCAGGGAGTCCCACCGCCTCCACTTCCGAGAGGCCGTTGTAAAACTTCAGCATCCTGTCCGCCTTCCACCGACGCTCCTTGAGCCTCCCCCTCGGGCCCTTCTGGGGAGTCCCCAGGTCCACACCCCGGGCTAGGCCCAGTGACAGCTGCCGCCGCCATAGCTCCAACTGCAGCCCACGGGCGTAACTTTTATATTTTTAAGTTGGATACATGGAGCTACTTGGCTTTTGCTTTCATCACCTCTTTGAGGAAAGAGCTGGTTGCTTATGGTACCCCTGTTTTTACTGCAACGTGTAATGGATGAGAACCTCCCTGTTGCAGAGAGCAAAACACTGAACTAAATTGTGCTGTAACACAGCTCTGTATTGGGGGAGTGGGAGTGATCATGCAAACGCTTGCAAATTTGCACAGTGACAGAGACAATCGTTTGGGCACCTGTTCACTATATGAAAAGGCAATTGACCAAAAGTCAGTTACTGAGCTATCTCAATACTTTCATTTTATTTTAACTTTTGGCAGCAGCGTGCAATTAAAGGAGAGAAAGAAAACAAAGTGATAAGTGTAAGATAATGTACACACATGTGTAAAAGAAAATGACAAGACAGGATGACCATTTGTCTCTTGGTTAGCTCCTTGGGCTCTATGTCTCCTTCCTCGGAGAACCTCGTTTTCCTTTGTCCAGATTTGTTAGGGTGGGTAATCCAGGCGCCTGCTCCCCCATGATGGAAGCCAAAGACATCCCTGGAGCAGCGTCCCGCTGCATCCTTTCCTGCACTGCCCACATGGACACAACTCAGCCGATTAGTCTTCCTCTCAGAACTTTAGTCTTGAGCAAAGGGATTAAAGGGTGAAGTGACTAAAGGTATGCCCTTCCAAAGTGGTACGTGAGCTAACGGCTAAAGTTTGCCATTTTTTCGTAATTTTTATTTATTTATTTTTTTGAGACGGAGTCTTGCTCTGTTGCCCAGGCAGGAGTGCAGTGGCGTGATCTCGATTCACTGCAACCTCTGTCTCCCGGCTTCAAAGGAGTCTCCTGTCTCAGCCTCCCCAGTAGCTGGGATGACAGGCGTATGCCACCATGCCTGGCTAATTTTTTTGAGTTTTTTTGGTATTTTTAGTAGAAACAGGGTTTCACCATGTTGGCCAGGCTGGTCTCGAAATCCTGACCTTGTGATTCGCCTGCCTCAGCCTCCCAAAGGGCTGGGATTACACACTTGAGCCAACGCGCCCAGCTTCAAAGAGTTTTAAGCAGAGCTCAGAGGTCTTAACCACAGGCACATCGGAGGAGCATTTTTGAAACACTTTCCAGCTTCCTCAATAGGAATGGAAGCCAAACTCCGAATTGATGACTCCTTTGAGGAAGTTGAGAGCTGTAAGGAAAGCCAGGAACAGGGGCAAGGGAGAGATGCGTCCCGAATGATCCTGTGCAAATTCTTTCTGGAATCCTTGATGTGATCTCAGCTGCCCTTTCTATACATGACACAGTGATTGTGGCACCCACTGGTCTAGCTGTGGTCAACAAGGAACCCACAAAGGGAAGGGCACAGTGAGTAGGGGCATCCGCCTGAGTGACGAGGATTTGAGAGGGCAGGTTGGTTGCAGGGAGAGGACTTGCCAAATGCCATGTGTCTGGACTTAGACTGCCTGGTTCAAATTGGACTTCGCCCTTTTTGACTTCGTGATCTGGTACAAGCTGCATGAAAATCCGTTGCGCTTTTTCTAGTCTGTAAAATCATCATGAAATGTGCACTAATAACGTGGAGACTATGCAGATGAAATGAAACAAGCTGCATAGAGCACAGAGCTCAGAGCCTGGCCTTTAGGAAGCCCTCAGTAAGGGTTCATGATGCCATGGTGTCTGTCGTCATCCTCTTTATCCTCATCATCACCTTCATAATCTCTTTGTTGTTCTTAGGGAATAGTTAGAGGGACTGATTCCCTGCTATCATGGGTGAGATGTTTATGAAAAGGACAACCAGTGGGGGAGGAAAGCAAAATTTTGAATAAGATTTCTGAGACCCCCAGCACAACCAAGAACATAAACTGCACAGTCTGCTGAGCAGAGAGTTGCACATTGGTCTCCTCACATCTGCCCACCGCACTCTCCTGTTTGTCCTGAGGATGAGGAAACAAACAAGTCTCCCGACCGTCCCTCAGCACTCACTTGAAGGGGTGGCCTCCTCCTCCACAGCTGTGGGTATTTCCAGTCGGGTAGGACGAGAGACTGAGAAAAGAAATAAGATACAGAGACAAAGTATGGAGAAACAACAGTGGGCCTAGGGGACCGCCGCTCAGCATACCAAGGACCTGCACCGGCACAGGACTCTGAGTTCCCTCAGTTTTTATTGACTATTATTTTTATTATTTTAGCAAAAAGGAATGTAGTAGGAGCGCAGGGTGATAATAAGGAGAAGGTCAGCAACGAACATGTGAGAAATAGAATCTATTTCATAAGGAATTTCAAGGAAAGGTACTATGACTGGATGTGTACGTAAGCCAGATTTATGTTTCTCTCCACCCAAACATCTCAGTGGAGTAAAGAATAACAAGGCAGCATTGCTGCAAACATGTCTCGCCTCTTACCATAGGGCGGTTTTTCTCCCATCTCAGAATTGAACAAATGTACAATCGGGTTTTATACCGAGACATTCAGTTCCCAGGGGCAGGCAGGAAACAGCGGCCTTCCTCTCTCTCAACTGCAAGAGGCTTTCCTCTTTGACTAATCCACCTCAGCACAGACCCTTTACGGGGGGCGGGCTGGGGGATGGTCAGGTCTTTCTCATCCCACCAGGCCATATTTCAGACTATCACATGGGGAGAAACCTTGGACAATACCCTGCTTTCAAGGGCAGGGCTCCCTGCGGCTTTCCACAGTGTATTGTGCCCCTGGTTTATTGATACTAGAGAATGGCGATGACTTTTACAAAGTATACTGCTTGGAAACATCTTGTTAACAAGGCAAGTCCTGCATAACCCTAGATCCCTTAAACCTTGATTTCATACAACACATGTTTTTGTGAGCTTCAGGTTGGGTCAAAGTGGCTGGGGCAAAGCTACAGATTAACAACATCTCAGCAAAGCAATTGTTGAAAGTACAGGTCTTTCTCAAAATGGAGTCTCTTATGTCTTTCCTTTCTGCATAGACACAGTAAGAGTCTGATCTCTCTTTCTTTTCCCTACACTCACTGAACTGCCTCTCCCCTCTGCTGGGACATGACCACGGAGAACAGGTCCACTGTCCTCCCTGCGTGGTGCACCATGGAGGCTCAGGCTCCGTCCTCAAGGCTGGCAAGAAGACAGGGTGAGACATGAGCCTCCTGATACAGGTGACGGCTGTGGAGCCCACAGGACTGCAACCTCACACTGCAGGGCTGGAGGCACAGACTGAGTATTTACTATCCTGTGGCCTGGGGGGCTCAGGCACAGAGCTCCTCATTAGCCAAAGCCGCCCAAGTTCCCCAGCCTCTAAGGATGTCCTCATAATAATGCAAGAAGAAGAGAAAAGTGAGTGTCCATAGAAACTTTGGGGCTCTTCCTCTAATCAGAAGAAAGCTGGTGTGTATTCTTCGCTTCTTTCTTTTCTTTTTAAACATCCAACTGCTTTAATTTTCATCTTTTATAATGGGAAAATATACCACGTATAAATATTAAAAATTATAAATATATATTAGTTCATATAGAATGGCCAGTATAAACATTTACAATTTCCACTCTTTTTCAGTTTACAGATTAATGACATTAAGTACGTTAACATTATTTAGCAAGCATCACCGCCATCATCTCAGGAACAGTTTTATCTTTCAAAATGGAAATTCCACCCATTCACCAAGCTCTCCATTCCTTTCTCTCGCCCACCCCTGGGGGCCACCTTTCTAGTTTGCAACTCTATGAGTTTAACTACTCTAGACACTTGATAGATAAGTGGAATCATACCGTGTTTTTTTTTTTGTTTTGGAGACAGAGTCTTTCTCTCTCACCCAGTCTGGAGTGCAGTGGTGTGATCTCGGCTCACTGCAACCTCCACATCGTGGGTTCAAGCGATTCTTGTGTCTCAGTCTCCCGAGAGGCTGGGATTACAGGCGTGCGCCACCACACCCTGCTAATTTTTGTATTTTTAATAGAGACGAGCTTTCACCATATTGGCCAGGCTGGTCTCGAACTCCTGACCTGAAGTGATCCGCCTGGCTCAGCCTCCCAAAGTGCTGGTGTTACAGGTGCGAGCCACTGAGCCTGGGCCTGTTTATCCTTTTGGGATTTATTTATTTCACTGACGATAATGTCTTCAAGGTTCATCCATGTTGCGGCCTGCCTCAGAAGTGCCTGTCTGTTTTTTTTTTGTTGTTTTTTGTTTGTTCGTTTGACTTTGTTTTGTTTTGTGTTTCCATAGAGTCTCACTCTGTCGCACAGGCTGGAGTACAGTGGCACAATCTGGGCTCACCTCCGCTTCCCGGGTTCCAGTGATTCTTGTGCCACATCCTCCCGAGTAGCTGGGACTATAGGCACACGCCTCCATGCTCATCTCATTTTTTGCATTTTCAGTAGGGACAGGGTTTCCCCAAGATGGCCAGGCTGGTCTTGAATTCCTGACCTCAGATGATCCGCCCACCTCGGTCTTCCAAGACGCTGCGATTACAGGCGTGAGCCACCGCACCGGCCAGAAGTGCCTGCCTTTTGAAGGCTGAATAGTCTTCCATTGTATGAAGGAACTGCAGTGGGCTTTTTCATTCATCTGTCCACGAACCCTTGGGTTGCTTCCACATTTTGGCTCTTGTGAATAATGCTGCTATGAATATGGGTGTACACAAATCTGTCTTCCACTCCTGGCTTCTTTTTGTAGGTACCCACAAATGCAACTGCGGCAACATATGATCATCCTGTTTCTAATTTTTCCAGTAGACGCCATACTATTTTCCCCGTTCCTTCACGGTTTTACATTCCTTCTGATCAGATTCGAGCATTCCTACTTCCCTCTAGTCTCACCAATCCTGTTTGTTTATCATATCCATCCTAATGTGTGGTGTCACATTCTTGGTTTGATTTGCGCTTCCCTATGATGAGTGATTTTGAACATCATTTTAGATGCTTATTGGCCATTGCTATATCTTCTTTAGGAACACGTCTACTTGAGTCTTCTGACCATTATTGATGGGATGCTTTGGGTTTCTTGTTCTTTAGTTCTGCCTGTTCTTTATGTATGATGGATATCAGCCTCTTTTCAGATATATGCTTTGAAAATATTTTTCCTAATCCATGGGTTATCTTTTCACTCAGTTTGCCGTGATTTTGCTGCACAAAAGTGTCTGTCATTTCGATGTAATCCAAGGAATCTAATTTTCTTTTGTTGCCTATGCTTTTGGTGTCATATCCCAGAGAACATTGCCCAATCTGATGTCATGAAAGCATGGCCAATGTTTTCCTTTAGGCGAATGATTCTTTTAGCGCTTGGGGTGAGGTCTTTGATCCAGTTTGTGTTAATTTTTGCCCCTGGTGTGACATAGTGTCCACCTTCATTCTTCTGCATGTGGAAATCAAGTTTCTCCAACACCATTTCTTGAAAAGGCTGTTTTTCCACCAATGAGCTTTCTTACCACTCATGTTAAAAATCGTTTGAACATACAGGTGACAAGTTATTTCTGGGCTCCAAAATAAACAAACAACAGCAGACAACAGATAATGTTACAGCATGGGCCGGGCCCGTCGCTCACGCCTGTAATCCCAGCACTTTGGGAGGCCGAGGTGGGCGGATCACCTGATGTCAGGAGTTGAAGACCAGCCTGACCGACAGGGAGAAACCCCCGTCTCTACTACAGGCGCGTGCCTGTAATCCCAGCTACTCGGGAGGTGGAGACAGGAGAATCGCTTGAACCCAGGAGGCAGAGGTTGCGGTGAGCCAAGATTGCACCATGACACTCCAGCCTGGGCAACAAGAGCAAAACTCCATCTCAAAACAAAAAACAAAAAACAAAAAACCAGCATGATTTCAAGAGCAGAAAGAGAAGAGCTGAAAAACCAGCATAATGAGAAAATTAGGAAGTTTCTTACCAAAGCATCTGGAAATATTCAAGAAATTCTTGTGAACTAAAATTTTCATACTGTACAATCAAACACTAGAACTCACTTATTCCATCTTTCTGTATTTTGGGACCCAATTATCCACTTGTCTTCATTCCCCATCCCACCCCTTTTCTTCCTAGCGTCTGCTAACCACCTTTATACTTTCCACCTTCCTGAGATTCCTTTTGTGTGTAGGTGTGTGATGGAGTCTCTTTATGTTGCCCAGGTTGGAGTACACAGGCACAATCCGGGCTCACTGAAAGCTCCGCCTCCCGAGTTCAAGCGCTTCTTGGGCCTCAGCCCTCCGAGTAGCTGAGACTAGAGGCACGCGTCACCACGCCCGGCTAATTGCTTGTTTTTTCCGTAGAGACGGGGTTTCACCATGTTGGCCAAGCGGGTCTCGAACCCCTGGACTCAAGTGATCCCTGCGACTCGGCATCCCAGAGTGCTGGGATTACAGGTCTGAGCCACCACGCCTGGTCAAGGTTTCCTTTTTTCTTCCTACGTAGAAGTGAGGACATGAAATATTTGACATTCTGTGCCTGGCTTATTTCATTTAATATACAGACCTGCAATCTCATCCATTTTGTCTGCAGCGGAGAGGATTTTCTTCCTCTTTAGGCTGAATAATACTTCATTGGGTGTGTATACCACAGTTTCTTTATTGAAACAAATTTCTAAAGAGCAAATATTTTTAAAGTCTCAGAATGTGAAACTTCAGGGATACCGTGCCCATTTTATTCTTTTCTATTTCCCATCTTATGTATCTGCAAGTGTATAACAAAGCAGCAATTGATGTGTGTATAAATCGATAACTTCAACAATTGCAAAATGTAAATGCTAAGTGGTGGCTGGGCGCGGTCCCTCATGCGTGTAATCCCAGTACTTTGGGAGGCGGAAGCGGCCGGATCACCTGAGGTCGGGAGTTCAAGACCAGCCTGACCAAAATGGAGAAACATTGTCTCTACTAACAATACAACAACAACAACAACAACAAAAAGATAGCCAGGCATGGTAGCGCATGCCTGTAATCCCAGCTACTTGGAAGGCTGAGACAGGAGAATTGCTTGAATACGGGAGGCAGAGGTTGCAGTGAGCCGAGACCGTGCCATTGAACTCCAGCCTGGGCAACAAGAGTGAAACTCTGACTCAAAAAAAAAAAAAAAAAAAAAAAAAAAAAGGACAAGAAGGAAATAGAAAATGCGAAATGGTAAGAAAAAACAGCATAATAAACATTCGTATGGTGTTGATGGACAATGCATTTGAAGATAATATTTGAAGAAATCATATTACAATTAATTTCTGTTCTTACTCATTGCAGCTTGATGCCTCTAAAAACTTCGTCATTGGAACCACCTCTGGTGCTTTAAAAGAAAAAAAAAAATCCACACACTCACACAGGTGCAAGGAAATCAGAATCTCAGGTATTGAGAACCAGTCCTCATCATGTGTAAGCTGCCCAGGTGATTTGACTCAAAGCCAAGATTGAGGAACGGCGACATGGATATCTACACAGAACCTGCCTAAATAGATTCTCTAGAAGAAGTTTATAAAGAAATTCCACATGAACTGTGGAAGAGGATATGAATTTGATGTACAGTATGTCCTCACTTAACATCTTTGAAAGTCTCTTGGAAACTTCACCTTGAAGCAAAATTATGTATAGTGAAACCACTTATTTTTCATCAACAGTATAACTACACGACTTTGAACAACCAATGCTGTTGGAGGACCTTCTGTACATTGTTTCCATAAAGTCAGTTTTCAGGGAATTCCAAAACGAAGTGAGGACTTCGTGTATATAAAATGATGGTTGTGATTCCACCTGGATGGCATGGTTATTGCTCAGAGACTAAAAGAGGCCACCTAGGTATAGAAGATTCTGTCATGAGGTTTCTGCTAAACCAAGGATCCCAGAATCGTCACTCATTCCAGATAAAGGCATAACGAAGAAAGCAATATTCACAAAGGAAATGCGGAAAGGAATAAAAGCCATCAAGCCACAAAAAGAATGTGACTGAGGGGCAGGATTTGCAGATGTAGAGATTTAATGTGGTTGCCCTTTCTCACCCACACAAGAAAAAGGATGGAACAGATCATGATATTCGACTGCTCTGCTGCGCAGCCTCCGCAGGGCACTTTGTATGTCCCTGTTTCTCAGGCTGCAGATGAAAAGGTTCAGCATGGGGTGACCACAGCGTACATCACTGAAGCCACCACACCATTCCTGGGGGGTGGTGACCCAGCTGAAGTCAGGTACAAGCCAATGCCTGTTCCATAAAACCAGCAAACAACTGCTAGATGACAGCCACAGGTGGAGAAGGCTTTATACTTCCCATCTGACGATGAAATCCTTAGAATGGAGGGGACAATTTTATAGTAAGACAAAAAGATCCCTGAAATGGGAAGAAAACCAAACATAGTACTATCGAAATATATGAATATGTTATTGATGACGCTGTCAGAACAGGCAAGTTTGAGAAGTTGAGAGGGGTCACAGACCAAATTAGAGATTTCCACATTCTTGATGATGGTTAATTGTAACACAATCCAACTGTGCAGCTGGGAATCCAACAGGCTAAGGAAAAAGGACACCAAAACGAAGAAGACACAGAGGTGAGGATTCACGATGATTGAGTAGTGCAGAGGGCGACAGATGGCTACAAAGCAGTCATAGGCCATCACAGTCAGGAGCATGCCTTCTATACATGCAACAAGGAGCAGGAAAGACATCTGTGTCAGGCAGCCCGCATGAGAGATGACTCTGCTATGCGACTGCGTGTCCACAATCATCTTGGGAACCATGGCCGAGGTGAAACCGATGTCAGGCCAGCACAGGTTGGAGAGGAAGAAGTACATGGGGGTGTGGAGGGGGGAGTCAGAGCTGACAGCCAGGATGCTGAGCAGGTTCCTCAGCACCGTGACCAGATACATGGACAGGGACAGGGACAGCAAAGCGAGGACCGGCTGCAGTTCTGGATCCTCTGAGAGTCCCAGGAGGAGGAATTCTCAGACATCTGTGAGATATTAGTCCCAACATCCCAGAGGGTGTACACTACCCCTGTGATATTGTCCCTAACTTCCAGAGGGGAGAGGATGACATCACTCCCAATATCTCAGAAGTTGTACATCCCCCGTGATATTGTTCGTCATATCCAGGGAGGCGCAGGATGACATTCCATTGAATTTCGCGACAGGCCTACACGCACAGTGTGATACTGTTCCTACTATCCAAGAAGGGAGAGGATGATATTACTCACAATAAAGCAGTGGGTGTACATCACCCCTGTGTTGTTGTCTCTAATATCCGGGGCCGGGGGAGGAGGGGAGAGGATAACATTGCCTCCAATTTAGCAGGTGGTTTGACGCCCCTTGTGCTGTTGTTTTAAATATCCAGCGGGGAAGACAGTAGTACTATTTTTGATAGTCCGATTCATCCTCTCCACCTTTCCGGAACTCTGAGGCCGGGAGGCGGCATGTAGTTTCCGTGTGATCCCCAATACCTTTGCCGTTTTCTGTACCAAGGCAGCCAAAAACGCAGGCCCGTTGTCTGAGCCGATCCATAAGGGCGGTCGAAATCTAGGAATCACATCTCGAAGAAGCACAGGGGTTACTTCACCAGCTTTCTCAGTTCGTGTTGGATAGGCCTCCACCCACCCAGGGTAGGTACGCCCAAGAACCAGTACATGCTTGTTACCTCCACACTTTGGCATCTCTGTGAAGTCCACCTGGAGACCTTCAAAGGGGGCTGCTCCACAAGCTCGTATGCCGGGCGGAACGGCTGGACCTTGACTCCCATCATGCTGTCAGCAGGTAACACACCGCTGCCTCACCGTTTTGGCAAGGGTTGACAAAGGCGAGATGTAGAAATACCGGCCTAACAACTTTTCCAGTGACTCCTGACCTCGATGGGTGTTTTCTTGCACAGCCAGTACAACTGCAGCTCCTAGCAGCTGTGGCACAGCTACTCTCCTATCTGGTAACTGAATCCATCCTTCCTCCATCACTTGTCCTTCCCTCTACCTGGAGAAAGTCCTTTCTTCTTTAGAAGAAGCAGGTCCAAGATCAGGTGCTTGAGGGAGCACTGATGCCCAGAAGGGGGCAGTTGCTGCTTTTCGAGCCTCTGACTCAGCGCGGGAATTCCCCAAACACAGCAAGGTGGAAGCTCGCTGGTGTCCTCTGCAATGCCTAACTGCCACCTTGTGGGGTTTCCATACTGCTTCTAATCATTGCAAGATTTCTTGTGGATATTTTCTGTCTTTCCCCCCAGAATTCAATAGGCCCTTTTCTTTCTATCACACTCCATGCACTTGAAGGGTTAAAAAGACATACCGAGAATCAGTGTAAGTGTTGACAGTCTCACCCTCACTGAGTTCTAAGGCCCAAATGAAAGCATTGAGTTCAGCTTTCTGGGCTGAAGTGGCCTGGGGCAACGACCTGGTTTCAACAACAGTGTCCAGAGTTATCACTGCATACCCTGCACCTCTCTCTCCTTGGGGGTTGAAGAAGCTGCTCCCATCCACGTGTGGTTCCCAGTCTACTGATGCCCAAGTCTGGTCCCGGAGCTCAGGTCTGCTAGAGTCAATTGAGTCCAACACTTCTACACAATCAGGCTCGACAGGGCTCCCTGATACCGGCAGCAAGGTGGCGGGGTGTAGGGTGTTACAAACTTCAATGGTTATACGGGGATTTTCACAGACCAAAGTTTGGTACTTGGTGAGCCTGGCATTCGTTAGCCAATGACGTCCTTTAGTATTCATCACCACAGCACGGGAGGCCTTTATGTTCAGGTTTCGCCCAAGAGTCAGCTTATTTGCTTCTTATACTAGCAGGGCAGTTGCTGCCAAGGCCCTCCAACAGGGGGGCCATCCTTTAGAAACCCCGTCTAGTGGTTTACAGAGGTAGGCCACCAGCCTCAGCCAGGGCCCCACAGTTTGGGTTCAAAGTCCAGCTGCCATCCTTTCTCTCTCTGATGCATACAATGGAAAAGGCTTTGTCAGATCGGGTAGCCTCAGGGCTGGTGCTGCCAGAAGTTTTTCCTTTAACTCATGAAATACTTGCTGTTGTTGGGATCCGCATTCCAAAGATTCACCGTCCCCGCCCCCCTTGTGACCTCATACAAAAACTTGGCTAATACTGCAAAGTTTGGGATCCACAGTCTACAAAACCCCACAGCTCCTAAGAATTCTCTTACCTGCCTTCTGCTCTTAGGCTCCGCTAGATGGCAAATGACCTGCTTTCTTTCTGATCCCGGGCTGCGTTCCGACCCCTGTCGGATAGTAAATCCCAAGTAACGTACCTGCTGTCGGCAGATCTGAGCTTTTTTCTTGGACACCTTCTACCCACAGTCCTCCAGGTGCGGTGTAGGGCATCTGTTCCCTTGGCACACCCGACTGCCGTGGGGTGTCCCAGCAGAAGGTCATCAACCTACTGGAGCAACAAGCATCCTAGGTCTCTGCTAGGAAACTTCTGGAGGTCTCGAGCCCATGCCTCCCCGAAGATGGTGGGGGAGTTCTTGAACCTTTGGGGAAGCCCGGTCCAAGTGTACTAAGTAGTGACACCTGACTCCGGATCTTCCCACTGAAAGGCAAACAGCTTCTGCCTCTCAGGGGCTAATCTGATAGGAAGGAAAGCGTCTTTTAGGTCCAAGCAGGTGAACCAGCTGTCCTCAGCTGGCGGCAACCCCAACAATGTGGACGGGTTAGGTACTGTTGGATGTAAAGTCAGTGTGGCTTGATGAAGCAAGCGCAAATCCTGTACCGGCCGGTAGTCCTTGGTCCGTGGCTTGGGAACAGGCAGGAGGGGAGTGTTCCATGGAGACTGACAAGGAACAATCATTCCAAACGTTCTTAGGTGCTTGAGATGGACCTGGATACCTTGAAGGGCTTCTCTGGGGACCGAGTCCGGTTTTTGCCTCACCGGCTGGGCCCCAGTCTTAACTGGCCAATCCTGGAGGGTTCTCTTCTGCCCGAACTCTTGGCCAGCGCTTAGCCAGAGCTGGTCTTTTCTCTTTGCCCGGGTCAGTTCAGAAAAGTCTCCATTCCTCCTCTCGGGGGACCATAAGCGTCATAATGACTCCCATTCCGGGTAACTTTAGCAGCAAAGAGCCATGCTCTGTGAAAGAGGCAGTGGCTCTCAGCTTGCTGAGCAAGTCCCTTCCTGAAAAGTTCAAGAGACTGTCAGGCATGTAACAAAACTGATGAATGACTTTATGTCCTCCTACAGGACAAGTCCAAGGCAAGCAGAAAGCTTGCTTTGCTGAAACCCCCGTGGCTCCGATGACGTCAGTAGTCTTTTTCGGTAAGGGGACGACCGGGGCGGTTACTAGCGAATGTTCAGCACCGCTATCTACAAGAAAGTTAATGTCTCCACCCCTGACTGTCATTCTGAACAGATGTCAGAATGGGGATGCTTGAGCCCGGTCTCCCTCAGTCCAAGAACCCTTCTGCCAGGTTGAGCAGGGCCCCTTCCTCCTTGTCCGGGGCCTCCGGCTCTGAGTCACCTTCTTTTCTTTTGAGCTGAGGGCATTTGTTCTTCCACTGTCCTATTTCTTTACAATCAGCACACTGGTTACGCTGCAAACTCTGACAGCCAAGCTGAGTTTCTTTCCCAGGGCCCCCTTTCCCTTGCCTCTTTGCGGGGGCCCCTCTGATTGCTGCAGCTGACAAACAGGTCGGCGTGTGGCCGGGACTGACCTCCATCCTCTTTGCCGTTTTCCTTACGGCTTACTGCATACCTGTTTACAAACACCTGGCTAGCTATTTCTAGTAATTGGGATGGATTCTTCCCTGCAAGCCCAGTCTGTTTCTGCAGTTTTCTTCTCATGTCTTCTGCACTTTGATGGACTAAAGCCATGTGAATCATGCGCTGATTTTCAGGGCTATCGGGATCAAAGGGAGTATACATATGATAGGCCTCATACAGTCTCTCGTAGAATTGTGCTGGACTTTCTTCTTTTCCCTGAATGACCTCAGAGAGCTTGTTAACGTTTGTGGCCTTCTGAGCTCCCCTCATTAATCCTTCCAAGAGAGCTTCCCTGTCTCGGTTTAGCCTTTGCATCTCCTCTCTTTCATGTGGGTCCAACTGGGGGTCGGTTCCTGGCAACTGGGTCCTTCCATACTATTGGGGGTTTTGATAATCAGCTGGTGCATGTTCCTCTAGCCACTTAGTTGCTGCTTGGAGGACTCTCTGCCTTTCTTCACTGTTAAAGAGGAAAATGAGCAACTGGTGCCAATCGGTCCAGGTGTGGTTGTGGGTCTGGATAACAGTTTGGAGCAAATCAATTAGGGCTTGTGGCTTTTCGGTATAGGGCGATGTATTGTTTTTCCAGTTGAGAAGGTCGACGCAGGTGAAGGGCTGGTACCCAAAAACACGTCTCTCCACTACATGAGCATTTTCATCTATCCCAGTATACCGCTGCTCTCTCAGGGGCATTTGTGTCCCCGTTTTGGGTCGTAAACGAGCTGCCGAGGAAGGGGTGGAATGGCGCAATGCGACTTACCGCAATTAATAATCTCAATTATTAACTGACACTAATAATTATCAATATTAATAACCCATAATATAATTTTTAAAATCAATACCGATACTAATGATAATTAATATTAAATAGTTATACTAACAATAACAATACATGATTAATATTAATGATTATGACGCCTGATATTAATAACTGATACGGATCTTATTCATTAGAAAATAGTAATATTAGCTCCTAATAATTAATATTAATATTAATAATCTGAGAACTTTTTATTAGCAATTACTTCTTAATATTAATATTAATATCGGCCATTCATATTCATGTTAATAAAAAACAAGGAATAATTCATACTAATAGTATGCCCTAATACCTCAGTGGGTGTACACCCACCTGTGATATTGTTCCTAATGTTCAGGGAGTGAGAGAGCATGATATTACGTACAATATCGCAGCAGGTGCACACCCAGCCGGTGATATTGATCCGAATATAATCTCCAGGGGGTGGAGTATAACATTACTCCCAATATAGCACTGGGTGTGCATCCACCCGGTGATTTTGTTCCTAACATTCATGGAAGAAGAGAATGCTATTACTCCCAACATCGTAGGAAGTGTACACCCCCGTGTGACATGGTTCTTAATAATATTCCAAGGCGGAGGGGGTGATATGACTACACATATGGCAGAAAGTGGACACCCCCAAGGATATTGTTCCCACGATCCTGGAGGGAAGAGGATGATATTACTTTCAGTATCACAGAAGGTGGACACGCCCCCACTGATATTGTTTCTAATTGCAACGTGGGAGAGGATGATATGACACGCGATATCCCAGGGAGTAGAAACACCCCTGTGATACTGTTCTTAATATTCAGAGAGGAAGAGGATGATATGACTCCCAATACAGACGGGTGTACAACCTCTGTACGCCGGGGTGAACACCGGTGGGTGAAACAGTTCACAATCTCCAGAGCGGGAGACGATATTACTCACAATATGATAAACAGGCTGTGAGTCCACCGCGGATCCTAAAAACCAGGGGGGCAAGAGGGGTTAGCTCTTACTCTCCGCATGGCGGGGCGTGCCTCACCCCCTGCGATGGGGGTCCTAAGAGCCAGGAGGTAAGATGGGAAGGCTCTTAATACCCGCATCAAGGGGCGTGCCTCACACCACTGCGATGGGGGTCCTGAGAGCCAGGGGGGCAAGAGGGGCTGGCTCTTACCCCAAGCATAGCAGGACGTGACTCACCCCGCTGCGATGGGGGAAACTAAGAGCCAGGGGGGCAAGAGGGTTTGGCTCTTACAACCCGAAATGGGGGGAGTGCCTCACACCCTGCGATGGGGGTCCTAAGAGCCAGGGAAGCAAGAGGGGCTGCGGGAGACAGCGGCTGTCCTCCATCTAAATTGCAAGAGGCTTTCCTCTTTGACTAATCCACCTCGGCACAGACCCTTTACGGGTCTCAGGCTGGGGGCCAGTCAGGTCTTTAACATCCCACGAGGCCATATTTCAGACTGTTACATGGGGAGAAACCTTGGACAATAACCTGCTTTCAAGGGCAGAGGTCGCTGCGGCTTTCGACGGTGCATAGTGCCCCTGGTTTATTGAAACTAGAGAATGGCAATGACTTTTACCAAGTATACTGCTCGCAAACATTTGGTTAACAAAGCACGTCCTGCACAGCCCTAGATCCCTTAAACCTCGATTTTATACAACACAGGTTTTCTGAGCTCCAAGTTGGGTCAAGGGGGCTGGGGCAAAGTGGATGAGGCAAGGCAACAAATGAACAACATCTCAGCAAAGCAATTGTTTAAAGTACAGGTCTTTTTCAAAATGGAGTCTCTTATGTCTTCCCCTTCTACATAGACACAGTGACAGTCTGATCTCTCTTTCTTTACCCTACATCCAAGGGCTTGAACATTTCTTGACTTGTTGGCAATCCAAATCGTTACGTCTCCGAAACAGAGTTGACTGAGGGGACCGCAGGGCTGGGCAGGACCTTTGACTTCCTATACATCCACAGGAGCAAGAAAACCTCAGCCCCACTCTACCAACACGCACCTAGTAAAATTCCGCCAACCGAATCTCACGCACGCTAACACGTGGGGAGCGTTGCTTGCACCACAAGTCCCCATTTGGCTCAACCGCCGATGCCAAGTGTGTGGTTCCAGTTGCGACGGCCCCCCGTGAAGTGGCTTCCGGATGTGCGAAGGAACCAGGCAGAGTTTCACTGGCCAAATAGACCCCAGCAAAGCTGAAGTTAACTCCCACATTTGGGATGTACTTCAGAGGTAAAACATTCATCCCGTCTTCTTTCCGGATGTCTGACACCATGGTTCTCCCCCTGATCCTAAGAGTAGCTGAGGCAGAGACTCACTGAAAGATCTAGGCGGGGATATCCCATCATGCACAGGCTCTCTCCATTCTCTGACCTGGGACCAACTCTCAGCAGGATTCCACATCTAGGAGGCCTCGGAACTCAGCGGGATTTTCTGAGACACACCAACTGGCTGCTCCCTTTCCGCCGCTGTTGAGGGTCGTTATCTTGATTATCCAGATCAACTAGAAAGTATCCGTATCCAGAATGAATAAGATCAACTCTCTGCTCCTCTGACAGCAGAAGGAGCAGGACCGTAAGGAACCAAAGAGCGTGGAAGGAAACGATGTGACAGGAAAGCTCAGAGAACGGCCACAGGGGGTCTTCAGCAGGCCTTCCAACCTGAATCATGAATAATTAATGGAGCGCAAATCAAAGGGGACTCGAGTTTCAGCAGGAGCAATTCATCCAACGGGAGATCGCCGGAGGGCCAACAAGATTGAGTGACTGGGAGCCGGGTGCAGTGTCAAAGGGGACGCGACTGGTTCCAAAGCTCGAGAAGACCATGGGGTCACTTGGGCTACATGAGAAAACGCCCCAGTGTGCTGGTTCATCATTCCGACTCCTGCCTGTCTCTTCCCGTCCAAGGAACATGGACCCTAAGTCGTGCAGGTGCGGATGACCATGGGCAGAATTAGGGGCCGTGGCACAAAAGTTCACCGACACGGGAGTTCCACAGAAGGTGCGGTGGATCTTCGCAAATCCAGAGACATGGCAATGGGACCCAGGGAATTAGAGCCTCACAGGCGTCCGGGAGACTTTTCAGGCATAATGCCTGGAGTCGCAAGACGAGCTGAAAAAGGAGCCAGGCACTGAAGGACAAAGCGTTGTTGACTTTCCTCATCTGTGTTTCCCAGTGCGGTCCAATTCACGGTTGTTTCCAAGCGCCTCCTGGGGGAGAAAACACAAGAGGGTGCGGTCAGGGTTCTCTGCTGACAGACTTAACTTGGGGAAGAAAGAGAAGCTCTGAAGATGGATCATGGCCGTGACTGCATGTCAAGGAGAGTCTCCTTGATGACACTGAGGCATACGTCGAGATAGACAAAATGTGGTCCAATTAAAAGGTGTCTATTTTACCACATTTTTTAAAACAAAACAAAACAAAACAACAAAAAAGATGGAAAAGAAGACAGGGGTACAGGCACCAGTGTTACATGTCTGACGGGGAACATCTATTGTTCAAAGCTTGCAGCTGTACAAGTAGGTTTTAGAATGTCTGTCAGCAGTGGACATGATCTTAGAGTGGGCTGTGCAGATAGACCTTTCCAGGTCATGTAATTGGATTAAGTTAATTGCAATTAAGGTACAGGTAACTGATTAGGTTAGGGTACGTTCCATGTCAGGTGACCAGAGGCAGTATAAAAGGCAGCCTGGAAAGCGGAGGTCCCTCTCTGCCCCTTCCTCCGTCGTCCTGGATGCTGCATCGCTTCCAGCCGGGCTGCTGCAGCACCTGCCCATCTCAGCGCCAGCCTGGGAAAGAAAGTAGACGTGTAATTTCAGGTTAGTTTCGCTGAACAATTGTTTGTTTCACGCAATCCCTGAGGGGTATTTGCGGGGGGTGTGGGGGAGGAAGAGACAAAGGAGGCCGAAAGAAACCGATCACACTGGGGCTTGCTGGTGGGGTAGGATGTGTTCTCGTTACTAGTAATTCTTGGAACAGAAAACGAGAAAACATATCCGTCTCCACGTGTGGGAGAAGACCAAGATGGGAATGCGAAAAGAAATGTACTGCAGCATGCTGAATTGGTGGGTAAATGGAAAAAGGACTTTGGAAAAAAGGGGGTTTTGCCCTTCAGCCGTGTAAGACGTCGATACGATACGGCACTTCTTCCCCGTTTGTTCAGATGAATTCGTGTGGTGTGCGTAAAATACCAGGAAAATAAATAAAGAGGGGCTGGAGCTAAAGCCAAAAGATAGAACAGGAAAGACCATCACCTGCTAGTGCGGTAGAGAGGAAGGTAACTTCTCTGTATGAATTTGTGTTTGGAAGTTGCCTAATGAAATGGCAAGAGTAGCGATTCAAGTTGTCACAGGAAGCATCCCTTATCCGTGACTTCAAGCAGACCTGCCAAAGGGTGGCACACGCCATGCCCTGTGTCTTCGATCATTCTGTCCGTCAAGGGAGATAGAATCACCGTGTCTTCTACCGGAGTGAATCGTGAGAGACCTAAGTCCAGTCTCCAGAATCAGTTGTTTGTTTGGGGTTGAAAGCTCAACCCCCCATACCTAGGCCACGGGCCCTGTGGCAGGTGGGGTTTACTCTTGGACTAGGTAGTCATGGCAGAGGAACACACAATATCCGAGGATGCGCACAGCACATTGTGTTCTACAGATTTGACCGACTGGTGGTGAGGTCTCCTCATGACCACACAGGCAGGGAGTTAGCAGGTGGCTTCCTGTGGGTGTGTGAATATCCAACGTGCTTAACCATCGACATGTGTGTGTTTGTGTGTGTTTCAGGTGGCCCAACAGTCCACCCCTGAAAAAGGCGGTCATAAAACCCCCAGGAGACGAAGATGATGGCACGTCGGGACCCCAAATCTTGGGCCAAGAGACTGGTGAGAGCCCAGACCCTCCAGAAGCAGCGGAGGGCCCCAGTTGGGCCAAGGTCTCCCCCGCCCGATGAAGAAGATCCCAGGGTAAGTCTAGCCCTGGATCTCTTGGGTATCGGGGTGGGGGTGGGGACGGGGGGAGGCGTGTCCCACGGTCCTCAGAGACTGGGTTGGATTCCAAAGAGTTCTGTCACCACCAGCCAGGTTGCTTTTCCCATCCAAGGTGGGCGTGGCTTGGGACCTTCTCCCCGGCCCGATAGGTCCCTTGAGAGACTCTTGGGGGCAACCTCCCTTTCTACTTAGGTTCCTGTGTAGCCACGTTTGGCTGCGTTGTTGACATCGGCTTCACCATCGTGCCCCTTGGAACCTTGAGTCCTTCCTTTCAGAGTTCCTCCGTCACATGGGCTTTGCGAGGGAACATCGTATCCGAAGTCTCCCAGCACTTAACGGCCCCCATGCCGGTGTCCCCTCTTTGGAATCCTTATTCAGCTCTGAATTCACAATCCGTCCCAATGTTGACGTGGGATCGCTGCCTGTGGCTTCAGCTCACTCACTGACATCACTTCCTTTCCACCCACAGCTCAAGTGCAAAAACTGCGGGGCCTTTGGCCACACGGCCAGAAGTACCAGGTGCCCCATGAAGTGCTGGAAGGCAGCCCTGGTTCCAGCGACCTTGGGGAAAAAGGAAGGGAAGGAAAACCTGAAACCATGGAAGCCCCGGGCTGAAGCCAACCCGGGGCCCTTGAACAAGGATAAGGGAGAGAAGGAAGAGAGACCAAGGTGAGCAGTGGGAGGGGTTTTCACCACTCTTAGGGTACGGCCTCCTAAGGACATGGTGTCTCTGCACCTGCACACCGTGTGCCTTTCCGTCTCCGGGCCAGGGAAGGAACGCTGCAGAGAAATAGGCCGGAGCTCCGTGTCCTCCGGGGTTCCATACCCAGGAGCTCCTTGGGCTCTGGGAGATTCAGGGACGGGGAGAGGCGGGGGCGCTTCGTGCAGGTTCCCCACGACAGCGGGAAAAGCGATGGAATCCAAATCACAGTCCTTAGTTGGGAAGCCTAGAGGGCCACCTGGAGGATGGGAAGGTTGGCACGTGAGGGAAGGTGCAGAGGCGGAAAGGGCACCAGATGTCCATTTCTGTATCACAAAACACGGAATGGGGCTGGGCCCCAGACGGGGTTCTCCCTGTCTCCTGGGGAAAACCAGGGGGCACGGCCTGACCTTCTTCTGTTCTGCAGGCAACAAGACCCGCAGAGGAAGGCTCTCCTCCACATGTTTTCCGGGAAACCTCCAGAGAAGCCGCTGCCGAATGGAAAAGGATCCACGGAATCTTCTGATTATCTGAGGGCGAGTGTCACCCCGGGCCCCTGGTCTTTTTCTCCTCTAGGTCACCCTGGTTGATTTCCTTTCAGCTTCCCGTCTGCGGGAGGAAATCGGGGAACCCCTCTTTCTTGCCTTCTTGGGGTCAGGGACTCCACGATCCTTCCAGGTCAATTGGATTCCAGGCGAAGGCATCTGAACATGCCGTATTTCCTGTTGCTTTCTTTCTGTCCAATTATGGCAAGCCTGCCAACAACACGTTCCTAGCGGCATGAGGAAATTAGTCCCTCAGAGGCCCCAAACGTGGAGAAGGCGAAACCCAGGAACATGCATGTGTTCAGAGAAGACGTCCCGAGTACCCTTGAGCCAGCAACCTGCCTTGGGAAGGGCATTAGTCCGTTCCACTTCATGGAAGGCTGAGTGGAGGCGCTTTGATCCAGTTAATGCCCAAGACGCGATCTTTTGAACAATGGTGTGCTTAGATCAGCTACACATAGCTCGAGAGCGCATCTTTCATGTGTCTTGTCCTGATCAGCACTCAGGTGGAGGGTCTGTCCCTACTTCCAAGGACCGCCTGTCGATACTGTACTAAGAATTTCATGGCGTGTGCACCTTGTCTTTGGATGTGCTTGATTTTCACGTTGGCTCCATGCTGAGGAACTTCTAACCTGTGTTGTTTCCTCTCTTTCAGGTTGCAAGCGGGCCAATGCCGGTCCACACAACCAGTAAGAGGCCGCGCTTGGACCCTGTCCTCGCTGATCGCTCCGCAACCGAAATGTCTGGCAGGGGCTCCGTCTTGGCTTCACTGTCTCCCCTCAGAAAAGCCAGCCTGAGCTCCTCCTCAAGTCTTGGACCAAAGGAAAGACAGACTGGGGCTGCGGCCGACATGCCTCAGCCTGCAGTCAGGCACCAGGGCCGCGAGCCTCTCCTCGTGGTGAAGCCGACACACAGCCGCCCCGAGGGTGGCTGCCGAGAAGTTCCCCAGGCTGCCTCCAAAACCCACGGCCTGCTCCAGGCCGCCAGACCCCAGGCACAAGACAAACGTCCTGCGGTGACCCCACAGCCCTGCCCGCCAGCCGCCACACACAGCTTGGGCCTAGGCTCCAATCTCAGCTTCGGGCCAGGAGCCAAGAGACCTGCCCAGGCTCCGATTCAGGCTTGCCTGAACTTCCCCAAGAAACCGAGACTGGGTCCCTTCCAGATCCCCGAAAGCGCCATCCAGGGAGGTGAGCTGGGGGCCCCGGAGAATCTCCAACCTCCGCCAGCCGCAACCGAACTTGGACCAAGTACGTCGCCCCAGATGGGCAGGAGGACACCGGCCCAGGTGCCCAGCGTCGACCGGCAGCCTCCGCACAGCAGACCTTGCCTGCCTACTGCCCAGGCCTGCACCATGTCCCATCACCCAGCGGCCAGCCATGATGGGGCCCAGCCTCTCAGAGTGCTCTTCCGGAGACTGGAAAACGGACGCTGGAGCTCCAGCCTCCTGGCGGCCCCCTCATTTCACTCTCCTGAGAAGCCGGGAGCCTTCCTCGCTCAGAGCCCTCATGTGTCAGAGAAGTCTGAGGCTCCCTGTGTTCGTGTCCCACCGAGCGTCCTCTATGAGGACCTTCAGGTTTCCTCCTCCTCAGAGGACAGCGATTCTGACCTGGAGTGAGACTGCAGGTGGCAGGGGCTCCTTGGCCTCCAGTTCCCGTGACTTGGAGGGGACTGTGGGACTGAGGAGCGCAGAGCAGAGAGCACACTCTGTGCGGTGACTCCGAAGCTCCCCGGCTGTGGCGCTTCTGTGGATGTGGGAGCCCAGGCCAGGCAGGGAGCAGATGCAGGGACTCTGCCTCATTGAATTCTGGTGAGGGACGTTGTAGTTGGCGTGGTTCTCCCGAAACGCGCCAGGAAAAGCTTCCGTGACAGAGATTCGTTGCCTCAGAAACTGCGTGACGCGCAGGAGTCAGACTTCCGCTGGGACGTCAATAGGAAACTGGGGAATTACTGTGTATTTGCTGTCTAGATGACTGAATAAGGGAAAAGTTAGGGAACCCTGAGAGGTGCAGCCCTTCCGCTGTGCCCCGCCCTGAGAGCAGTGTTTCGGACGCTGGTAAGCGTGCTGTGCGAAGCGCTCTCGGGGTCTTTCCTCAGCCTCGAAAACTGGGCTCTGGAATGCCTTTGTACATATGTGTGTTTAATGTGTTTTGAAGTGAATAAAATTCTCAAAAAGATGACATATTGTCTTTTGACTCTCATTCCGTGTTTGTGTGTAACTGATTTTCCAAGTGAAGGGGTGGCCTGCCCCTCCACACCTGTGGGTGTTTCTAGTCGGGTGGGATGAGAGACGGAGAAAAGAAATAAGACACAGAGACAAAGTATAGGGAGACAACAGTGGGTCCAGGGGACAGGCACTCAGCACACCTAGGACCTGCACCGGCACCGGCCTCTGAGTTCCCTCTGTTTTTATTGATTATGATTTTCATTATTTCAGCACAAAGGAATGCAGTAGGGGAGCAGGGTGATAATAAGGGGAAGGTCAACAACAACAACAAAAAACAAACACGTGAGCAAAAGAATCCATATCATTATTAAGTTCAAGGGAAGGTACTATGCCTGGACGTGCATGTAGGCCAGATTTATGTTTCTCTCCACACAAATATCTCAGCGGAGTAAAGAAAGCAAGGCAGCATTACTGCCAACATGTCTCACCTCCCGCCACAGGGCAGCTTTTCTCCGAGCTCAGAGTTGAACAAATGTACGATCGGGCTTTACACCGAGACATTCAGTTCCCAGGGGCAAGCAGGAGACAGTGGCCTTCCTCCATTTGAACTGCAAGAGGCGTTCCTCTTTGACTAATCCACCTCAGCACAGACCCATTGCGGGTGTCAGGCTGGGGGACATTCAGGACTTTCCCATCCCACGAGGTCATATTTCAGACTGTCACATGGGGAGAAACCTTGGACAATACCCTGCTTTCAAGGGCAGAGGTCCCTGTGGCTTTCCACGGTACATTGCGCCCCTGGTTTATTGAGACTAGAGAATGGCAATGACTTCTACCAAGTATACTGCTCGTAAACATTTGGTTAACAAGGCGCGTCCTGCACAGCCCTAGATCCCTTAAACCTCGATTTTATACAACACAGGTTTTTGTGAGCTCCAAGTTGGGTCAAAGGAAGGGGCTGCGGCAAAGCTACAAATGATCAACATCTCAGTAAAGCAATTGTTTAAAGTACAGGTCTTTTTCAAAATGGAGTCTCTTATGTCTTCCCCTTCTACATAGACACAGTGACAGTCTGATCTCTCTTTCTTTACCCTACATCCAAGGGCTTGAACATTTCTTGATTTGTTGGCAATCCAAATCGTTACGTCTCCAAAACAGAGTTGACTGAGGGGACCGCAGGGCTGGGCAGGACCTTTGACTTCCTATACATCCACAGGAGCAAGAAAACCTCAGCCCCACTCTACCAACACACACCTAGTAAAATTCCGCCAACCGAATCTCACGCACGCTAACACGTGGGGAGCGTTGCTTGCACCACGAGTCCCCATTTGGCTCAACCGCCGATGCCAAGTGTGTGGTTCCAGTTGCGACGGCCCCCCGTGAAGTGGCTTCCGGATGTGCGAAGGAACCAGGCAGAGTTTCACTGGCCAAATAGACCCCAGCAAAGCTGAAGTTAACTCCCACATTTGGGATGTACTTCAGAGGTAAAACATTCATCCCGTCTTCTTTCCGGATGTCTGACACCATGGTTCTCCCCCTGATCCTAAGAGTAGCTGAGGCAGAGACTCACTAAAAGATCTAGGCGGGGATATCCCATCATGCACAGGCTCTCTCCATTCTCTGACCTGGGAACAACTCTCAGTAAGATTCCACATCTAGGAGGCCTCGGAACTCAGCGGGATTTTCTGAGACACACCAACTGGCTGCTCCCTCTCCGCCGCTGTTGAGGGTCGTTATCTTGATTATCCAGATCAACTAGAAAGTATCCGTATCCAGAATGAATAAGATCAACTCTCTGCTCCTCTGACAGCAGAAGGAGCAGGACCGTAAGGAACCAAAGAGCGTGGAAGGAAACGATGTGACAGGAAAGCTCAGAGAACGGCCACAGGGGGTCGTCAGCAGGCCTTCCAACCTGAATCATGAATAATTAATGAAGGCAAATCAAAGGGGACTCGAGTTTCAGCAGGAGCATTTCATCCAACGGGAGATCGCCTGAGGGCCAACAAGATTGAGTGACTGGGAGCCGGGTGCAGTGTCAAAGGGGACGCGACTGGTTCCAAAGCTCGAGAAGACCATGGGGTCACTTGGGCTACATGAGAAAACGCCCCAGTGTGCTGGTTCATCATTCCGACTCCTGCCTGTCTCTTCCCGTCCAAGGAACATGGAACCTAAGTCGTGCAGGTGTGGATGACCATGGGCAGAATTAGGGGCCGTGGCACAAAAGTTCACCGACACGGGAGTTCCACAGAAGGTGCGGTGGATCTTCGCAAATCCAGAGACATGGCAATGGGACCCAGGGAATTAGAGCCTCACAGGCGTCCGGGAGACTTTTCAGGCATAATGCCTGGAGTCGCAAGACGAGCTGAAAAAGGAGCCAGGCACTGAAGGACAAAGCGTTGTTGACTTTCCTCATCTGTGTTTCCCAGTGTGGTCCAATTTACGGTGGTTTCCAAGCGCCTCCTGGGGGAGAAAACACATGAGGGTGCGGTCAGGGTTCTCTGCTGACAGACTTACCTTGGGGAAGAAAGAGAAGCTCTGAAGATGGATCATGGCCGTGACTGCATGTCAAGGAGAGTCTCCTTGATGACACTGAGGCCTACGTCGAGATAGACAAAATGTGGTCCAATTAAAAGGTGTCTATTTTACCACATTTTTTAAAACAAAACAAAACAAAACAACAAAAAAGATGGAAAAGAAGACAGGGGTACAGGCACCAGTGTTACATGTCTGACGGGGAACATCTATTGTTCAAAGCTTGCAGCTGTACAAGTAGGTTTTAGAATGTCTGTCAGCAGTGGACATGATCTTAGAGTGGGCTGTGCAGATAGACCTTTCCAGGTCATGTAATTGGATTAAGTTAATTGCAATTAAGGTACAGGTAACTGATTAGGTTAGGGTACGTTCCATGTCAGGTGACCAGAGGCAGTATAAAAGGCAGCCTGGAAAGCGGAGGTCCCTCTCTGCCCCTTCCTCCGTCGTCCTGGATGCTGCATCGCTTCCAGCCGGGCTGCTGCAGCACCTGCCCATCTCAGCGCCAGCCTGGGAAAGAAAGTAGACGTGTAATTTCAGGTTAGTTTCGCTGAACAATTGTTTGTTTCACGCAATCCCTGAGTGGTTTTGGCGGGGGGGGGGCGGGGGGAGGAAGAGACAAAGGAGGCCGAAAGAAACCGATCACACTGGGGCTTGCTGGTGGGGTAGGATGTGTTCTCGTTACTAGTAATTCTTGGAACAGAAAACGAGAAAACATATCCGTCTCCACGTGTGGGAGAAGACCAAGATGGGAATGCGAAAAGAAATGTACTGCAGCATGCTGAATTGGTGGGTAAATGGAAAAAGGACTTTGGAAAAAAGGGGGTTTTGCCCTTCAGCCGTGTAAGACGTCGATACGATACGGCACTTCTTCCCCGTTTGTTCAGATGAATTCGTGTGGTGTGCGTAAAATACCAGGAAAATAAATAAAGAGGGGCTGGAGCTAAAGCCAAAAGATAGAACAGGAAAGACCATCACCTGCTAGTGCGGTAGAGAGGAAGGTAACTTCTCTGTATGAATTTGTGTTTGGAAGTTGCCTAATGAAATGGCAAGAGTAGCGATTCAAGTTGTCACAGGAAGCATCCCTTATCCGTGACTTCAAGCAGACCTGCCAAAGGGTGGCACACGCCATGCCCTGTGTCTTCGATCATTCTGTCCGTCAAGGGAGATAGAATCACCGTGTCTTCTACCGGAGTGAATCGTGAGAGACCTAAGTCCAGTCTCCAGAATCAGTTGTTTGTTTGGGGTTGAAAGCTCAACCCCCCATACCTAGGCCACGGGCCCTGTGGCAGGTGGGGTTTACTCTTGGACTAGGTAGTCATGGCAGAGGAACACACAATATCCGAGGATGCGCACAGCACATTGTGTTCTACAGATTTGACCGACTGGTGGTGAGGTCTCCTCGTGACCACACAGGCAGGGAGTTAGCAGGTGGCTTCCTGTGGGTGTGTGAATATCCAACGTGCTTAACCATCGACATGTGTGTGTTTGTGTGTGTTTCAGGTGGCCCAACAGTCCACCCCTGAAAAAGGCGGTCATAAAACCCCCAGGAGACGAAGATGATGGCACGTCGGGACCCCAAATCTTGGGCCAAGAGACTGGTGAGAGCCCAGACCCTCCAGAAGCAGCGGAGGGCCCGAGTTGGGCCAAGGGCTCCCCCGCCCGATGAAGAAGATCCCAGGGTAAGTCTAGCCCTGGATCTCTTGGGTATCGGGGTGGGGGTGGGGACGGGGGGAAGGGGGTGTCCCACGGTCCTCAGAGACTGGGTTGGATTCCAAAGAGTTCTGTCACCACCAGCCAGGTTGCTTTTCCCATCCAAGGTGGGCGTGGCTTGGGACCTTCTCCCCGGCCCGATAGGTCCCTTGAGAGACTCTTGGGGGCAACCTCCCTTTCTACTTAGAGTCCTGTGTAGCCACGTTTGGCTGCGTTGTTGACATCGGCTTCACCATCGTGCCCCTTGGAACCTTGAGTCCTTCCTTTCAGAGTTCCTCCGTCACATGGGCTTTGCGAGGGAACATCGTATCCGAAGTCTCCCAGCACTTAACGGCCCCCATGCCGGTGTCCCCTCTTTGGAATCCTTATTCAGCTCTGAATTCACAATCCGTCCCAATGTTGACGTGGGATCGCTGCCTGTGGCTTCAGCTCACTCACTGACATCACTTCCTTTCCACCCACAGCTCAAGTGCAAAAACTGCGGGGCCTTTGGCCACACGGCCAGAAGTACCAGGTGCCCCATGAAGTGCTGGAAGGCAGCCCTGGTTCCAGCGACCTTGGGGAAAAAGGAAGGGAAGGAAAACCTGAAACCATGGAAGCCCCGGGCTGAAGCCAACCCGGGGCCCTTGAACAAGGATAAGGGAGAGAAGGAAGAGAGACCAAGGTGAGCAGTGGGAGGGGTTTTCACCACTCTTAGGGTACGGCCTCCTAAGGACATGGTGTCTCTGCACCTGCACACCGTGTGCCTTTCCGTCTCCGGGCCAGGGAAGGAACGCTGCAGAGAAATAGGCCGGAGCTCCGTGTCCTCCGGGGTTCCACACCCAGGAGCTCCTTGGGCTCTGGGAGATTCAGGGACGGGGAGAGGCGGGGGCGCTTCGTGCAGGTTCCCCACGACAGCGGGAAAAGCGATGGAATCCAAATCACAGTCCTTAGTTGGGAAGCCTAGAGGGCCACCTGGAGGATGGGAAGGTTGGCACGTGAGGGAAGGTGCAGAGGCGGAAAGGGCACCAGATGTCCATTTCTGTATCACAAAACACGGAATGGGGCTGGGCCCCAGACGGGGTTCTCCCTGTCTCCTGGGGAAAACCAGGGGGCACGGCCTGACCTTCTTCTGTTCTGCAGGCAACAAGACCCGCAGAGGAAGGCTCTCCTCCACATGTTTTCCGGGAAACCTCCAGAGAAGCCGCTGCCAAATGGAAAAGGATCCACGGAATCTTCTGATTATCTGAGGGCGAGTGTCACCCCGGGCCCCTGGTCTTTTTCTCCTCTAGGTCACCCTGGTTGATTTCCTTTCAGCTTCCCGTCTGCGGGAGGAAATCGGGGAACCCCTCTTTCTTGCCTTCTTGGGGTCAGGGACTCCACGATCCTTCCAGGTCAATTGGATTCCAGGCGAAGGCATCTGAACATGCCGTATTTCCTGTTGCTTTCTTTCTGTCCAATTATGGCAAGCCTGCCAACAACACGTTCCTAGCGGCATGAGGAAATTAGTCCCTCAGAGGCCCCAAACGTGGAGAAGGCGAAACCCAGGAACAGGCATGTGTTCAGAGAAGACGTCCCGAGTACCCTTGAGCCAGCAACCTGCCTTGGGAAGGGCATTAGTCCGTTCCACTTCATGGAAGGCTGAGTGGAGGCGCTTTGATCCAGTTAATGCCCAAGACGCGATCTTTTGAACAATGGTGTGCTTAGATCAGCTACACATAGCTCGAGAGCGCATCTTTCATGTGTCTTGTCCTGATCAGCACTCAGGTGGAGGGTCTGTCCCTACTTCCAAGGACCGCCTGTCGATACTGTACTAAGAATTTCATGGCGTGTGCACCTTGTCTTTGGATGTGCTTGATTTTCACGTTGGCTCCATGCTGAGGAACTTCTAACCTGTGTTGTTTCCTCTCTTTCAGGTTGCAAGCGGGCCAATGCCGGTCCACACAACCAGTAAGAGGCCGCGCTTGGACCCTGTCCTCGCTGATCGCTCCGCAACTGAAATGTCTGGCAGGGGCTCCGTCTTGGCTTCACTGTCTCCCCTCAGAAAAACCAGCCTGAGCTCCTCCTCAAGTCTTGGACCAAAGGAAAGACAGACTGGGGCTGCGGCCGACATGCCTCAGCCTGCAGTCAGGCACCAGGGCCCCGAGCCTCTTCTCGAGGTGAAGCCGACACACAGCCGCCCCGAGGGTGGCTGCCAAGAAGTTCCCCAGGCTGCCTCCAAAACCCACGGCCTGCTCCAGGCCTCCAGACCCCAGGCACAAGACAAACGTCCTGCGGTGACCCCACAGCCCTGCCCGCCAGCCGCCACACACAGCTTGGGCCTAGGCTCCAATCTCAGCTTCGGGCCAGGAGCCAAGAAACCTGCCCAGGCTCCGATTCAGGCTTGCCTGAACTTCCCCAAGAAACCGAGACTGGGTCCCTTCCAGATCCCCGAAAGCGCCATCCAGGGAGGTGAGCTGGGGGCCCCGGAGAATCTCCAACCTCCGCCAGCCGCAACCGAACTTGGACCAAGTACGTCGCCCCAGATGGGCAGGAGGACACCGGCCCAGGTGCCCAGCGTCGACAGGCAGCCTCCGCACAGCAGACCTTGCCTGCCCACTGCCCAGGCCTGCACCATGTCCCATCACTCAGCGGCCGGCCATGATGGGGCCCAGCCTCTCAGAGTGCTCTTCCGGAGACTGGAAAACGGACGCTGGAGCTCCAGCCTCCTGGCGGCCCCCTCATTTCACTCTCCTGAGAAGCCGGGAGCCTTCCTCGCTCAGAGCCCTCATGTGTCAGAGAAGTCTGAGGCTCCCTGTGTTCGTGTCCCACCGAGCGTCCTCTATGAGGACCTTCAGGTTTCCTCCTCCTCAGAGGACAGCGATTCTGACCTGGAGTGAGACTGCAGGTGGCAGGGGCTCCTTGGCCTCCAGTTCCCGTGACTTGGAGGGGACTGTGGGACTGAGGAGCGCAGAGCAGAGAGCACACTCTGTGCGGTGACTCCGAAGCTCCCCGGCTGTGGCGCTTCTGTGGATGTGGGAGCCCAGGCCAGGCAGGGAGCAGATGCAGGGACTCTGCCTCATTGAATTCTGGTGAGGGACGTTGTAGTTGGCGTGGTTCTCCCGAAACGCGCCAGGAAAAGCTTCCGTGACAGAGATTCGTTGCCTCAGAAACTGCGTGACGCGCAGGAGTCAGACTTCCGCTGGGACGTCAATAGGAAACTGGGGAATTACTGTGTATTTGCTGTCTAGATGACTGAATAAGGGAAAAGTTAGGGAACCCTGAGAGGTGCAGCCCTTCCGCTGTGCCCCGCCCTGAGAGCAGTGTTTCGGACGCTGGGAAGCGTGCTGTGCGAAGCGCTCTCGGGGTCTTTCCTCAGCCTCGGAAACTGGGCTCTGGAATGCCTTTGTACATATGTGTGTTTAATGTGTTTTGAAGTGAATAAAATTCTCAAAAAGATGACATATTGTCTTTTGACTCTCATTCCGTGTTTGTGTGTAACTGATTTTCCAAGTGAAGGGGTGGCCTGCCCCTCCACACCTGTGGGTGTTTCTAGTCGGGTGGGATGAGAGACGGAGAAAAGAAATAAGACACAGAGACAAAGTATAGGGAGACAACAGTGGGTCCAGGGGACAGGCACTCAGCACACCTAGGACCTGCACCGGCACCGGCCTCTGAGTTCCCTCTGTTTTTATTGATTATGATTTTCATTATTTCAGCACAAAGGAATGCAGTAGGGGAGCAGGGTGATAATAAGGGGAAGGTCAACAACAACAACAAAAAACAAACACGTGAGCAAAAGAATCCATATCATTATTAAGTTCAAGGGAAGGTACTATGCCTGGACGTGCACGTAGGCCAGATTTATGTTTCTCTCCACACAAATATCTCAGCGGAGTAAAGAAAGCAAGGCAGCATTACTGCCAACATGTCTCACCTCCCGCCACAGGGCAGCTTTTCTCCGAGCTCAGAGTTGAACAAATGTACGATCGGGCTTTACACCGAGACATTCAGTTCCCAGGGGCAAGCAGGAGACAGTGGCCTTCCTCCATTTGAACTGCAAGAGGCGTTCCTCTTTGACTAATCCACCTCAGCACAGACCCATTGCGGGTGTCAGGCTGGGGGACATTCAGGACTTTCCCATCCCACGAGGCCATATTTCAGACTGTCACATGGGGAGAAACCTTGGACAATACCCTGCTTTCAAGGGCAGAGGTCCCTGTGGCTTTCCACGGTACATTGCGCCCCTGGTTTATTGAGACTAGAGAATGGCAATGACTTCTACCAAGTATACTGCTCGTAAACATTTGGTTAACAAGGCGCGTCCTGCACAGCCCTAGATCCCTTAAACCTCGATTTTATACAACACAGGTTTTTGTGAGCTCCAAGTTGGGTCAAAGGAAGGGGCTGCGGCAAAGCTACAAATGATCAACATCTCAGTGAAGCAATTGTTTAAAGTACAGGTCTTTTTCAAAATGGAGTCTCTTATGTCTTCCCCTTCTACATAGACACAGTGACAGTCCGATCTCTCTTTCTTTACCCTACATCCAAGGGCTTGAACATTTCTTGATTTGTTGGCAATCCAAATCGTTACCTCTCCGAAACAGAGTTGACTGAGGGGACCGCAGGGCTGGGCAGGACCTTTGACTTCCTATACATCCACAGGAGCAAGAAAACCTCAGCCCCACTCTACCAACACGCACCTAGTAAAATTCCGCCAACCGAATCTCACGCACGCTAACACGTGGGGAGCGTTGCTTGCACCACGAGTCCCCATTTGGCTCAACCGCCGATGCCAAGTGTGTGGTTCCAGTTGCGACGGCCCCCCGTGAAGTGGCTTCCGGATGTGCGAAGGAACCAGGCAGAGTTTCACTGGCCAAATAGACCCCAGCAAAGCTGAAGTTAACTCCCACATTTGGGATGTACTTCAGAGGTAAAACATTCATCCCGTCTTCTTTCCGGATGTCTGACACCATGGTTCTCCCCCTGATCCTAAGAGTAGCTGAGGCAGAGACTCACTAAAAGATCTAGGCGGGGATATCCCATCATGCACAGGCTCTCTCCATTCTCTGACCTGGGACCAACTCTCAGCAGGATTCCACATCTAGGAGGCCTCGGAACTCAGCGGGATTTTCTGAGACACACCAACTGGCTGCTCCCTTTCCGCCGCTGTTGAGGGTCGTTATCTTGATTATCCAGATCACCTAGAAAGTATCCGTATCCAGAATGAATAAGATCAACTCTCTGCTCCTCTGACAGCAGAAGGAGCAGGACCATAAGGAACCAAAGAGCGTGGAAGGAAACGATGTGACAGGAAAGCTCAGAGAACGGCCACAGGGGGTCGTCAGCAGGCCTTCCAACCTGAATCATGAATAATTAATGAAGCGCAAATCAAAGGGGACTCGAGTTTCAGCAGGAGCAATTCATCCAACGGGAGATCGCCGGAGGGCCAACAAGATTGAGAGACTGGGAGCCGGGTGCAGTGTCAAAGGGGACGCGACTGGTTCCAAAGCTCGAGAAGACCATGGGGTCACTTGGGCTACATGAGAAAACGCCCCAGTGTGCTGGTTCATCATTCCGACTCCTGCCTGTCTCTTCCCGTCCAAGGAACATGGACCCTAAGTCGTGCAGGTGCGGATGACCATGGGCAGAATTAGGGGCCGTGGCACTAAAGTTCACCGACACGGGAGTTCCACAGAAGGTGCGGTGGATCTTCGCAAATCCAGAGACATGGCAATGGGACCCAGGGAATTAGAGCCTCACAGGCGTCCGGGAGACTTTTCAGGCATAATGCCTGGAGTCGCAAGAGGAGCTGAAAAAGGAGCCAGGCACTGAAGGACAAAGCGTTGTTGACTTTCCTCATCTGTGTTTCCCAGTGCGGTCCAATTCACGGTGGTTTCCAAGCGCCTCCTGGGGGAGAAAACACATGAGGGTGCGGTCAGGGTTCTCTGCTGACAGACTTACCTTGGGGAAGAAAGAGAAGCTCTGAAGATGGATCATGGCCGTGACTGCATGTCAAGGAGAGTCTCCTTGATGACACTGAGGCCTACGTCGAGATAGACAAAATGTGGTCCAATTAAAAGGTGTCTATTTTACCACATTTTTTAAAACAAAACAAAACTAAACGACAAAAAAGATGGAAAAGAAGACGGGTACAGGCACCAGTGTTACATGTCTGACGGGGAACATCTATTGTTCAAAGCTTGCAGCTGTACAAGTAGGTTTTAGAATGTCTGTCAGCAGTGGACATGATCTTAGAGTGGGCTGTGCAGATAGACCTTTCCAGGTCATGTAATTGGATTAAGTTAATTGCAATTAAGGTACAGGTAACTGATTAGGTTAGGGTACGTTCCATGTCAGGTGACCAGAGGCAGTATAAAAGGCAGCCTGGAAAGCGGAGGTCCCTCTCTGCCCCTTCCTCCGTCGTCCTGGATGCTGCATCGCTTCCAGCCGGGCTGCTGCAGCACCTGCCCATCTCAGCGCCAGCCTGGGAAAGAAAGTAGACGTGTAATTTCAGGTTAGTTTCGCTGAACAATTGTTTGTTTCACGCAATCCCTGAGTGGTTTTGGCGGGGGGGGGGCGGGGGGAGGAAGAGACAAAGGAGGAAAGAAACCGATCACACTGGGGCTTGGTGGTGGGGTAGGATGTGTTCTCGTTACTAGTAATTCTTGGAACAGAAAACGAGAAAACATATCCGTCTCCACGTGTGGGAGAAGACCAAGATGGGAATGCGAAAAGAAATGTACTGCAGCATGCTGAATTGGTGGGTAAATGGAAAAAGGACTTTGGAAAAAAGGGGGTTTTGCCCTTCAGCCGTGTAAGACGTCGATACGATACGGCACTTCTTCCCCCGTTTGTTCAGATGAATTCGTGTGGTGTGCGTAAAATACCAGGAAAATAAATAAAGAGGGGCTGGAGCTAAAGCCAAAAGATAGAACAGGAAAGACCATCACCTGCTAGTGCGGTAGAGAGGAAGGTAACTTCTCTGTATGAATTTGTGTTTGGAAGTTGCCTAATGAAATGGCAAGAGTAGCGATTCAAGTTGTCACAGGAAGCATCCCTTATCCGTGACTTCAAGCAGACCTGCCAAAGGGTGGCACACGCCATGCCCTGTGTCTTCGATCATTCTGTCCGTCAAGGGAGATAGAATCACCGTGTCTTCTACCGGAGTGAATCGTGAGAGACCTAAGTCCAGTCTCCAGAATCAGTTGTTTGTTTGGGGTTGAAAGCTCAACCCCCCATACCTAGGCCACGGGCCCTGTGGCAGGTGGGGTTTACTCTTGGACTAGGTAGTCATGGCAGAGGAACACACAATATCCGAGGATGCGCACAGCACATTGTGTTCTACAGATTTGACCGACTGGTGGTGAGGTCTCCTCATGACCACACAGGCAGGGAGTTAGCAGGTGGCTTCCTGTGGGTGTGTGAATATCCAACGTGCTTAACCATCGACATGTGTGTGTTTGTGTGTGTTTCAGGTGGCCCAACAGTCCACCCCTGAAAAAGGCGGTCATAAAACCCCCAGGAGACGAAGATGATGGCACGTCGGGACCCCAAATCTTGGGCCAAGAGACTGGTGAGAGCCCAGACCCTCCAGAAGCAGCGGAGGGCCCCAGTTGGGCCAAGGTCTCCCCCGCCCGATGAAGAAGATCCCAGGGTAAGTCTAGCCCTGGATCTCTTGGGTATCGGGGTGGGGGTGGGGACGGGGGGAGGCGGTGTCCCACGGTCCTCAGAGACTGGGTTGGATTCCAAAGAGTTCTGTCACCACCAGCCAGGTTGCTTTTCCCATCCAAGGTGGGCGTGGCTTGGGACCTTCTCCCCGGCCCGATAGGTCCCTTGAGAGACTCTTGGGGGCAACCTCCCTTTCTACTTCGAGTCCTGTGTAGCCACGTTTGGCTGCGTTGTTGACATCGGCTTCACCATCGTGCCCCTTGGAACCTTGAGTCCTTCCTTTCAGAGTTACTCCGTCACAAGGGCTTTGCGAGGGAACATCGTATCCGAACTCTCCCAGCACTTAACGGCCCCCATGCCGGTGTCCCCTCTTCGGAATCCTTATTCAGCTCTGAATTCACAATCCGTCCCAATGTTGACGTGGGATCGCTGCCTGTGGCTTCAGCTCACTCACTGACATCACTTCCTTTCCACCCACAGCTCAAGTGCAAAAACTGCGGGGCCTTTGGCCACACGGCCAGAAGTACCAGGTGCCCCATGAAGTGCTGGAAGGCAGCCCTGGTTCCAGCGACCTGGGGAAAAAAGGAAGGGAAGGAAAACCTGAAACCATGGAAGCCCCGGGCTGAAGCCAACCCGGGGGCCCTGAAACAAGGATAAGGGAGAGAAGGAAGAGAGACCAAGGTGAGCAGTGGGAGGGTTTCACCACTCTTAGGGTGCTGCCTCCTAAGGAGATGGTGTCTCTGCACCTGCACACCGTGTGCCTTTCCGTCTCCGGGCCAGGGAAGGAGCGCTGCAGAGAAATAGGCCGGAGCTCCGTGTCCTCCGGGGTTCCACACCCAGGAGCTCCTTGGGCTCTGGGAGATTCAGGGACGGGGAGAGGCGGGGGCGCTTCGTGCAGGTTCCCCACGACAGCGGGAAAAGCGATGGAATCCAAATCACAGTCCTTAGTCGGGAAGCCTAGAGGGCCACCTGGAGGATGGGAAGGTTGGCACGTGAGGGAAGGTGCAGAGGCGGAAAGGGCACCAGATGTCCATTTCTGTATCACAAAACACGGAATGGGGCTGGGCCCCAGACGGGGTTCTCCCTGTCTCCTGGGGAAAACCAGGGGGCACCGCCTGACCTTTTTCTGTTCTGCAGGCAACAAGACCCGCAGAGGAAGGCTCTCCTCCACATGTTTTCCGGGAAACCTCCAGAGAAGCCGCTGCCGAATGGAAAAGGATCCACGGAATCTTCTGAGCATCTGAGGGTGAGTGTCACCCCGGGCCCCTGGTCCTTTTCTCCTCTAGGTCACCCTGGTTGATTTCCTTTCAGCTTCCCGTCTGTGGGAGGAAATCGGGGAACCCCTCTTTCTTGCCTTCTTGGGGTCAGGGACTCCACAATCCTTCCAGGTCAATTGGATTCCAGGCGAAGGCATCTGAAGATGCCGTATTTCCTGTGGCTTTCTTTCTGTCCAATTATGGCAAGCCTGCCAACAACACGTTCCTAGCGGCATGAGGAAATTAGTCCCTCAGAGGCCCCAAACGTGGAGAAGGCTAAACCCAGGAACATGCATGTGTTCAGAGAAGACGTCCCGAGTACCCTTGAGCCACCAACCTGCCTCGGGAAGGGCATTAGTCCGTTCCACTTCATGGAAGGCTGAGTGGAGGCGCTTTGATCCAGTTAATGCCCAAGACGCGATCTTTTGAACAATGGTGTGCTTAGATCAGCTACACATAGCTCGAGAGCGCACCTTTCATGTGTCTTGTCCTGATCAGCACTCAGGTGGAGGGATCTGTCCCTACTTCCAAGGACCGCCTGTCGATACTGTACTAAGAATTTCATGGCGTGTGCACCTTGTCTTTGGATATGTTTGATTTTCACGTTGGCTCCATGCCGTGGAACTTCTAACCTGTGTTGTTTCCTCTCTTTCAGGTTGCAAGCGGGCCAATGCCGGTCCACACAACCAGTAAGAGGCCGCGCGTGGACCCTGTCCTCGCTGATCGCTCAGCTACCGAAATGTCTGGCAGGGGCTCCGTCTTGGCTTCACTGTCTCCCCTCAGAAAAGCCAGCCTGAGCTCCTCCTCAAGTCTTGGACCAAAGGAAAGACAGACAGGGGCTGCGGCCGACATCCCTCAGCCTGCATTCAGGCACCAGGGCCCCGAGCCTCTCCTCGTGGTGAAGCCGACACACAGCAGCCCTGAGGGTGGCTGCCGAGAAGTTCCCCAGGCTGCCTCCAAAACCCACGGCCTGCTCCAGGCCGTCAGACCCCAGGCACAAGACAAACGTCCTGCGGTGACCTCACAGCCCTGCCCGCCAGCCGCCACACACAGCTTGGGCCTAGGCTCCAATCTCAGCTTCGGGCCAGGAGCCAAGAGACCTGCCCAGGCTCCGATTCAGGCTTGCCTGAACTTCCCCAAGAAACCGAGACTGGGTCCCTTCCAGATCCCCGAAAGCGCCATCCAGGGAGGTGAGCTGCGGGCCCCGGAGAATCTCCAACCTCCGCCAGCCGCAACCGAACTTGGACCAAGTACGTCGCCCCAGATGGGCAGGAGGACACCGGCCCAGGTGCCCAGCGTCGACCGGCAGCCTCCGCACAGCACACCTTGCCTGCCTACTGCCCAGGCCTGCACCATGTCCCATCACCCAGCGGCCGGCCATGATGGGGCCCAGCCTCTCAGAGTGCTCTTCCGGAGACTGGAAAACGGACGCTGGAGCTCCAGCCTCCTGGCCGCCCCCTCATTTCACTCTCCTGAGAAGCCGGGAGCCTTCCTCGCTCAGAGCCCTCATGTGTCAGAGAAGTCTGAGGCTCCCTGTGTTCGTGTCCCACCGAGCGTCCTCTATGAGGACCTTCAGGTTTCCTCCTCCTCAGAGGACAGCGATTCTGACCTGGAGTGAGACTGCAGGTGGCAGGGGCTCCTTGGCCTCCAGCTCCCGTGACTTGGAGGGGACTGTGGGACTGAGGAGCGCAGAGCAGAGAGCACACTCTGTGCGGTGACTCCGAAGCTCCCCGGCTGTGGCGCTTCTGTGGATGTGGGAGCCCAGGCCAGGCAGGGAGCAGATGCAGGGACTCTGCCTCATTGAATTCTGGTGAGGGACGTTGTAGTTGGCGTGGTTCTCCCGAAACGCGCCAGGAAAAGCTTCCGTGCCAGAGATTCGTTGCCTCAGAAACTGCGTGACGCGCAGGAGTCAGACTTCCGCTGGGACGTCAATAGGAAACTGGGGAATTACTGTGTATTTGCTGTCTAGATGACTGAATAAGGGAAAAGTTAGGGAACCCTGAGAGGTGCAGCCCTTCCGCTGTGCCCCGCCCTGAGAGCAGTGTTTCGGACGCTGGGAAGCGTGCTGTGCGAAGCGCTCTCGGGGTCTTTCCTCAGCCTCGAAAACTGGGCTCTGGAATGCCTTTGTACATATGTGTGTTTAATGTGTTTTGAAGTGAATAAAATTCTCAAAAAGATGACATATTGTCTTTTGACTCTCATTCCGTGTTTGTGTGTAACTGATTTTCCAAGTGAAGGGGTGGCCCGCCCCTCCACACCTGTGGGTGTTTCTAGTCGGGTGGGATGAGAGACGGAGAAAAGAAATCAGACACAGAGACAAAGTATAGGGAGACAACAGTGGGTCCAGGGGACAGGCACTCAGCACACCTAGGACCTGCACCGGCACCGGCCTCTGAGTTCCCTCAGTTTTTATTGATTATGATTTTCATTATTTCAGCACAAAGGAATGCAGTAGGGGAGCAGGGTGATAATAAGGGGAAGGTCAACAACAACAACAAAAAACAAACACGTGAGCAAAAGAATCCATATCATTATTAAGTTCAAGGGAAGGTACTATGCCTGGACGTGCACGTAGGCCAGATTTATGTTTCTCTCCACACAAATATCTCAGCGGAGTAAAGAATAACAAGGCAGCATTACTGCCAGCATGTCTCGCCTCCCGCCACAGGGCAGCTTTTCGCCGAGCTCAGAGTTGAACAAATGTACGATCGGGCTTTACACCGAGACATTCAGTTCCCAGGGGCAAGCAGGAGACAGTGGCCTTCCTCCATCTGAATTGCAAGAGGCGTTCCTCTTTGACTAATCCACCTCAGCACAGACCCATTGCGGGTGTCAGGCTGGGGGACATTCAGGACTTTCCCATCCCACGAGGCCATATTTCAGACTGTCACATGGGGAGAAACCTTGGACAATACCCTGCTTTCAAGGGCAGAGGTCCCTGTGGCTTTCCACGGTGCATTGCGCCCCTGGTTTATTGAGACTAGGGAATGGCAATGACTCCTACCAAGGATACTGCTCGTAAACATTTGGTTAACAAGGCGCGTCCTGCACAGCCCTAGATCCCTTAAACCTCGATTTTATACAACACAGGTTTTTGTGAGCTCCAAGTTGGGTCAAAGGAAGGGGCTGCGGCAAAGCTACAAATGATCAACATCTCAGCAAAGCAATTGTTTAAACTACAGGTCTTTTTCAAAATGGAGTCTCTTATGTCTTCCCCTTCTACATAGACACAGTGACAGTCTGATCTCTCTTTCTTTACCCTACATCCAAGGGCTTGAACATTTCTTGACTTGTTGGCAATCCAAATCGTTACGTCTCCGAAACAGAGTTGACTGAGGGGACCGCAGGGCTGGGCAGGACCTTTGACTTCCTATACATCCACAGGAGCAAGAAAACCTCAGCCCCACTCTACCAACACGCACCTAGTAAAATTCCGCCAACCGCATCTCACGCACGCTAACACGTGGGGAGCGTTGCTTGCACCACGAGTCCCCATTTGGCTCAACCGCCGATGCCAAGTGTGTGGTTCCAGTTGCGACGGCCCCCCGTGAAGTGGCTTCCGGATGTGCGAATGAACCAGGCAGCGTTTCACTGGCCAAATAGACCCCAGCAAAGCTGAAGTTAACTCCCACATTTGGGATGTACCTCAGAGGTAAAACATTCATCCCGTCTTCTTTCTGGATGTCTGACACCATGGTTCTCCCCCTGATCCTAAGAGTAGCTGAGGCAGAGACTCACTGAAAGATCTAGGCGGGGATATCCCATCATGCACAGGCTCTCTCCATTCTCTGACCTGGGAACAACTCTCAGCAGGATTCCACATCTAGGAGGCCTCGGAACTCAGTGGGATTTTCTGAGACACACCAACTGGCTGCTCCCTCTCCGCCGCTGTTGTGGGTCGTTATCTTGATTATCCAGATCAACTAGAAAGTATCCGTATCCAGAATGAATAAGATCAACTCTCTGCTCCTCTGACAGCAGAAGGAGCAGGACCATAAGGAACCAAAGAGCGTGGAAGGAAACGATGTGACAGGAAAGCTCAGAGAACGGCCACAGGGGGTCGTCAGCAGGCCTTCCAACCTGAATCATGAATAATTAATGAAGCGCAAATCAAAGGGGACTCGAGTTTCAGCAGGAGCAATTCATCCAACGGGAGATCGCCGGAGGGCCAACAAGATTGAGAGACTGGGAGCCGGGTGCAGTGTCAAAGGGGACGCGACTGGTTCCAAAGCTCGAGAAGACCATGGGGTCACTTGGGCTACATGAGAAAATGCCCCAGTGTGCTGGTTCATCATTCCGACTCCTGCCTGTCTCTTCCCGTCCAAGGAACATGGACCCTAAGTCGTGCAGGTGCGGATGACCATGGGCAGAATTAGGGGCCGTGGCACTAAAGTTCACCGACACGGGAGTTCCACAGAAGGTGCGGTGGATCTTCGCAAATCCAGAGACATGGCAATGGGACCCAGGGAATTAGAGCCTCACAGGCGTCCGGGAGACTTTTCAGGCATAATGCCTGGAGTCGCAAGAGGAGCTGAAAAAGGAGCCAGGCACTGAAGGACAAAGCGTTGTTGACTTTCCTCATCTGTGTTTCCCAGTGCGGTCCAATTCACGGTGGTTTCCAAGCGCCTCCTGGGGGAGAAAACACATGAGGGTGCGGTCAGGGTTCTCTGCTGACAGACTTACCTTGGGGAAGAAAGAGAAGCTCTGAAGATGGATCATGGCCGTGACTGCACGTCAAGGAGAGTCTCCTTGATGACACTGAGGCCTACGTCGAGATAGACAAAATGTGGTCCAATTAAAAGGTGTCTATTTTACCACATTTTTTAAAACAAAACAAAACTAAACGACAAAAAAGATGGAAAAGAAGACGGGTACAGGCACCAGTGTTACATGTCTGACGGGGAACATCTATTGTTCAAAGCTTGCAGCTGTACAAGTAGGTTTTAGAATGTCTGTCAGCAGTGGACAGGATCTTAGAGTGGGCTGTGCAGATAGACCTTTCCAGGTCATGTAATTGGATTAAGTTAATTGCAATTAAGGTACAGGTAACTGATTAGGTTAGGGTACGTTCCATGTCAGGTGACCAGAGGCAGTATAAAAGGCAGCCTGGAAAGCGGAGGTCCCTCTCTGCCCCTTCCTCCGTCGTCCTGGATGCTGCATCGCTTCCAGCCGGGCTGCTGCAGCACCTGCCCATCTCAGCGCCAGCCTGGGAAAGAAAGTAGACGTGTAATTTCAGGTTAGTTTCGCTGAACAATTGTTTGTTTCACGCAATCCCTGAGTGGTTTTGGCGGGGGGGGGGCGGGGGGAGGAAGAGACAAAGGAGGCCGAAAGAAACCGATCACACTGGGGCTTGCTGGTGGGGTAGGATGTGTTCTCGTTACTAGTAATTCTTGGAACAGAAAACGAGACAACATATCCGTCTCCACGTGTGGGAGAAGACCAAGATGGGAATGCGAAAAGAAATGTACTGCAGCATGCTGAATTGGTGGGTAAATGGAAAAAGGACTTTGGAAAAAAGGGGGGTTTGCCCTTCAGCCGTGTAAGACGTCGATACGATACGGCACTTCTTCCCCGTTTGTTCAGATGAATTCGTGTGGTGTGCGTAAAATACCAGGAAAATAAATAAAGAGGGGCTGGAGCTAAAGCCAAAAGATAGAACAGGAAAGACCATCACCTGCTAGTGCGGTAGAGAGGAAGGTAACTTCTCTGTATGAATTTGTGTTTGGAAGTTGCCTAATGAAATGGCAAGAGTAGCGATTCAAGTTATCACAGGAAGCATCCCTTATCCGTGACTTCAAGCAGACCTGCCAAAGGGTGGCACACGCCATGCCCTGTGTCTTCGATCATTCTGTCCGTCAAGGGAGATAGAATCACCGTGTCTTCTACCGGAGTGAATCGTGAGAGACCTAAGTCCAGTCTCCAGAATCAGTTGTTTGTTTGGGGTTGAAAGCTCAACCCCCCATACCTAGGCCACGGGCCCTGTGGCAGGTGGGGTTTACTCTTGGACTAGGTAGTCATGGCAGAGGAACACACAATATCCGAGGATGCGCACAGCACATTGTGTTCTACAGATTTGACCGACTGGTGGTGAGGTCTCCTCATGACCACACAGGCAGGGAGTTAGCAGGTGGCTTCCTGTGGGTGTGTGAATATCCAACGTGCTTAACCATCGACATGTGTGTGTTTGTGTGTGTTTCAGGTGGCCCAACAGTCCACCCCTGAAAAAGGCGGTCATAAAACCCCCAGGAGACGAAGATGATGGCACGTCGGGACCCCAAATCTTGGGCCAAGAGACTGGTGAGAGCCCAGACCCTCCAGAAGCAGCGGAGGGCCCCAGTTGGGCCAAGGTCTCCCCCGCCCGATGAAGAAGATCCCAGGGTAAGTCTAGCCCTGGATCTCTTGGGTATCGGGGTGGGGGTGGGGAACGGGGGGAGGCGGTGTCCCACGGTCCTCAGAGACTGGGTTGGATTCCAAAGAGTTCTGTCACCACCAGCCAGGTTGCTTTTCCCATCCAAGGTGGGCGTGGCTTGGGACCTTCTCCCCGGCCCGATAGGTCCCTTGAGAGACTCTTGGGGGCAACCTCCCTTTCTACTTCGAGTCCTGTGTAGCCACGTTTGGCTGCGTTGTTGACATCGGCTTCACCATCGTGCCCCTTGGAACCTTGAGTCCTTCCTTTCAGAGTTACTCCGTCACAAGGGCTTTGCGAGGGAACATCGTATCCGAACTCTCCCAGCACTTAACGGCCCCCATGCCGGTGTCCCCTCTTCGGAATCCTTATTCAGCTCTGAATTCACAATCCGTCCCAATGTTGACGTGGGATCGCTGCCTGTGGCTTCAGCTCACTCACTGACATCACTTCCTTTCCACCCACAGCTCAAGTGCAAAAACTGCGGGGCCTTTGGCCACACGGCCAGAAGTACCAGGTGCCCCATGAAGTGCTGGAAGGCAGCCCTGGTTCCAGCGACCTTGGGGAAAAAGGAAGGGAAGGAAAACCTGAAACCATGGAAGCCCCGGGCTGAAGCCAACCCGGGGCCCTTGAACAAGGATAAGGGAGAGAAGGAAGAGAGACCAAGGTGAGCAGTGGGAGGGGTTTTCACCACTCTTAGGGTGCTGCCTCCTAAGGAGATGGTGTCTCTGCACCTGCACACCGTGTGCCTTTCCGTCTCCGGGCCAGGGAAGGAGCGCTGCAGAGAAATAGGCCGGAGCTCCGTGTCCTCCGGGGTTCCACACCCAGGAGCTCCTTGGGCTCTGGGAGATTCAGGGACGGGGAGAGGCGGGGGCGCTTCGTGCAGGTTCCCCACGACAGCGGGAAAAGCGATGGAATCCAAATCACAGTCCTTAGTCGGGAAGCCTAGAGGGCCACCTGGAGGATGGGAAGGTTGGCACGTGAGGGAAGGTGCAGAGGCGGAAAGGGCACCAGATGTCCATTTCTGTATCACAAAACACGGAATGGGGCTGGGCCCCAGACGGGGTTCTCCCTGTCTCCTGGGGAAAACCAGGGGGCACCGCCTGACCTTTTTCTGTTCTGCAGGCAACAAGACCCGCAGAGGAACGCTCTCCTCCACATGTTTTCCGGGAAACCTCCAGAGAAGCCGCTGCCGAATGGAAAAGGATCCACGGAATCTTCCGAGCATCTGAGGGTGAGTGTCACCCCGGGCCCCTGGTCCTTTTCTCCTCTAGGTCACCCTGGTTGATTTCCTTTCAGCTTCCCGTCTGCGGGAGGAAATCGGGGAACCCCTCTTTCTTGCCTTCTTGGGGTCAGGGACTCCACAATCCTTCCAGGTCAATTGGATTCCAGGCGAAGGCATCTGAAGATGCCGTATTTCCTGTGGCTTTCTTTCTGTCCAATTATGGCAAGCCTGCCAACAACACGTTCCTAGCGGCATGAGGAAATTAGTCCCTCAGAGGCCCCAAACGTGGAGAAGGCTAAACCCAGGAACATGCATGTGTTCAGAGAAGACGTCCCGAGTACCCTTGAGCCACCAACCTGCCTCGGGAAGGGCATTAGTCCGTTCCACTTCATGGAAGGCTGAGTGGAGGCGCTTTGATCCAGTTAATGCCCAAGACGCGATCTTTTGAACAATGGTGTGCTTAGATCAGCTACACATAGCTCGAGAGCGCACCTTTCATGTGTCTTGTCCTGATCAGCACTCAGGTGGAGGGATCTGTCCCTACTTCCAAGGACCGCCTGTCGATACTGTACTAAGAATTTCATGGCGTGTGCACCTTGTCTTTGGATATGTTTGATTTTCACGTTGGCTCCATGCCGTGGAACTTCTAACCTGTGTTGTTTCCTCTCTTTCAGGTTGCAAGCGGGCCAATGCCGGTCCACACAACCAGTAAGAGGCCGCGCGTGGACCCTGTCCTCGCTGATCGCTCAGCTACCGAAATGTCTGGCAGGGGCTCCGTCTTGGCTTCACTGTCTCCCCTCAGAAAAGCCAGCCTGAGCTCCTCCTCAAGTCTTGGACCAAAGGAAAGACAGACAGGGGCTGCGGCCGACATCCCTCAGCCTGCATTCAGGCACCAGGGCCCCGAGCCTCTCCTCGTGGTGAAGCCGACACACAGCAGCCCTGAGGGTGGCTGCCGAGAAGTTCCCCAGGCTGCCTCCAAAACCCACGGCCTGCTCCAGGCCGTCAGACCCCAGGCACAAGACAAACGTCCTGCGGTGACCTCACAGCCCTGCCCGCCAGCCGCCACACACAGCTTGGGCCTAGGCTCCAATCTCAGCTTCGGGCCAGGAGCCAAGAGACCTGCCCAGGCTCCGATTCAGGCTTGCCTGAACTTCCCCAAGAAACCGAGACTGGGTCCCTTCCAGATCCCCGAAAGCGCCATCCAGGGAGGTGAGCTGCGGGCCCCGGAGAATCTCCAACCTCCGCCAGCCGCAACCGAACTTGGACCAAGTACGTCGCCCCAGATGGGCAGGAGGACACCGGCCCAGGTGCCCAGCGTCGACCGGCAGCCTCCGCACAGCACACCTTGCCTGCCTACTGCCCAGGCCTGCACCATGTCCCATCACCCAGCGGCCGGCCATGATGGGGCCCAGCCTCTCAGAGTGCTCTTCCGGAGACTGGAAAACGGACGCTGGAGCTCCAGCCTCCTGGCCGCCCCCTCATTTCACTCTCCTGAGAAGCCGGGAGCCTTCCTCGCTCAGAGCCCTCATGTGTCAGAGAAGTCTGAGGCTCCCTGTGTTCGTGTCCCACCGAGCGTCCTCTATGAGGACCTTCAGGTTTCCTCCTCCTCAGAGGACAGCGATTCTGACCTGGAGTGAGACTGCAGGTGGCAGGGGCTCCTTGGCCTCCAGCTCCCGTGACTTGGAGGGGACTGTGGGACTGAGGAGCGCAGAGCAGAGAGCACACTCTGTGCGGTGACTCCGAAGCTCCCCGGCTGTGGCGCTTCTGTGGATGTGGGAGCCCAGGCCAGGCAGGGAGCAGATGCAGGGACTCTGCCTCATTGAATTCTGGTGAGGGACGTTGTAGTTGGCGTGGTTCTCCCGAAACGCGCCAGGAAAAGCTTCCGTGCCAGAGATTCGTTGCCTCAGAAACTGCGTGACGCGCAGGAGTCAGACTTCCGCTGGGACGTCAATAGGAAACTGGGGAATTACTGTGTATTTGCTGTCTAGATGACTGAATAAGGGAAAAGTTAGGGAACCCTGAGAGGTGCAGCCCTTCCGCTGTGCCCCGCCCTGAGAGCAGTGTTTCGGACGCTGGGAAGCGTGCTGTGCGAAGCGCTCTCGGGGTCTTTCCTCAGCCTCGAAAACTGGGCTCTGGAATGCCTTTGTACATATGTGTGTTTAATGTGTTTTGAAGTGAATAAAATTCTCAAAAAGATGACATATTGTCTTTTGACTCTCATTCCGTGTTTGTGTGTAACTGATTTTCCAAGTGAAGGGGTGGCCCGCCCCTCCACACCTGTGGGTGTTTCTAGTCGGGTGGGATGAGAGACGGAGAAAAGAAATCAGACACAGAGACAAAGTATAGGGAGACAACAGTGGGTCCAGGGGACAGGCACTCAGCACACCTAGGACCTGCACCGGCACCGGCCTCTGAGTTCCCTCAGTTTTTATTGATTATGATTTTCATTATTTCAGCACAAAGGAATGCAGTAGGGGAGCAGGGTGATAATAAGGGGAAGGTCAACAACAACAACAAAAAACAAACACGTGAGCAAAAGAATCCATATCATTATTAAGTTCAAGGGAAGGTACTATGCCTGGACGTGCACGTAGGCCAGATTTATGTTTCTCTCCACACAAATATCTCAGCGGAGTAAAGAATAACAAGGCAGCATTACTGCCAGCATGTCTCGCCTCCCGCCACAGGGCAGCTTTTCGCCGAGCTCAGAGTTGAACAAATGTACGATCGGGCTTTACACCGAGACATTCAGTTCCCAGGGGCAAGCAGGAGACAGTGGCCTTCCTCCATCTGAATTGCAAGAGGCGTTCCTCTTTGACTAATCCACCTCAGCACAGACCCATTGCGGGTGTCAGGCTGGGGGACATTCAGGACTTTCCCATCCCACGAGGCCATATTTCAGACTGTCACATGGGGAGAAACCTTGGACAATACCCTGCTTTCAAGGGCAGAGGTCCCTGTGGCTTTCCACGGTGCATTGCGCCCCTGGTTTATTGAGACTAGGGAATGGCAATGACTCCTACCAAGGATACTGCTCGTAAACATTTGGTTAACAAGGCGCGTCCTGCACAGCCCTAGATCCCTTAAACCTCGATTTTATACAACACAGGTTTTTGTGAGCTCCAAGTTGGGTCAAAGGAAGGGGCTGCGGCAAAGCTACAAATGATCAACATCTCAGCAAAGCAATTGTTTAAACTACAGGTCTTTTTCAAAATGGAGTCTCTTATGTCTTCCCCTTCTACATAGACACAGTGACAGTCTGATCTCTCTTTCTTTACCCTACATCCAAGGGCTTGAACATTTCTTGACTTGTTGGCAATCCAAATCGTTACGTCTCCGAAACAGAGTTGACTGAGGGGACCGCAGGGCTGGGCAGGACCTTTGACTTCCTATACATCCACAGGAGCAAGAAAACCTCAGCCCCACTCTACCAACACGCACCTAGTAAAATTCCGCCAACCGCATCTCACGCACGCTAACACGTGGGGAGCGTTGCTTGCACCACGAGTCCCCATTTGGCTCAACCGCCGATGCCAAGTGTGTGGTTCCAGTTGCGACGGCCCCCCGTGAAGTGGCTTCCGGATGTGCGAATGAACCAGGCAGCGTTTCACTGGCCAAATAGACCCCAGCAAAGCTGAAGTTAACTCCCACATTTGGGATGTACCTCAGAGGTAAAACATTCATCCCGTCTTCTTTCTGGATGTCTGACACCATGGTTCTCCCCCTGATCCTAAGAGTAGCTGAGGCAGAGACTCACTGAAAGATCTAGGCGGGGATATCCCATCATGCACAGGCTCTCTCCATTCTCTGACCTGGGAACAACTCTCAGCAGGATTCCACATCTAGGAGGCCTCGGAACTCAGTGGGATTTTCTGAGACACACCAACTGGCTGCTCCCTCTCCGCCGCTGTTGTGGGTCGTTATCTTGATTATCCAGATCAACTAGAAAGTATCCGTATCCAGAATGAATAAGATCAACTCTCTGCTCCTCTGACAGCAGAAGGAGCAGGACCATAAGGAACCAAAGAGCGTGGAAGGAAACGATGTGACAGGAAAGCTCAGAGAACGGCCACAGGGGGTCGTCAGCAGGCCTTCCAACCTGAATCATGAATAATTAATGAAGCGCAAATCAAAGGGGACTCGAGTTTCAGCAGGAGCAATTCATCCAACGGGAGATCGCCGGAGGGCCAACAAGATTGAGAGACTGGGAGCCGGGTGCAGTGTCAAAGGGGACGCGACTGGTTCCAAAGCTCGAGAAGACCATGGGGTCACTTGGGCTACATGAGAAAATGCCCCAGTGTGCTGGTTCATCATTCCGACTCCTGCCTGTCTCTTCCCGTCCAAGGAACATGGACCCTAAGTCGTGCAGGTGCGGATGACCATGGGCAGAATTAGGGGCCGTGGCACTAAAGTTCACCGACACGGGAGTTCCACAGAAGGTGCGGTGGATCTTCGCAAATCCAGAGACATGGCAATGGGACCCAGGGAATTAGAGCCTCACAGGCGTCCGGGAGACTTTTCAGGCATAATGCCTGGAGTCGCAAGAGGAGCTGAAAAAGGAGCCAGGCACTGAAGGACAAAGCGTTGTTGACTTTCCTCATCTGTGTTTCCCAGTGCGGTCCAATTCACGGTGGTTTCCAAGCGCCTCCTGGGGGAGAAAACACATGAGGGTGCGGTCAGGGTTCTCTGCTGACAGACTTACCTTGGGGAAGAAAGAGAAGCTCTGAAGATGGATCATGGCCGTGACTGCACGTCAAGGAGAGTCTCCTTGATGACACTGAGGCCTACGTCGAGATAGACAAAATGTGGTCCAATTAAAAGGTGTCTATTTTACCACATTTTTTAAAACAAAACAAAACTAAACGACAAAAAAGATGGAAAAGAAGACGGGTACAGGCACCAGTGTTACATGTCTGACGGGGAACATCTATTGTTCAAAGCTTGCAGCTGTACAAGTAGGTTTTAGAATGTCTGTCAGCAGTGGACAGGATCTTAGAGTGGGCTGTGCAGATAGACCTTTCCAGGTCATGTAATTGGATTAAGTTAATTGCAATTAAGGTACAGGTAACTGATTAGGTTAGGGTACGTTCCATGTCAGGTGACCAGAGGCAGTATAAAAGGCAGCCTGGAAAGCGGAGGTCCCTCTCTGCCCCTTCCTCCGTCGTCCTGGATGCTGCATCGCTTCCAGCCGGGCTGCTGCAGCACCTGCCCATCTCAGCGCCAGCCTGGGAAAGAAAGTAGACGTGTAATTTCAGGTTAGTTTCGCTGAACAATTGTTTGTTTCACGCAATCCCTGAGTGGTTTTGGCGGGGGGGGGGCGGGGGGAGGAAGAGACAAAGGAGGCCGAAAGAAACCGATCACACTGGGGCTTGCTGGTGGGGTAGGATGTGTTCTCGTTACTAGTAATTCTTGGAACAGAAAACGAGACAACATATCCGTCTCCACGTGTGGGAGAAGACCAAGATGGGAATGCGAAAAGAAATGTACTGCAGCATGCTGAATTGGTGGGTAAATGGAAAAAGGACTTTGGAAAAAAGGGGGGTTTGCCCTTCAGCCGTGTAAGACGTCGATACGATACGGCACTTCTTCCCCGTTTGTTCAGATGAATTCGTGTGGTGTGCGTAAAATACCAGGAAAATAAATAAAGAGGGGCTGGAGCTAAAGCCAAAAGATAGAACAGGAAAGACCATCACCTGCTAGTGCGGTAGAGAGGAAGGTAACTTCTCTGTATGAATTTGTGTTTGGAAGTTGCCTAATGAAATGGCAAGAGTAGCGATTCAAGTTATCACAGGAAGCATCCCTTATCCGTGACTTCAAGCAGACCTGCCAAAGGGTGGCACACGCCATGCCCTGTGTCTTCGATCATTCTGTCCGTCAAGGGAGATAGAATCACCGTGTCTTCTACCGGAGTGAATCGTGAGAGACCTAAGTCCAGTCTCCAGAATCAGTTGTTTGTTTGGGGTTGAAAGCTCAACCCCCCATACCTAGGCCACGGGCCCTGTGGCAGGTGGGGTTTACTCTTGGACTAGGTAGTCATGGCAGAGGAACACACAATATCCGAGGATGCGCACAGCACATTGTGTTCTACAGATTTGACCGACTGGTGGTGAGGTCTCCTCATGACCACACAGGCAGGGAGTTAGCAGGTGGCTTCCTGTGGGTGTGTGAATATCCAACGTGCTTAACCATCGACATGTGTGTGTTTGTGTGTGTTTCAGGTGGCCCAACAGTCCACCCCTGAAAAAGGCGGTCATAAAACCCCCAGGAGACGAAGATGATGGCACGTCGGGACCCCAAATCTTGGGCCAAGAGACTGGTGAGAGCCCAGACCCTCCAGAAGCAGCGGAGGGCCCCAGTTGGGCCAAGGTCTCCCCCGCCCGATGAAGAAGATCCCAGGGTAAGTCTAGCCCTGGATCTCTTGGGTATCGGGGTGGGGGTGGGGACGGGGGGAGGCGGTGTCCCACGGTCCTCAGAGACTGGGTTGGATTCCAAAGAGTTCTGTCACCACCAGCCAGGTTGCTTTTCCCATCCAAGGTGGGCGTGGCTTGGGACCTTCTCCCCGGCCCGATAGGTCCCTTGAGAGACTCTTGGGGGCAACCTCCCTTTCTACTTCGAGTCCTGTGTAGCCACGTTTGGCTGCGTTGTTGACATCGGCTTCACCATCGTGCCCCTTGGAACCTTGAGTCCTTCCTTTCAGAGTTACTCCGTCACAAGGGCTTTGCGAGGGAACATCGTATCCGAACTCTCCCAGCACTTAACGGCCCCCATGCCGGTGTCCCCTCTTCGGAATCCTTATTCAGCTCTGAATTCACAATCCGTCCCAATGTTGACGTGGGATCGCTGCCTGTGGCTTCAGCTCACTCACTGACATCACTTCCTTTCCACCCACAGCTCAAGTGCAAAAACTGCGGGGCCTTTGGCCACACGGCCAGAAGTACCAGGTGCCCCATGAAGTGCTGGAAGGCAGCCCTGGTTCCAGCGACCTTGGGGAAAAAGGAAGGGAAGGAAAACCTGAAACCATGGAAGCCCCGGGCTGAAGCCAACCCGGGGCCCTTGAACAAGGATAAGGGAGAGAAGGAAGAGAGACCAAGGTGAGCAGTGGGAGGGGTTTTCACCACTCTTAGGGTGCTGCCTCTAAGGAGATGGTGTCTCTGCACCTGCACACCGTGTGCCTTTCCGTCTCCGGGCCAGGGAAGGAGCGCTGCAGAGAAATAGGCCGGAGCTCCGTGTCCTCCGGGGTTCCACACCCAGGAGCTCCTTGGGCTCTGGGAGATTCAGGGACGGGGAGAGGCGGGGGCGCTTCGTGCAGGTTCCCCACGACAGCGGGAAAAGCGATGGAATCCAAATCACAGTCCTTAGTCGGGAAGCCTAGAGGGCCACCTGGAGGATGGGAAGGTTGGCACGTGAGGGAAGGTGCAGAGGCGGAAAGGGCACCAGATGTCCATTTCTGTATCACAAAACACGGAATGGGGCTGGGCCCCAGACGGGGTTCTCCCTGTCTCCTGGGGAAAACCAGGGGGCACCGCCTGACCTTTTTCTGTTCTGCAGGCAACAAGACCCGCAGAGGAACGCTCTCCTCCACATGTTTTCCGGGAAACCTCCAGAGAAGCCGCTGCCGAATGGAAAAGGATCCACGGAATCTTCCGAGCATCTGAGGGTGAGTGTCACCCCGGGCCCCTGGTCCTTTTCTCCTCTAGGTCACCCTGGTTGATTTCCTTTCAGCTTCCCGTCTGCGGGAGGAAATCGGGGAACCCCTCTTTCTTGCCTTCTTGGGGTCAGGGACTCCACAATCCTTCCAGGTCAATTGGATTCCAGGCGAAGGCATCTGAAGATGCCGTATTTCCTGTGGCTTTCTTTCTGTCCAATTATGGCAAGCCTGCCAACAACACGTTCCTAGCGGCATGAGGAAATTAGTCCCTCAGAGGCCCCAAACGTGGAGAAGGCTAAACCCAGGAACATGCATGTGTTCAGAGAAGACGTCCCGAGTACCCTTGAGCCACCAACCTGCCTCGGGAAGGGCATTAGTCCGTTCCACTTCATGGAAGGCTGAGTGGAGGCGCTTTGATCCAGTTAATGCCCAAGACGCGATCTTTTGAACAATGGTGTGCTTAGATCAGCTACACATAGCTCGAGAGCGCACCTTTCATGTGTCTTGTCCTGATCAGCACTCAGGTGGAGGGATCTGTCCCTACTTCCAAGGACCGCCTGTCGATACTGTACTAAGAATTTCATGGCGTGTGCACCTTGTCTTTGGATATGTTTGATTTTCACGTTGGCTCCATGCCGTGGAACTTCTAACCTGTGTTGTTTCCTCTCTTTCAGGTTGCAAGCGGGCCAATGCCGGTCCACACAACCAGTAAGAGGCCGCGCGTGGACCCTGTCCTCGCTGATCGCTCAGCTACCGAAATGTCTGGCAGGGGCTCCGTCTTGGCTTCACTGTCTCCCCTCAGAAAAGCCAGCCTGAGCTCCTCCTCAAGTCTTGGACCAAAGGAAAGACAGACAGGGGCTGCGGCCGACATCCCTCAGCCTGCATTCAGGCACCAGGGCCCCGAGCCTCTCCTCGTGGTGAAGCCGACACACAGCAGCCCCTGAGGGTGGCTGCCGAGAAGTTCCCCAGGCTGCCTCCAAAACCCACGGCCTGCTCCAGGCCGTCAGACCCCAGGCACAAGACAAACGTCCTGCGGTGACCTCACAGCCCTGCCCGCCAGCCGCCACACACAGCTTGGGCCTAGGCTCCAATCTCAGCTTCGGGCCAGGAGCCAAGAGACCTGCCCAGGCTCCGATTCAGGCTTGCCTGAACTTCCCAAGAACCGAGACTGGGTCCCTTCCAGATCCCCGAAAGCGCCATCCAGGGAGGTGAGCTGCGGGCCCCGGAGAATCTCCAACCTCCGCCAGCCGCAACCGAACTTGGACCAAGTACGTCGCCCCAGATGGGCAGGAGGACACCGGCCCAGGTGCCCAGCGTCGACCGGCAGCCTCCGCACAGCACACCTTGCCTGCCTACTGCCCAGGCCTGCACCATGTCCCATCACCCAGCGGCCGGCCATGATGGGGCCCAGCCTCTCAGAGTGCTCTTCCGGAGACTGGAAAACGGACGCTGGAGCTCCAGCCTCCTGGCCGCCCCCTCATTTCACTCTCCTGAGAAGCCGGGAGCCTTCCTCGCTCAGAGCCCTCATGTGTCAGAGAAGTCTGAGGCTCCCTGTGTTCGTGTCCCACCGAGCGTCCTCTATGAGGACCTTCAGGTTTCCTCCTCCTCAGAGGACAGCGATTCTGACCTGGAGTGAGACTGCAGGTGGCAGGGGCTCCTTGGCCTCCAGCTCCCGTGACTTGGAGGGGACTGTGGGACTGAGGAGCGCAGAGCAGAGAGCACACTCTGTGCGGTGACTCCGAAGCTCCCCGGCTGTGGCGCTTCTGTGGATGTGGGAGCCCAGGCCAGGCAGGGAGCAGATGCAGGGACTCTGCCTCATTGAATTCTGGTGAGGGACGTTGTAGTTGGCGTGGTTCTCCCGAAACGCGCCAGGAAAAGCTTCCGCCAGAGATTCGTTGCCTCAGAAACTGCGTGACGCGCAGGAGTCAGACTTCCGCTGGGACGTCAATAAGAAACTGGGGAATTACTGTGTATTTGCTCTCTAGATGACTGAATAAGGGAAAAGTTAGGGAACGCTGAGAGGTGCAGCCCTTCCGCTGTGCCCCGCCCTGAGAACAGTGTTTCGGACGCTGGGAAGCGTGCTGTGCAAAGCGCTCTCGGGGTCTTTCCTCAGCCTCGAAAACTGGGCTCTGGAATGCCTTTGTACATATGTGTGTTTAATTGGTTTTGAAGTGAATAAAATTCTCAAAAAGATGACATATTGTCTTTTGACTCTCATTCCGTGTTTGTGTGTAACTGATTTTCCAAGTGAAGGGGTGGCCTGCCCCTCCACACCTGTGGGTGTTTCTAGTCGGGTGGGATGAGAGACGGAGAAAAGAAATCAGACACAGAGACAAAGTATAGGGAGACAACAGTGGGTCCAGGGGACCGGCACTCAGCACACCAAGGACCTGCACCGGCACCGGCCTCTGAGTTCCCTCAGTTTTTATTGATTATGATTTTCATTATTTCAGCACAAAGGAATGTAGTAGGGGAGCAGGGTGATAATAAGGGGAAGGTCAACAAAAAAAAAAAAACAAAAAAAAAAAAAACCACGTGAGCAAAAGAATCCATATCATTATTAAGTTCAAGGGAAGGTACTATGCCTGGACGTGCACGTAGGCCAGATTTATGTTTCTCTCCACACAAATATCTCAGCGGAGTAAAGAATAACAAGGCAGCATTACTGCCAGCATGTCTCGCCTCCCGCCACAGGGCAGCTTTTCGCCGAGCTCAGAGTTGAACAAATGTACGATCGGGCTTTACACGGAGACATTCAGTTCCCAGGGGCAAGCAGGAGACAGTGGCCTTCCTCCATCTGAACTGCAAGAGGCTTTCCTCTTTGACTAATCCACCTCAGCACAGACCCATTGCGGGTGTCAGGCTGGGGGACAGTCAGGTCTTTCCCATCCCACGAGGCCATATTTCAGACTGACACATGGGGAGAAACCTTGGACAATACCCTGCTTTCAAGGGCAGAGGTCCCTGTGGCTTTCCACGGTGCATTGCACCCCTGGTTTATTGAGACTAGAGAATGGCAATGACTTCTACCAAGTATACTGCTCGTAAACATTTGGTTAACAAGGCGCGTCCTGCACAGCCCTAGATCCCTTAAACCTCGATTTTATACAGCACAGGTTTTGGTGAGCTCCAAGTTGGGTCAAAGGAAGGGGCTGCGGCAAAGCTACAAATGATCAACATCTCAGCAAAGCAATTGTTTAAACTACAGGTCTTTTCCAAAATGGAGTCTCTTGTGTCTTCCCCTTCTACATAGACACAGTGGCAGTCTGATCTCTCTTTCTTTACCCTACATCCAAGGGCTTGAACATATCTTGACTTGTTGGCAATCCAAATCGTTACGTCTCCGAAACAGAGTTGACTGAGGGGACCGCAGGGCTGGGCAGGACCTTTGACTTCCTATACATCCACAGGAGCAAGAAAACCTCAGCCCCACTCTACCAACACGCACCTAGTAAAATTCCGCCAACCGAATCTCACGCACGCTAACACGTGGGGAGCGTTGCTTGCACCACGAGTCCCCATTTGGCTCAACCGCCGATGCCAAGTGTGTGGTTCCAGTTGCGACGGCCCCCCGTGAAGTGGCTTCCGGATGTGCGAAGGAACCAGGCAGCGTTTCACTGGCCAAATAGACCCCAGCAAAGCTGAAGTTAACTCCCACATTTGGGATGTACTTCAGAGGTAAAACATTCATCCCGTCTTCTTTCCGGATGTCTGACACCATGGTTCTCCCCCTGATCCTAAGAGTTGCTGAGGTAGAGACTCACTGAAAGATCTAGGCGGGGATATCCCATCATGCACAGGCTCTCTCCATTCTCTGACCTGGGAACAACTCTCAGCAGGATTCCACATCTAGGAGGCCTCGGAACTCAGTGGGATTTTCTGAGACACACCAACTGGCTGCTCCCTTTCCGCCGCTGTTGAGGGTCGTTATCTTGATTATCCAGATCACCTAGAAAGTATCCGTATCCAGAATGAATAAGATCAACTCTCTGCTCCTCTGACAGCAGAAGGAGCAGGACCATAAGGAACCAAAGAGTGTGGAAGGAAACGATGTGACAGGAAAGCTCAGAGAACGGCCACAGGGGGTCGTCAGCAGGCCTTCGAACCTGAATCATGAATAATTAATGAAGCGCAAATCAAAGGGGACTCGAGTTTCAGCAGGAGCAATTCATCCAACGGGAGATCGCCGGAGGGCCAACAAGATTGAGAGACTGGGAGCCGGGTGCAGTGTCAAAGGGGACGCGACTGGTTCCAAAGCTCGAGAAGACCATGGGGTCACTTGGGCTACATGAGAAAACGCCCCAGTGTGCTGGTTCATCATTCCGACTCCTGCCTGTCTCTTCCGGTTCAGGGAACATAGACCCTCACTTGTGTTATCCAGTTGTCGTTCTTTTTTTAGATACTTATGCAGTGATACACTACTGTAACTATTTTTTAAATTTATATTTAGGCCTCTCCTCATAAGATACATTAATCAAGAGCCTTTCCATTGTGTTTCAAAACACAGTAGCATCTCACTCTACACACCGGACATGCCTGGTTACTGTTTTATCCAAAATGTTTGAAATCAGCATTGTGATTGCCTTTTTTTTTCTACACGAAGGAGATAGAAACTTGTCTGTCCTCCTCAAAGTTATGGCCCTGCCTTTATAAAAAAAATGCTGCCCAAATCATGAAATTTAGTGTACAGGTATATGAAATACAAACCAAAAATTGAAAACAAAACTTAGGAATGGCAAGTGGTAATGTAAACTTGATGAGCCAGAGCAGAAGCGTGTCTCACTTGGAAGCAATCACAGCAGTCACCACTATTTCATCCTATAATTTCAGTATTTATTGAAAAGCATTGGCCTGGGGAGTGTGGGGAACCTGAACAAAGACAAGGACTGGGTCACAGCACGGAGAAAATGGTGAAAATCTCAGGGCATACATACAGTGTCAAGCTTAGGAATTATTATCTATACATCAGACCAATGACTACATGGACACCAGCAATCAAGGGGCTGTGTTAGCCCTGGGAGTGAGCAGAGTTCTTCAGGTGAATTTTCACGCCACTGAAAGCATGCTGAAAGCAGAACCCTCACGTTGAGGAGTAAGGGATTTGATTGAGTGTGGTTGCATTTAAGAGGTTGAATATGGAAGAGAAATTCTAAGGGACACTGTGTGCCAAGTGAAATGGGAGCACTTTATTTACACACCTTGCAGTTCTTCGTCTCCCTGCAGCATCTGGGATCCTCTGCTAGTGAGCACAATGGATCATGATGGGAAACAGAGAAGGGGAAGCAAGAGGTTCCTGGAACTACTCTCCCTCCACATTTTAGGGCATGCACTGACTAAGGATTTGGCCAATCTCTGATCTATCAATGTAAGTGGTGGATCTTGGCTACATCCCTTCTTGAAAACACATCTTCGTGCTCTGGTTGGAGAACTATGGTGAACCCTGTGGCAGACCTGAGTGCTGGACTTGGTGAAGGGTGCATAGGTCTGAGGGAGGAGTTGGGCAAAGTCTCCATCCTATACAGGCTGAAGCTGAGATTGGCTGGTCTAGGGAATCCCACTGGACTAGGTGTGGTTGGTAAAGGGTAGGGCACAGAGGAGAAAGTATGCAATGCGCAGTAGGATTATTGAAAGAGAAGCGCTGAGCCAAGCAACATGGTTTTCTTCGGATCTCATCAAGGGCTGGTGACATACGGGTTCTGCCTCCCCCTCTTCTGTAGGTGAGCGCGGCACATTGTCTCTTTCATGTCTGAGGTGTCTCTGTCTTGAACATGGAACTCCAAGGTGAAGTCATCCACAGAGTGCTAGATGTAATCGATCTGCAGAGGGAACTGCAGGCCATCCAGTGACCTCAGGACATGCTCAGGCACAACCACAAATACGCTGTTACCCAGGGTCAGGGCAGGGCTGTCTGTGGGGACAGGATGAGGACATACTCTTCCAGTCTCAGTGTGAGTTCTGTCCCTTGTTCCGGGACCACGATGATGAACGTCTCTGTGCTGGAATTCTGCTGCTGCTGTGGAACGACAGCCCTCAGTCCACTGCCTTCAAAAAAGACTGCAAATGATGCTCCTGGGGAGGGAGCTGGAGCAGCTTCACCCTCTACAACTTTAAAATACAAATTTCCTCCTAGAAGTGGCAGTCATGCTGACCCTGCTGAATGCACCACCACTGGATGTGTCTTGTGGCCTGGAGATTATGCAACATAGTCCAATCTTTGCTATCCATGAACATAGGGAGTTACCTGGGGTGATTCCAGGCCTGGAATGAATTCATGTGAGGAATTCTTTGAAGTAAGGGTGTTTCTGCATCTGTGGTGAGACCACAGTGAGGGAGGTTAAGGCTCCCCACCTTTTTTTCTTCTTTCTTTCTTTCCAGACACAGGAGATAATCAACAAAGACCAGGCTCCCTTTTAAATCCAATAAGAAACATTTTACAACCTACTCCCTCTCAAGTCTACTATCTGAAGGTTCCTCTGCACAGTAAAACTTGGCCTCCCCACCTCTTTATCTTAACCTAAACATTTCCTTTCAATAGATCCCTGGTCTTAGATAAACTCATCCAATTATCAACCAGATAATTTTTAAATCTATCTATAAGCTGGAAGCCCCCCTCCTTCAAGTTGTCCCACTTTTCTGGATCAAATCAACGTATTTCTTAAATGCACTTAGTTGAAGTCATGTCTCCCTAAAATGCATAAAACCAAGCTGCACCCTGATCACCTTGGACACACGTTCTCAGAACCTCCTGAGGGCTGGGTCACACGACATGGTCAATCATATTTGGCTCAGAATAAATATCTCCAAATATTTTGCAGAGTATGACTCTTTTCCTCAACAAGGTCATGATGATTAGGGTCAAAATTCACCGATATGAAGGACAGCCCCAATTTCTTGACTCAGAGAAATAAAGCAAGAGAAAACACATGGAGGAGGAGGAGGAGGAGGAGGAGAAGAACCTGGAGCTCCCGCCTGCCCCTGGGTGAGTCCTGGAGGTGGAAGGAGAGGTACTTGATCCTGAGTTGGCCCCTGCTCCACCTGAAACAGAACCCTGGAGTGCCACTCCCTGAATGCGGCCCAGCTCTACCCAGGTTAGACACTCCCTTGCCCTAGAGCCTGGGTCCTCCCTGGCCCCCGCTACCACTGCTTCCTCAGAGCCCAGGCCCAGTGCACCACATCTGCCTCTGCACGGCTCTGGGAGGGCTGCACCAAGGACAATCTAGTCTCAGAGGGGACTTCCTGGACACAGGCGGGTCCTGACACCCTGAGGGAACAGAGGAGAATGGCCTTCACAGGGGCTGCTGTCTTGGGGCTCACAGAAGCGGCCTCTCCAGCGACCAGACTCAGAACCTACCCAGAGGCCCAGGCTGGTGAGGATGCCCTGGCTGGGCCTTTCATGTGGATGAAGGCAGTTCCCACCTCAGCCAACGTCTAAAACCCCGAGGAGAATCAAACCTGAAAGAGTCCCTGTCCTCCTTCCCAGAGGGGAAAGGCAGTTCCTGAAACCTCAGTAGAAGAGAAAATGCTGTGAGGGTTCAAGGGACCAAGGACGCCCTTCCCAGGCCAGCAAGGCCAGAGTAGGAGGAAGCTGCACCCACCTCCAGGGGACATGTGAGGTTTTAGAGGCTCAGGCAAGTCAAGGGCAAACGCCCTGTACTCCCCGCAGGGTCATGAGCACTCCCCACCTACTGGAGTTGGGCTCCAGAAGGCCAGGACATTATCCCTGCATCTCCCCTGCCTCCAGGACTCAGGCCTGAGCTCCCAGGTTGGCCAGGAAAAGCTAGTGGTAGCTCTAGCTGGCCATGGACATACAGGCTGGGACATGCAGGCCAACAAAGAGGTGCTGGGCCCTCAAGAGAACTTCTAGACTTCCTAGACACTCCAGAGACACAGAGACGTCCAGGCAGGACAGGGAGAGCCTGGAAGCAGCTGTGAGCAAGTGCAGGTGCCCGTCCCAACACACAGAGCTAAGCTCTGTTCAACCATTTGCTAAGCCAGACCCATCCCAGGGCCCAGAGGTGCAAACAGTGACCCCACTCAGGACTTGGAAGGAGGAGCACAGGAAAAGCCCCAAATTGGCCAAAAAAACTGTCAGAAATGTGGCAGTTATTTCATAAGTACATGAATAATAAACCCAAACAATGGAAAACAAAACTAAACAAAGGCAAATGTGAATGGAAACGTGATGAGTGAGAGCAGGAGAGTGTCTCAGTTGGAAGCAAGCACAGCAGTCACCACTACTTCATTCAATGACGTCAAGATTTATTCAAAAGCATTGGCCTGGGGAGTGTAGGGAACCTGGACTAAGACAAGGAATGGGGCACAGCTTGGAGAAAAAGGGGAGAGTCTCAGGGCAGAAATAGAGCATCAGCCTTAGGAATTATTTATTGTGGCATCAGACCAATGACTACAAGGACATCAGCATGCAAGGGGCGGTGTTAGCCCCCGGGAGTGAGCAGCTGTCTTCAGATGAACTTTCAGACCACGTCATGCTGGAAGCAGAACTCTCACATGGAGCAGTCAGGGATTTGATTGAGTGTGGTTGGATGTATGTGCTTAAATAGGAAGAGAAAGTCTAAGGGACAGTGTGTGTGAAGTGAAATGTGAATGTTTTATTTGAACTCCCTGCAGTTCTCCCCCTCCCTGCAGCATCTGGGACCCTCCGCTGTTGAAGACAGTGGTTGATGATGGGGAACAGCAAAGGGCAAGCAAGTGGTCAAATTACTTTCTCTCCACATTTCAGAGAATGCACTGACTAAGGATCTGGACAATCTCTGACCTATCAATGCAGGGGGTGGCTCTTGGGTTAAATCACTTCCTAAAGAGACATCTCCGTGCCCTGCTGGGAGGCCTATGGTGAACCCTGTGATAGACCTGGGGACCAGGACTTGGTGAAGGGGGCATAGGTCTGAGGGAGGAGGTGCACAAGAGCTCCATACCATGCAGGCTGAAACTGGAGTCGGCTGGTCTAGGGCGTCCCACAGGACTAGGTGTGGGTGGTAGAGGGTAGCATTGGGGGAAGGCTGCCCGACAGCGTGGAATGCACAATGGGGTTACTAGGAAAGAAGGGCTGATCCCAGCCATGTGGTTTGCTTGGGGTATCATCAAGGGCTGCTGATACAGGGGTGCTGCCTTCCCTTCTTCTGCAGGTGAAAAAGGCACATTCTCTCTTCTCATGTCTGAGATGTCTCCATCTTGAGCATGGAACTCCAAGCTGAAGTCATCAACGGAAGGTATGATGTACTGGATCTGCACAGGGGACTGCAGGCCATCTTCTGACCTCAGGACATGCTCAGGGACAATCACAAGGACTGTGTTCTCCAGGGTCAGCTGCAGCACTGTCTCTGGGGCCAAGATGAGGATGACCTCTTCCAGGCTCAACCTCACTTCTGTCCCTTGTTCCAGGACTATCATGAGCTCCTCAGTGCCAGAATCCTGCTGATTCTGTGGAAAGACAGTCCTCAGTATTCTGCCCTCCAAAAAGGCTGCAAATGATGCTCATGGGGAGGGAGATGCCAGGAGCTTCACCCTTTACAACTTTAAAATACAAACTCCCTCCCAGAATTGGTGCTCATGCCAATCCACCTAAATATACATCCACTGGATGTCCCTTGAACCTGAAGATTGTGCAGCACTATCCAATCTTTGCTATGCAAGGACACAGGAACTTACCTGGGGAAGTTCCAGGGACTGGTATGAATTCAGGTGTGGAGCTCCTGAAATTGAGGGTTTTTTTGCACCTGCAGAGAGACCACAGTGAGGGAGGTTAAGGCTCTCTTCCAGCAAGAGTCTCTTGCATTTCAGAATGTGACCTTCAGAAATCCACCACCCAGCACTGGCCAGCCTCAGGACACCAGCCCCCAACAGTCAAGCACGACTTTCCACTCACCCTGCAGAAAGCACCCTCTCCATTTATGGTATCATGAGACATGACACTGACTTCCAGGCATGGGAATCTTAAAAAATATTAGGGAAAGTGCCTTACCTGTACTGGGACCCTGCTCCACTTGGCGACGTTTGGGTGGATTCATTTGTGTGGTAGCCAAACTGCAGGACAGAAAGGGACCCATCAATCTTCCACATAGTGACACAAAGTCCAATTCTCACAAGCCCCAAACTTCATTAGTCATCCGGCACACATTGCTGCTGTGGCCCAAAATCACATGCACTTGTGTTCAGCTCCAAATCCTACCTGCATCCAGAAAGTCCTAACACTCATATCCCACCCTCTCCTTTTCTAGAGGCTTTTCCTATCGGTGCATGTGTGTGATAAGACATGGCGATCACAGGAAACAGTTTGCTTTTTCAGGAGCTCATCCACATGAGAAGGAGGGACATCAAATTTGGCCCGAGGACTTTAGGAGAAGATGCTGATTTTCCGGGTATCTAACCCCTGTGTCTATGCAGTTACAGTGTGAATGGAGTGATAAATGACATGAAATGTTCCATTTTCTAGTGAGCACAAGGAAAAAATTTAGATCATGCCCACAGTTTACCTGTCTCCACACAAGAGGCAACTTCTGTTTACCCAGAGGACAGAGATTAACAATGGGAAGAAACATGAGATGAGCCCCCTGACAGGCTGCAGAAACCCCCCATGCTGGCTGCATCCTGTGGCCTCCACTGTGGGTCTCATGTCTCCCCAATGTGTTCTAAATTTATAACATTCAATGTCATGGCAGGCCAGGGTGTCTTCTCTGCCCTAGTTTGGCCCTTTAGCATACATTCACACACACACACACACATACAGTCACACACAGTCACATGTCAACCTCCTGGCAACCCAAAGTAGCCACATACTCCAACATACCTGGTCTCTCCTTCATTGTCATTCTGCGGTTCTGTCTGGGAATCTCTGGGGCTTCTTAAGCGCCGGTAACCATACATGGTAAAAGTTCTCTGGACTTGCTTGTGTCAAAAAAATCTCAATCTTTGGCCTATTTTCTGTAAATCTATATAGTTCGTGCCTTGATCTTTTACTCTACCTGGAGAAAAATTATCAGCCTCTAGCACAGCACAGCCAGAGCATGGAAGAGTGTGTCCTGGCCTGGGACCGGTCAAATGGTGCTTTGGTAGAGTGAGCTCTTGGGGAAATCCTCCAAGGGTCTTATAAGAGGTGGAGCCATGGGATTTGTCAAAATGGATGAATGTGATTGGCTAGTGGTGCTGATTAAACAACATGAAGGGCCAGCATGGGAGTGGTTTTATCAAAACTCAGTCAATATGAGTGTGACCCAGTCAGAATTAGCCTAATTCAATCAAAATTAATTCAAGATCTCTACTCTGATTCACCATATAATTGTGACATAAAATAACAGTATTTTAAACTAGCAATATTTACTTTCTATTGTAGTCTGTTCATTAATTTGGTAGGACAGTTATTTTCTGTAAAGTTCATGTGTACGTCGTTTCTTAGTAAACATAAAGGATTGGGTCTAGGAAACTTTAAATATGCCACAATTTGTATATACTCAAGTCCCTTGTATAAAACGGCGTAGAATTTGAATATAACATAATCACATTAATTTATATAATTTAAATGATCTCTAGATTACTTACAATACTTAATGCAATGCCCAGACGTCACGTCATTTATGTGAACTCAAAAAGAATGTGATGCATGGAAAATTTAAAGTTTCTTTGAAGAAACTTGTGCAAATCTTTTGTGAATATTTTCTATTCAAGATTAGTTGGATCCATGAATATGGAACCTATGGATGTGGAGGGCTGACAGTATTTTTAAATAAAAAAAAATACGTTATTTTAAGTGAATTAAGTTTTAAAATGAATCTCCTGGGGAAAGTTATCCAAACAGAAGAAGCGAATACTATAAGACAAGCTGGGGAAAATACAAAAAGAACCTTTACTTAATTTCTAATATATCATTGTGTATTAATCTGTCTGTTAATTTATTTCTTGCCTGTATCCCCGCTGGACTAATTTCAGAATTGTAATGCAAGTTTTGCTTTCAACATTACTTATTAATTACAAATCCATCATTCTTATTGGCAAAGTCACCTAAACTTCTTGCAGGTGGCCAGACACCATATGCCTGAACTCAGAATTAGTCATTTTAAGATTAAAAATTATTTGACAGTATAAAGAATAATAGATGGTATTGGGGGAAAACAGTAATCCAGTAATCACTAGAACTGAACTAGAAGGAAAATCTGTGAGGGTGCACCATTACTGAGCGTGCCATCTCTAACAGGCCCCTGAGCTCAGGGCTTCATCCTCTCTCTAGAACTTGTATAAATTTGTTTGTGGATTCTCTTTGCATTTAGCTGATAATTTCATCAGTTTTATTAGGTGAAGTATAGACCCTGTTTCCCTTAAATGTTAAAAAAAAATTGAATCTAATTAGCAGATGCCTTTTGCACTGAAGCTTTCTTCTCCAGTTAGATAAATCATTTAGATGAATAAAAGGAAAACAGGAAGATTCCTTTAATTTTGCCAATGTCTTAAAAGCCTCCAAGGGGAACATTAGTGCCTTTATCCAGAGAACTCTCTGCTTTGGGGATTTTGATAATTTCTGAGGAGAACAGCAGGTAATTAGCTGAATATCAGCTGCAGTTATAAAATTGGATTAATTGCCTACATTCTTTCTGGCTGCGGGGTTCAGGTTGAGATATTCAAGAAATAGCCTCTATTGATGATTCTGGAGTATGTATATTTTACAGTCAAGAAAGAGAAAGGCTCCTCATGGTGAGTTTCTGTGTGTCACGTCTAGCTGAAAACCTATGGACTGCAAACCAGTACAAGAATAAAAATATGAGGGACGTGCCAAATACATATTCTACCTTTATAATCGCTTTGATTATAAACCAAATGTTTTAATAGATAAATTAATAAATTTGCAGCATAAATGTCTCAGGATATATCCTGCAGCACAGAATAATAACTTATTTTTGAAGAAATATTTAAGCAATATGTTTTCATTTGGGGTAGAAACTATTTTTCACAAAAGTGTAGCTTTCCCCTTGCATGTGTAATGAAAATCACTTTTAAATCTGCAGTGCTAGGGTAAAATTAAAGACGTGGCTCTTGCCGTTTTAATAGCAACAATTAAAGGATGCATTAGTGCCCCTCCCTTTCATTGTCTCACTATTTTTCAGTGAATTTGGCACTGTAGGAAAGATGAGCCCCTCACAATGTGGAAATGCAGGGATGCAGAGTGCGGGGTTTCCCTGCAGGGGCCCCTTTCTCGCGAGCTGCGCGACAGTGCGCCGCCGTGCCCCGGCCACATACTCCTTCCTCTGCAGGGTCCCCGTATTCTGTAGATTTTCCTCACAATTCTTCTTGTGTTTCTCCTCATAATGAATCCTGACAGAGGTTGCGAGGAAGGCACATTACGGCCTGCTATGGTTATCAATGAAAATCCCTAAGGAATACGTAGATTTGTAAAATAATTCTTGCTAATATATCCCAACAGACAGTGCAGAAGAAAACACGTAGGAACAGCCCAGAACATTAAGTCTTTAGTGCTGTTTCAGAAAAATATCCGGGAGACGCGCAGGGAATCTCACTCCTCATCAGGTAGGGCTGTGAACAGCAGCGTTTTCCTTAAGATGGATGCAGCCCCATTTGCCCCAAAGCCAGGGCGGCGCCTCCTCCTCCCTGGCCTGAGGAAGGGAAGTTCCCTTCTTCCTTGGCGATCTGGCCCCGCTTCCGCAAGCAGAATGCGCATGCGCCCCGCACGACCAGAAAGCGAGTTCCATTGCCCTCTGCCGGCTATGGGCTTGCAGCGCGGGACTCTTGGCCTTCACTGTTTAGCGGTTGACCTGCGTCTGTATCGCTGAAATTCCGGTTTTATCAGTACCTTCCTTTTGGAAGATCAAATGCAAATGGAGCACGGTATCTTTTTTCTTTTTCTTTTTTTTTTATGAAAGAGGGTGGAAATAAAGAAGCAAAGTCCAAAGACCGTATAAAATAGTCTGTTGATTCCCTGTATGTGGAGGAAAGAGGAGCTCGAATAAGAGAAACATTCTGTGTGATGCTTTAATGCCAGAGATCTGCCACTATGCATTTGTCAAATACAATACAATTTTACAGCACAAATAGTACATCTTAGTGGGTCAGGATTACAGCAAATGACATCTAAAATTTGGAGAACATTACATATTTAATTAAATAGGTCAAAGTATAAACAATGTGAGGCCTGCCTGGACACAGTCTCTGCCTGTCCTTCCAGATTGTCATGGGCTTGAATTGATGTCTCCTCATCCTCACACAGGAATTGACATAAACCCTGGCTTTAACGTAAAAACAGTTGGGCAGATTTGTAAACATTATGATGTTTCACTTTCACCCATGAATTAGCCAATTTAATTGGCCTCAGTAAAGTCTATGATTTTGGGATTGTGCAGTTTGGTAAAAGCTCAAAGTCCTCTCAGTATATTTCCTGGGACCACTTCTCCTTGATATTTAGATTCAGTACTGAGATTTGTTGAAGCACAATATGTATCCAAGCCCGAGTCAAAGCAGAGGATGCCTGCTGGTCAGAAGATTCATTTTGCTTGTGGAAAAGTCCATTGCATTTGATATAAAAGGGCTTGCATGGTGACTGAGAAGTTAGGGTGTTTTAGTTTGCTGGTGCTTTATCTGCTAGGCTATAGTAAGGGGAGCAATGCTGTGTCCTTCTCTGTGTCATAACGCAATTACTCACTTGAATGAAAAGTGGGATGTCATGAGATGAATTCCTTTTCCCTCTTTGGGAGGCTTTAGGAACAAAATCTCAAGAGTTTTCTGAGGGATACAAGAGCAGGGCTGCCTGACTCTCTGCCCCGGGAGCTGTTCATGGGCAGAGACGAGGGCTGGGGTCATCCAATGGTTTATACAAGGTGTCTTTGATATTACTCCCATTTCCCTGCTAAATCTGTGTAATGGCTCATTGAGAAACCCGGCATGAAGATCCCTGTTTTGACAACTCCAGGGATGGATGGAGACAAATATTTTTGTTGGAAGTTAGAATTAGGGGACATGGGCTGTGCGGCAAAAATAAAAAACTCTTGAAGAAGGCAGGGACTCGAAGAAAGGGGTGGAATTTCTGCCCACATGCCAAAGAGTGCAGAAGGAATTCTAAGTGTTAGAGCAGCATCAGTAAAACTAGATCTTGTACAACATATTACATTTTTCAGGAACAGGCTATATTGTTTCAATATTTGCAAGTATTGTTCTCTTAAAAAACTTGAGGAGCTGCTTAGACCTCTGGAGAGAAAAATTGAGACATGTAAGAGGGCAGGAGTGACACAGTGGTGACACACTCTGGAGTCCTGCCTACAAGCAGCACCCTTTGACCCACTCCACAAAAGCTCTATTCCACAGCTCAATTCCTCCTTAAAAAAAAGGTGAGAAAAAAATCTAAAACTTAGGAGAAAACAAGGAGAATGACCCACTTTCAAGCACTTCTTAGATTTTACGACAACTCTACTAGCCAGACTTTATGTAAAATGGAAGTAACGTGGTCTTTGTGCACATTTAAAAAAAAAAAAAAAAAAAAAAAAAGCCCTAAGGTCGACCTGCAAGTTATAGATTTCCTAAGGTCTCTTTTTCTCTCTTTTCTTTTCTGCCTGCTTTATATCAGCTGTTACATTATGACTGAGATAAAAGCCACTGTTTGGATATAACAGGGTTTTGTTTGTCTGTTTGTTCGTTTTTCAAGCCAGTTTCATATCATTCCTAAAGTTCTCAACCAAAAGCTACAGGATTTTCTTTTCTGTGCAAATATGTGCATGTATATATTTAAAAGGCTTTTATGATTTCTATAATTTTATGTTATGTAGCAGTTACATCCATTTTAATTTCTGTCTAGCACAACAGACTATTTCGCTGTGTTCCTCAGATGTAAGTTTCCTATCTGATTTTCACCTATGAATTGTTTCCTTTGATATGCAGAGTAAGGCTATTTAGCTGACAGCTACCTAAGGTAGTCAAACAGGTTATCAAGAATTTGAAAACCTAAGACAGGAAAAAATAGGATCTTATGAATCTATAAGATGTACATCTATTGGCATGCCTAATACATCTATGTATTTATGTGTTGTGTACACAATGTTTCACTATTAAAAATATATACAAGAGCTCTAATTGGCTTTAAAAATAAAAGCACATAAATCAGATACTTAATCAAATAAAAGACTACACAAATGCTTTTTAAGGTCACTTGACTTAAAATATTTAATAAATGAGCTGGCTTTAAAATTATGGGTAAAGTAAAATTAGAAATGTCGTAAAAATTGTTAGCATTTTTGTTTTGTGTTTATTGATCAAGTAATTCCATGCTTAATCCTGCAGAATAATATAAGATTAACCATAAGGGTTATAAAATTATGAAAGCCAGACCAAGACAAAATGATCTTTGCTTGTGTAATTTTAGACAAGAAAGACATGGAATATTCTTTTAATGAAATCCTAAATTATTTGTAAAAATACTCTTATATTTAACTTTAGGTTTCCTATGTAAGTAAACACCTAAAATGCACAGCTATAAAAAAGGGTAACAGGGAAATAACTTACAGAAGGACTGTTACAGTTTTGGTCAATAATCTAGGTAAACTATTGAATAATGTAATCAGGAAAATGTGATGGAATAAATGCTCGTAAACAAACTTGTCATATAATTTAGGATCTAAGGTTATTCATAAATATTGAGTATACAGGTAATTCAAAACTTAAAAATTATAAAAAATTTTTAAGTGTTCTTATTAAAATGTAAATATCTTTGTGTAACTGACAGCCTACTTAAATGTTATGTATAAAAAGAACCAGAAAAAAAGAAATGTAAAAAAATTTAAAGTGGTACCTTTTTATAGAGAAGGGATAAAGGAAAATAATTTTATATCAGAAAGAATCTTGTGTAGTAAATTTTTGCCCTAGAATAAAATGACTGGGTCATTCAAGAAAGAGGAATATTTAGGAAAAAACAGAAAGTCTAAACATGTTTTGAGTGGTCTATGTAAGTCATAACAGGATTAGTAAAAATATATTTTTTTAAAGGGGTTGTATAATTCAGTTGGCTACCATTAAAAAGGAATTATAATAGTCTTTCTAGGGATGGATCTTCGATATTTAAAAATATACACTAATGTAAAACTGAAATAATTGGTTAAAACAAGATTTTTATTAAAAATATTAACTTATTACTAATGCAAAAAGTTATTAAATTTTAAATTCTAGAATCTGTCTCTTTGAAATTCTTCAGATAAAATAGGTCAAAACTTCAGCTCTTCCTCTTTGAAAGGGCCATGGATGATAGCTCTCTCCTTCACCTTTTGTTGGCTCCTGTAACTTTTATTAATTATCTAAAGTAAGAAAGGGAATTTTTTTAAAAAAACAGTCAAATGAAATATCCTTTGGACCTGCCTTTTTATTCCGCATGAGTGTTATATCTCTATCTTTATATGTGTCATGTGGAAGTGGTATTTAACTCCCAAACTACATGAAAGAGCTCTAGACAAGTAACTTTTCTTAAAGAAATGTAGCTGCTTGTTAGACTGGTACAAGCTATCTCAAATGCCCTTTTAATTTTCATAACCTTAAGAATCTTTGGTAAAATTAATGTGGTAAATTCCATCTCAAAACTCTCCAGTAATTTAAAAGCTTCAAGTCATGTTAAAATCTCAGGTTAGGTTATTTTTCACTGGAAATTTGGATTGCTGAAAGTTAAAATAGCAAGAGCATAAAATTTGTTTTTGGTGAATTTTATAAAGCATAAAAATGTTGACTTTGCTTAAAAAAGAAAATATATTTTTCCTCTAGCTAGAAAACTATTTAAGAGTTGCTTTAAAATGAAAGGAAAAATTATACGGATATAACTAAATAAAAAGAGTAATTAAGCTAGGGCAACAAAAGTTAACTCTGAGACCCGTGGCTACCAAAATGATAGTCAATCAATGTGGGGGAAGAGCAAAACTAACTATTTAGAACCAGAGGGTATACTGTAAAGAATTGTTCCATTTTGTAGTTTAGTATCATCAGCTTCTTTAAAAAATCCTTACTATGATGGATTGAGAAAAAACACTTTAAGGACAAGATTCTTAATTTTAAATGTTACACGATTTAAGAGCTTGTTTGGGTTAATGCAGGACCCACAGTTCACTATTGAACAACCACTAACATGTGATCCAAATACCCAGGAGGTTATTCCTAAGAGAATAATCAGCATAATATACCCAGAAAATGCCACCATAAAGTCTGTTTTCTCTGAGTAGGGGACTACCTAACTCTCCCAATAAAATACCAAGTGAAACACCCCAGATGGAGCAGTTAATATGCTTCTTATGTGAACCATGTTGGACTGGCTTAATAATGACTGGGATATGCTCCCACCAAACTGTCTGTTACCCAGGTTATGTTAAATTTGGGTGCTAAGAGGGCCCCTTTTACATGGATGCTCCTCCCACAAAATCATGAGAGTGTTTGAGGAGTCGTATCAAATTTGCTGCCCCTTAGAGGTCTTATAGATGCAACTCCCTGCTGAGAAACCAAACCCTTTTTCAATAGAAAAGGTAAAATGATTTGGGGGTATTAAAAAAAAATTCTGGGACCAGAACATATAAACATACAGGTTAATAGAGTTATGAAATTTAAAATGTTTAAACAGGTTTTATGTAAGGTAGTTGTAACCTCCTTTACTACCTGGGAGAGGTTTCCCCTTTCTAGTAGTATAAAACTGAAGGCATATAAATCTGCTCTTTTGAGAAATGTTAATTGGACATGCCAAATGGGAACTAGTAAGACTGCCTAAGCCCACAAAGTATAGGGTAGAAGCTGGAGTGCTAGTCGGGACAAATCCTGCACTTCATAGCCCTTTGTGTAACATTTATTGGGGCTGATGGCAAAAAAAAAAAAAAACTGTGAGTTCTTCCTGATGACAAAGATAGAACAAGGGAATTTCTAGCTCAGGGACATTTAGTACCTTACTATGGAATGCTAACTGAACCAACTTCTATGATAGTGGAAATAATGTTGCCCCAAAAGAGTTTCGTGATAAAATAAAAATGGTTTACATAGAATCTTGCTACATGGGGATATAAGGAGGAGATACTAATAAGCAGGCAGCCTCATTCCTAGGACTAATTCTAACTCTGTGAGGAGCTGCTAGATTGCATAGTGCCTGATAGACAGCTCTCAGGAGCGGTTTGGCTTGTGCATGACATTTCCAAGATGATAAACAAACATCTTGTGTGAAAGCCACTGCTCTTGTTAAAGGAGGGTCCAGACAATCTTTTTCTTTAATTCATTTTGATGAAGTTTGTTTTTGTAAGCAAATTATCTTTCTGAGTTCTCCAAAATTCAGATCCTAATTTTATGACAATATGGTTGTTTGCATAAGTTTCAATAAGAGTCTTTAAAACAATTAGAGACTTGAACTAAAGTGGTATATTTTTAGGTAAGGTGCCAGCAAAGCCAACTTAAAATGAGTCTATGTGGCCAATCAATTCTTGCTGCATTTTAAGCAAATAATCCGGCCAACCATGATAAGACTAAAACTTACTTGGCACACAAACTGGTCTTACTATAATCTCTAAAAAAAATGCAGATAGAACAATTGTTTAAAAGGAAAAGCTTAAGGATTAGTACTAGATTTCAGTCCTAACTCTTTTTAAGTGCAGATTAAATCATTATTTCTTTGCTATAATAATCCTCTAGAGAGTACCAGATCATAATTTATCTCCATATTTTTAGCTGGTTCCCTAATGAAGTAGGTTCCTTTTTCCATTCTGACACACAAATAATCTTTTGATTGTGAAACTATAAATGTTATTTACCTCTCCTTGTTTTACTTCCAAGGAAACCAAAATTACGGTATTCTGAAGACTAGAGATATGAATCCCCCTCAGCTGACATCCCACTGGGTTCAGATCTGTATTTCACCGCGAATCTTCTGCTGCTAAAACTATACAAGCACCCTCTCTCTAGGCTCAGGGACTGTCTTGGAAGAGGCAGGCACATGAGATTGTAAGAGCTAGTTTTGAGGCATGAACTTAGGTCCATGTCAAACTCTCCAAATCAAGGAGGGGTACAAAGATGGTACAGCCGGCAAAACAAGGGACATTTCCTTCTAGACTATAGTGTGTCACTTTTGCATCCACCCCAACCATAAACAATTTTCTGCTTCTCATAGATTTAAAAGAAAATATTTACTGATAGGATAAAGATGCCTTATGACAAAGCCTCTTGGTACAATACTCCCAAGTATAAATTGCACATATAGTTTCAAATTGTGCTAATGCCATTAGTATACAATGGCAACAGCAATCCTGATGAATCCAGCAAAATTCGCCACCCAGAAATTAAAACTTGACCTCACTGGAAAAGTTGGAGCTGGCCTAGGTATATTGGTGTAAGCTGAGTTCATAGCTAACGAGGAGAGGCATCTCTTAGAGAAAAGTTTTCTGTCAAAAATAGCCCACATAGAAGGAATGTTATTCCAGGAAGATGGAAAAGGATGGGAAGCTCCTTTAAAAAATAATGCAACACTCATCAAATGGATAGGAGAAACCAAACAAAACATAAAAACATACTCTCAAACCCGAAGGTGGCAATGAGCATGTTCTGTAACCCAACAGGGGCTCATGTCTATTTCATTACAAACACAATCTAAGGTGGCTATGAAGCAATGGCCTATACTCATCTGTGCCGAGGCACAATCCAAACACCTGTGGAAAATACACGGCCCCCCAAACATATGGAAAATTTCGGATGGTAAATGTGACCTCAAACATGGTATTCTCAGAGCATAGGCACCAAAGTTAAATGAGGCTCAAAGGTATTCTGTGGTTCAACTGGCAGGCATTGTAAACAATACAGAAATACTCCCCTGGGGAAATAGGTGGACTATTTCAGCTCATGATAACACATGGCGTCCCATCTCCTTTTCAGATTGTGAAAACAGAAAAGGGGAATGGTTATGCCCTCAGTCCACTTAGAACCCTAATTTTCCCCAACTTAGCCCCTAATATCCACTCCCATAGCACATAACATTTGTTATATGGGAAAGGGCCATTTCTGTGGGAAAGGACAACAAAATGAAAGTATAGAATCATATGACTTCTCCTTTAAAGAACATTGTTTTCTCTCCCAAACACATACCAGTATATAGTGCAATACAAGTGGTGTGAAAAATAGGTGTGTCTACTGTTAACAAATCCTGTAACAATTTAGATATAGAACACCAGGCATTTGTTGCACTTGATTTATACCCTCGTCAGGATGTTATACCTATGGAGACCAATTGGCCCGAAGTAAACGAAGCTGCACCCTTACTACCTTGGGCACATGTTCTGAGGACCTCCTGAGGGCTCTTCAATATATTGCAGAGTTTGACTGCTTTACTCAACAAGGTACTGGGGATTAGGGTAGAAATACACCGATGTGAAGGACGGCGCCATTTCTCAACTCACAGAAATAAAAGAAGAGAAAACACCTGGAGAAGGAGGAGGAGAAGGGGGAGGGGAAAGGCGAGAGGAGGGGGAAGGGAAGGGGAGGGGAGGAGTGGAGGAGGAGGAGGAGGAGAAGGAGGAGGAGGAGGAGGAGGAGGAGGAGCAGCTGCTGAGCCTGGAGCTCCCGCCAGCCCCTGGGTGAGTCCTTGAGGTGGAAGAAGAGGGACTTGGTCCTGAGCCTGCCCCGGATCCACCCGCACCAGAACCCTAGAATCCCAGTTTCTGGATGGGACCCAGTCCCACCCAGGCCAGACACTCCCTTGACCCGGAGCCCGGGCCCTGCCTGGCCTCTGCTGCCACCTCTCATGACAGAGTCCAGGGCCCCCGCGCCACCTCCGCATCAGCAGGGCTCTGGGAGGGCGGGGCCAAAGACGCCCAATGGGACTTCCCGTCCGTAGGGGGATCCTGACGCCCTAAGGGCGCAGAAAGGCGCCCCCTGCACTGGGGCGGCCATCTTCGCTCTCGCAGAGGAAGGGGCCTCTCCAGCGCCCAGACTCAAAACCTCCCCGGAGGCCCGGGCTGGTGAGGACGCCCTGGCTGGGCCTCTCATGTGGACGAAGGCTGCTTCCGCCCCAGCCGAGATACAAAACTCTGAGGAGAATCAAACCTGAAAAGGTGCCTGTCCTCCTTCCCAGAGGGGAAAGGCAGTTCCTGAAACCTCAGTAGAAGAGAAAACGCTGTGAGGGCTCGGGGGACCAAGGACACTCTTCCCAGGCCAGCAAGGCCAGAGTAGGAGAAAGCTGCACCCACCTCCAGGGAACATGTGAGGTTTTAGAGGGTCAGGCAAGTCAAGGGCAAACGCCCTGTACTCCCCCCGGGGTCATGAGCACTCCCCACCTACTGGGGTTGGGCTCAGGGAGGCCAGGACATTATCCCCGCATCTCCCCTGCCTCCAGGACCCAGGTTGACTAGGAAAAGGTGGTGGTGGCTCTAGCTGGCCATGGATGCACAGGCTGGGACATGCAGGCCAACAAAGAGGTGCTGGGCCCTCAAGGGGACTGCTAGATTTCCTAGACACTCCAGAGACACAGGGACACCCAGGCAGGACAGGGAGAGCCTGGGAGCAGCTGTGAACAAGCGCAGGTGCCCATCCGAACACACAGAGCCAAGCTCTGTTCAATCACTTGCTAAGCCAGACCCATCCCAGGGCCCAGAGGTGCAAACAGTGACCCCACTCAGGACTTGGAAGGAGGAGCACAGGAAAAGCCCCAAATTGGCCAAAAAAACTGTCAGAAATGTGGCAGTTATTTCATAAGCACGTGAATAATAAACCCAAACAATGGAAAACAAAACTAAACAAAGGCAAGTGTGAATGGAAACGTGATGAGTGAGAGCAGGAGACTGTCTCAGTTGGAAGCAAGCACAGCAGTCACCACTACTTCATTCAATGACGTCAAGATTTATTCAAAAGCATTGGCCTGGGGAGTGTAGGGAACCTGGACTAAAACAAGGAATGGGGCACAGCTTGGAGAAAAAGGGGAGAGTCTCAGGGCAGAAATAGAGCACCAGCCTTAGGAATTATTTATTGTGGCATCAGACCAATGACTACAAGGACATCAGCATGCAAGGGGCGGTGTTAGCCCTGGGAGTGAGCAGCTGTCTTCAGATGAATTTTCAGGCCACATCATGCTGGAAGCAGAACTCTCACATGGAGCAGTCAGGGATTCGATTGAGTGTGGTTGGATGTATGTGGTTAAATAGGAAGAGAAAGTCTAAGGGACATTGTGTGTGAAGTGAAATGTGAATGTTTTATTTGAACTCCCTGCGGTTCTCCCCCTCCCTGCAGCATCTGGAGCCCTCTGCTGTTGAAGACAGTGGGTGTTGATGGGAAACAGCAAAGGGGAAGCAAGCGGTCCTTGGAATTACTTTCTCTCCACATTTCAGGGAATGCACTGACTAAGGACTTGGACAATCTCTGACCTATCAATGCAGGGGGTGACTCTTGGTTAAATCACTTCCTAAAGAGACATCTCTGTGCCCTGCTGGGAGGCCTATGGTGAACCCTGTGATAGATCTGGGGACCAGGAGTTGGTGAAGGGGGCATACGGCTGAGGGAGGAGGTGCACAGTAGCTCCATACCATGCAGGCTGAAACTGGAGTTGGCTGGTCTAGGGCGTCCCATGGGACTAGATGTGGGTGGTAGAGGGTAGCGTTGGGGGAAGGCTGCCAGACAGCATGGAATGCACAATGGGGTTACTAGAAGAAAAGGGCTGATCCCAGCTTTGTGGTTTGCTGGGGATATCATCAAGGGCTGGTGATATAGGGGTGCTGCCTCCCCTTCTTCTGCAGGTGAAAGAGGCACATTCTCTCCTTTCATGTCTGAGATGTCTCCATCTTGAGCATGGCACTCCAAGCTGAAGTCATCAATGGAAGGCATGATGTACTGGATCTGCACAGGGGACTGCAGGCCATCTTGTGACCTCAGGATATGCCAGGAACAATCACAAGGACTGTGTTCTCCACGGTCAGCTGCAGCGCTGTCTCTGGGGCCAAGATGAGGATGACCTCTTCCAGGCTCAACCTCACTTCTGTCCCTTGTTCTAGGACTATGATGAGCTCCTCATTGCTGGAATCCTGCTGCTCCCGTGAAAAGATGGCCGTCAGTATTCTCCAAAAAGGCTGCAAATGATGCTGATGCGGAGGGAGTTGCCAGGAGCTTCACCCTCTACAAGTTTAAAATACACTCCCTCCCAGAATTGACTCTCGTGCTGACCCACCTAAATGTACATCCACTGGATGTCTCTTGAGCCTGAAGAGTGTGCAGCACTGTCCAATCTTTGCCATACAAGGACATACGAACTTACCTGGGGAGGTTTCTGGGACGGGCATGAATTCTGGTGTGGAGCTCCTGGAATTGAGGGTGTTTTGCAATCTTTGCCATGCAATGACATAATAACTTACCTGGGGAGGTTCCAGGGACTGGCCTGAATTCAGTGTGGAGCTCCTGGAATTGAGGGTGTTTTTGCACCTGCAGAGAGATCACAGTGAGGGAGGTTAAGGCTCTTCCAGCAAGAGTCTCTTGGATTTCAGAATATGACCTTCAGAAATCCACAACCCAGCACAGGCCAGCCTCAGGACACCAGCCCCCATCAATCAAGCATGACTTTCCACTCATCCTGCAGAAAGCACCCTCTCCTTTTATAAGATTGTGAGACATGACACTGACCTCCAGGCAGGGAGATCTTAAGAAATATCAGGGAAATTGCCTTACCTATACTGGTACCCTGCTCCACTTGGTGACGTTTGGGTGGATTCATTTGCGTGGTAGCCAAGCTGCAGGACAGAAAGGGATCCGTTAGTCTTCCACACAGAGTCTAATTCTCACAAGCCCAAAACTCCATTTATCATCCAGCACACATTCTTTCTGTGTCCCTCAGTCAAGTGCACTTGTGTTGGGCTCCAAATCCTACCTGCATCCAGTAAGTCCTAATGCTCATCTCCCCTCCTCAACTTTTCTAATGGCTTTTCCTATCGGTGAATGTGTGTGATAAGGGATGGTGACCACAGGAAACAGTTTGCTTTCTCAGGAGCTCATCCATCTGAGAAGGGACATCTAATTTGGTCTGAGGATTTTCAGGGAAGACGTTGTTATTTCAGGTATCTGAGCACCGTGTCTGTGCAGTTACAGTGTGAATGGAGTGAGAGATGATGGGAAATGTTTCATTTTCTAATGAGCACAGGGAAGAAATTTAGATCATGCCCACAGTTTACCTGTCTCCGCACAAGAGGTGACTTTCATTTAGAGAGGGAACATAGATCGACAGTGGGAGGAAACCTGAGATGAGCCCCCTGACAGGTCCAGAAACCCCCCATGCTGGCAGGATCCTATGGCCTCCACTGTGGGTCTCATGTCTCCGGCAGGTGTTCTAAATTTATAACGTTCAATGTCATGGCAGGCCAGGGTGCTTTCTCTGCCCTAGTTTGACCCTTTATCACACATTCACACCACACACACACACAAATGCACACAGTCACACATAGTCACATGGCAACCTCCTGGCAACCCAAGGTAAACACACACTAACATACCTGCTCTCTCCTTCATTGTCATTCTGCGATTCTGTCCAGGAATCACTAAGGCTTCTTTGGCGCCAGTAACCATACATGGTAAAGGTTCTCTAGACTCACTTGTATCAGAAAATTTCAATCTTCATCTTATTTTCTTATAAATCTATACAGTCTATGACTTGATCTTTTACTTTTCCTGAAGAAGATGATCAGCTCGGCACATCCAGAACATGGAATAGTGTGCCCTGGCCTGGGACAGGTTGAATGACGCTATGGTAGAATGAAATCTTGGGCAAATCCCAAAAGTTTTATAATAGAGAGAGCTGTGGGATTTATCAAAATGGATGAACACGATTGGCTAGTGCTGCTGATTAAGTAGTAGGACCTGCATGGGAGTGCTTTTATCAAAACTCAAGTGATATGGGTGTGCCCCTGTTAGAATTAGCCTAATCTAATCAAAATCAGTCTAATGTAACCTCTACTCTGATTCACCATAGAAATGTGATATAAAATATCAGCATTTTAAAATAGTGCTATTTACATTCTATTGTATACTATTCATTAATTAGGAAAGACAATTATTTTCTGTAAGTTTCATGTGCATAATCATTTCTGGGTAAACATAAAGGATTGGTTCTAGGAAACTTTGAAGGTAACAATATTTGTGGATGCTCCACTTCCTTGTATAAAGTGGTAGAGAATTTAGATGTAACTTACTCATATTAATTCATATAGCTTAAATTATCTCTAGATTACTTATAATACCTAATACAATGCCCAGACCTTACATTACTTACGTGTTCTCAACAAAGAATTTGGTGAAGGGAAAATTCAAATTTTTTTTTGTCGGGGGGTGGAAATTGTGTAAATATTTTCTGAATATTTTCTATTCAAGTTTAGTTGAATCCATGGAGCTGGAACCCATGGATGTGGAGGGCTGACAGTATTTTTTTTTTTTTGAGATGGAGTCTCACTCTGTCTCCCAGGCAGGAATGCAGTAGTACGATCTCGGCTCACTGCAAGCTCCACCCGCTGGGTTCAAGTGATTTTCCTGCCTCAGAGTACCGAGTAGCTGTGATTACAGGCATGTGCCACCACGCTTGTCTAATTTTTGTATTTTTAGTAGAGACGGGGTTTCACCGTGCTGGCCAGGCTGGTCTCAAACTCCTGACCTCAAGTGATCCATCTACCTCGGCCTCCCAAAGTGCTGGGATTACAGACGTGAGCCACCGCTTCTGGTGACAGTATTTTTAAATAATAAAATAATATGTATTTTAAGTGAAAGAACTTTTAAAATGAATCTCCTGGGGAAAGTTATCCAAACATAATAGGCTCATATCATAAGATGAGCTGGGAAAAATACCAAAAGGACCTTTACTTAATTTCTAATATATCACTATGTGCTAATCTGTCTGTTGGCTTATTTCTTGCCTGTATCCCCCACTGGAATGGTTTCAGAATTATAATGCAAGTTTCCCTTTCAACATTACTTATTAATTAAAAATCCATGATTTCCATGGACAAAGTCACCTAAACTTCCATCAGGAGGCCAGACACCAAATGCCCAAACTCAGAGTTAATCATTTTATGATTAAAAATTATTTGACAACATAAAAAAGGTTGGATGGTAATGGGGAGAAAAGATGACCAGTAAATACCAAAATTGAACTAAATGGAAATTCTGTGAGGCTGCACCATTACTGAATGTGCCGTCACTAACAGGCCCTTGAGCTCAGGATGTCATTCTCTCCCTAGAAATTGTATAAATTTGTTTGTAGATTCTTTCCATTTAGCTGATATCCTCCTCAGTCTTATTAGGTGAAGTACAGGCCCTGCTAACTTCTTAAAAGCGCCCACGGCGGACCTTAGTGTCTTTATTCAGAGGTCTGTCTGCTTTGTGGATTTCGGTCTTTTCTGAGCAGAACAGCAGATACTTTGCTGAAGATCAGATGTAGTTTGTTTGTTTGTTTTTCAGACGGAGTTGTGTTCTGTTGCCCAGGCTGGAGTGAGGTGGTGCAGTCTGGCTCACTACAACCTCTGCCTCCCAGGTTCAAGCGATTCTCCTGTCTCAGCCTCTCGAGTAGCTGGGATTAGAGGTGTGCACCACCATGCCCGGCTACTTTTTGTATTTTGGTTAGAGACGGGGTTCCACCATGTTGGCCAGGCTGGTCTCAAACTCCTGACCTCAAGTGATCTGCCCATGTCCGCCTCACAAAATGTTGGGATTACCGGCATGAGTCATGGTGCCCAACCAGATGTAGTTTTAAAGTTGGGTTACTTGGCCGGGCACGGTGGCTCATGCCTATAATCCCAGCACTTTGGGAGGCCGAGGCAGGCGGATCAGGAGGTCAGAAATTTGAGACCAGCCTGGCCAACATAGTGAAACCCCATCTCAACTAAAAATACAAAAAATTAGCTGGGTGTGGTGGCGGGCACCTGTAATCCCAGCTACTCGGGAGGCTGAGACAGGAGAATAGCTTGAACCCGGGAGGCGGAGGTTGCAGTGAGCGAAGATCACGACATTGCACTCCAGCCTGGTGACAGTGCGAGACTGTGTTTAAAAAAAAAAAAACGGGTTACTTCTCTACATTCTCTCTGGTTGTGGGGATCAGGTTAAGATATTCAAGAAACAGCTTACACTGAGGGTTCTGGAGTATGCATATTTTATGGTCAAGAAAGAGGCCCCTCATTGTGAGTTTGTGTGTGTCAATTCTAGCTGAAAACCTAGTAGAAGAAGAAAAATATGAGGGACTTGCCAAATATTCTACCTTTATAATCGCTTTGGCTATAAACAAAATGTGTTTTAACCAATAAATTAATAAAGTTATAGCTTAAAAATCTCAGGATATATCCTGCAACACAGAATAATGACTTATTTTTGAAGAAATATTTAAGCAATATATTTTCATTTGGGGTCCAAACTTGTTCACAAGTGTACCTCTTCCCCTTGCCTTTGAAATTAAAACCATTTTTTACATCTGCAGTGCTGTGATGAAGAGAAAGATGTGGTTCTGAATGCTTTATCGTCAACAACTGAATGTTGAATTAATGTCCCTCTCTTTCATTGTCTATTTTTCAGTGACTTTAGCACTGTAGGAAAGATGAGCCCCTCACAATGTGGAAATGCACGGAGGCAGAGCGCGGGTTTCCCTGCAAGGGCCCCTTTCCCACGGGCTGCACTGAAATTGTGTGGCCCTGCCCTGACCCGACCCCTTCCTCTGCAGGGTCCCCGTATTCTGTAGATTTTCCTCACAATTCTTCTTGTTTCTCCTCACAATCAATCCTCAATGAGGTCACAGGGAGGACATGTTACAGCCTGCTTCTATTATCTATCAGAAAGCCCTCCCTAACCCCAAATTTATACATTTGTAAAATAATGCTAAAGTATCCCAACAGAAAATACAGAATAAAACACGTGGCAACAGCCCTGAAAATGAAGTCTTTATGGCTGTTTCAGAAAAATATCCGGGATACTCTGCAGCGAATCTCCCTTCTCAGCAGTTAGGGCTGCGGACAGGAAGTTTTCCTCCTGATGGACATCGCCTTAGTTGCCCCAAAGCCAGGGCGGCGCCTCCTCCCTGACCAGAGGAAAGGAAACTCACGTACTTCCTGGAGACCCAGCCCCGCCTCCGCAGGCAGAAAGCGCATGCGCCCCGGAGGGCGGGACGGCGTGTTCCCTCGCCCTCTGCCGGCCATGGGGTTGCAGCGCAAGAGGCTTGGCTTCTACCGCTTAGCGATGGACCTAAGTCTCTGAATGGCTGAAATTCTGGTTTAGATTATTCAGTACCTTTCTTTTGGAGGATCAAATGAAAATAGAGCACGGTATCATTTGCTTTGATGGAAGATAACTGAAATAAAGAAGCAACGTCCAAGGACCATATACAAAAGGCGATTGATTCCCTGTATGTGGACGGAAGAGGAGCTTGAATAAGAGAAGGGTTCTGTGATACTTTAATGCTGGAAAACTGCTGCTATGCATTTGTCAAATCCCATACAATTTTACTGCATAAATAGTACATCTTAATGTGGCTCAGGACTACAGCTTATGTCATATAAGATTTGGGGGAAAATTACTATTTAATTAAATAGGTTAAACTGTGAACAATAATGTGAGCCCTGCCTGGACCAGATGGCTTGCCAAGCAGATGGCCATCCTCATCCTCACACAGTACTTGACAAAAACCCTGGCTTCAGTGTAGAATCACTTGTGGAGAATTTTTAGGATGTACCACTTCCACCCATGAATTAGCCCATTTAATTGGCCTCAGTAAGTCCATGGTTTCAGGATTTTGCAGTTTGCTAAAAGTTCAATGTCATCCCAATTTATTTCCTGGAACCATTTCTCCTTGAAGTTTACATTCAGTACTGAGATTTGCTAAAAGCCAATGCATTTCCAAGTTCTAGAGTCAAATCAGACGACGCCTCCTTGGTCAGAACTTTTATTTTGCTTGCGGAAAAGTATATTGAATCAAATATAAGAAGGGTTTGCATGGTGGCTGAGTGGTTAAGGTGCTTTATCTGCTAGTCCATAGTAAGGGGAGCACAACTGTGTCCTCTGTGTCATAACTCAGGACTCATGAATAAAACGTGGAGTGTCAGGAGATGAACTTCTACTCCCACCTAGGGGAGCTTCAAGGAGAACGTCTCAAGGGCTTTCTGAGGGAAAGAAGAGCAGGGATGCCTAATTCTCTGGCCCCAGGCAGTTGTTCATGGGCAGAGACAAGGGCTGGGGTAATTCAATGGTTTATACTGGGTGTTTTTGATACTGCCCCCATTTCCCTGTTAAATCTGTGTAATGGATCACTGAGAAACCTGGCACCTGGGGCTGAAGATCCCTGTTGTGTCAACTCCAGGGATGGATCCAGAGAAGTGGTTTTGGTGGAAGTTGGAATGAAGGGAGTTTGGCTGTGGGAAGAAAAAAAAGCTGTTGATGATGGGGAAACGGGAAGAGAAGGATGAAATCTCTACTCACATGCTAAGGATAGCTTATGCAAATCTATGTGTCAGACCTGCATAAATAAAACTAGAACTTTAACAACATATTAGATTTTTCAGCAACAGGTTTTATTGTTTCAATATTTGCAAGTATTTTTCTATTAAAAAATAATAAAGTTGCTTACATAATTTTGTATTCAAAATTCCCAGGTCACATAACTGTTATACATTTACACTTCACATTTTTAATGAGTAGATACATTCTCTAAATTATGAATTATTTGCTCAATTGTGTGTTAGTTTTTTCTTTTTATTCTCCATGACTCCGTTTTCTGACCTGAAATCTGCAGTATTTGGTAATCCACAAGATGATCAGTTGCCCTTGTAAAGACTTTCCTTTCCTATTTCCTTCTTAAGAAAGCATTTTTTACTGAGTTTTTTTGGTAACATACCAACGGTGGTACCTGGCTGAATGTTGGTTCACAGTGAGTAGAGACCAAGGCTTCTCTCAAATGGAGTCCCAAATTCTTTACAGAGCTAGGAATTCTCTACTCTGAAAGTCCTGTGTGTTTTAAGTTAGAGCTTTTGCAAACTATTTATTATATTGACAGTTTTCATTCTCATGTCATTCTCATGTCATTTATATTCATTTATAGCACCAAGTGTCCCCTCCTACTTGGAGAGATAATTTTGTTCTGTAGTTAGTTTAAAAAGTCTTGACTCTCCCCTCATCAAGCTGCCTTGTCATTCTGTACTTGGGTCTTGGGGCAGGCAAGGTCAGTAGGAGATGCCAGTAGAGAGTAACCACCACTAGCTTCACAAGAATGATGTGCTGTGACGAATTGTGATAGGGTTTTTCCTTCTCTTTGCCCTAAAGATTCTATACCATATTTCATGCTCTGGAGCAAGAGCAACTTCTTTCTCATGGTTTTAATCACAATAATCTGATTTCAAGCATTTAATTCCTTTTTTTCCAGAACAACTCATTGAATTATCAAAAATATGAAATTAAGGATACCTACTTATTGGCTTGAACTAGCTCTGAGCAATTTAGTAATCATGAACAGAATGGCTCTGCTAGAACAAAATTCCTGATCACTTCAGCCCATCCTTGAAAATTTGCAGAGAGAGGTCAAGGGAACATACACTTCCCTGAAAATTGTATTTTACAGACCCAGTTAAAAGGCCATGTAAGGAAATAATGGAGACAGTAGAAGAATAGACTTACTGATTAAACTAGGTTTTGACTGTTAATATAAAAAAACCAATACCCTTTCCAAGAGCACATTGAAATAGTGTAAAATACTAAGTACTAAAAGATATTTCCAAAATATAATAAAGACTAAAAATCTAAAGAGGCCTCATCATCTGAATCTGAAACAAAAGAGAATATTATTAAGACTTTTTAAAAAAAACCCTAATGAATTGGGGATCTCTTTCCTTTACTCCTCTGCTGTGGTTGGTCAGAATCCCCTTTCTATTCTGTCCTCCACCTCTCTCCTGATTCTCTTTGTCTGTGTCATCTATCCCACTATTTCTTGCCCACGTAACTTTCACTATTTTTTTCAACACCTTCTACAAAGCTTCTAGAACTCTTTCACTATCACTGCTTTTCAAAATCCATCAGAGACAGCTTCCCAATACTCAACGTTACCTTCTTTTTCAACCTCACTCTCCCTAGCTCCCTGGCTCTCTGGTTCTCTTTTGGCCTCTCTTTTTCTCCTTATGCCCTGGCTTCACATCTACATTCACAAGAAGAGAATGAAGAAGCCCCCTTCCCAATAAGAGCACGCCTTACACTGGGACTCCAAAATCTAAGCACACCCTGACAGGCACAGCCAGTGGAATGAGATCTGGGACAGAAGATCACAGGGCGTCACAGGACTGTGGCCGGTGATGTCCAAGCCGAGGGGGTTCAGGGGCCTCCCCGAGTCTGTGACTAAGGAAAGGCCTGAGGGCAGCAGGGCAGTGTCCCAAGAGACGCGAGGATGAAGGAGGGGTGCGGGCAGGGTGGAGGGCCTTAGAAGACTACTGATGTCTAAGAAATCCCAAAGCCAGCGGGAGGTTGTGGCCTTCCTCCTCCTGGCTTTGCCCACAAAGGGCCGCGAGGGGTGAGAATCCACTTCCGAGTGGGGACTTAGACGGGGCACTGGGTGGGGAGGGGAGAGGGTGAAAAGACAAAAGACACAAAAGCATGGCGGGGCACCAACCTCCCAGTGTCTGACAGCGACGTAGGGCTACTGCGGCTGAGACACGTAGGTGCGGGGATTGTGACGTCGGCAGTGACACCAGACGCCAGATCCTAGGTGTGGAGGATGGTGACACGGAGTTGTGAACAGAAAATATCAAAGTCCACTCCAGGAAAGGGGCCTTTCATCCGGAAAACCTGCATCCGGGTCCGCCGGAACCTGCGGTCTCAGGATGGGGTAGTGGGCCAGAAAGAGGGCAGAGCCAGTGTGGACCAGGCCTCAGCATCCCTGCTCTGTCCCCAGGGCGTATCGGGATCTGTCCCCACTTCCGGCCAGTGCAGCCTTGGTCTCCGCGTTTGCCACAACGCGAGTGTTTTACGTGCAGTGGGGCTAGGCTGCTTCCACCAGTTGCAAGTTGAGTGTTTCCGACATTTTATGGTCAGGGTAGTCAGACCACTTACAGTGGTTGATGACCCGGTTCATTCTGCACAAATTAAAAACAGTTTAGGAGGCTGGGTGCGGTGGCTCGCACCTGGAATCCCAGCACTTTGGGAGGCTGAGGTGGGCGGAGTTTGAGACGAGCCTGGGCAACAGAGCGAGACCTTGTTTCTACAAAAATACAAAAACTTAGCCAGGTGTGGTGGTGGGTGCCTGTGGCCCCAGCTCCTCCAGAGGCTGAAGCATGAGAATCACTCGAGCCCAGGAGGTCGAGGCTGCAGTGAGCCGTGATGGGGCCACTGCACTCCAGGCGGAGCAACAGAACGAGACCCCGTCTCAAACCAAACCAAACAAAACAATAACAACAAAAGTTTATGGCAGAAGTTCTTCTTCCTCTCTAGCGTGAGTGGGTGGAGCTGCACATCTTGAGTGGAGCAGGTCGTGGCGCCTTCACGACCCAGGGACCCCTGGCTGGAGGTGGCTGGACCAGGACCCCCACCAGCCCAGTCAGAACGGGCCATTTATTGTCAGAACTACAATGTGAATTGCCACAGTTGGCCGGTGGGGAGCGTGGAAATTCACACCAAGGATGAGGAATGTAGGTTCCTTTTCTACTCCTCAATCACCCGGGAGGCAGGGACAAAAGCAAGGGCTCTGTTCCAGGGACTTTTTGGGCCAGGACCTGAGCTGGGCCCAGGAGGCCCGAATCATTGCTTTAAAAGAACAAAAGTTACTGTGTATATTAATAAATTCCTTTATCCATCTTTATATTTAATGTGTTCTTTTCACATTTCTTAAGATGAATCATAAATCTGAATTCCTTTGAGACAAACGTGGATGACATCCCCTAATTTTCTTAGGTAATCGTTTTAGAATATATTGTAATTTCACATATTTCAGTGTTCTCAGCGCTGTTTGAAAAAATATTTTTAATTTAAAATATGGGATAGTTTAATGTTTTGTTTTCTGTTTCAGAGTATTTTGTGTCAACTATGGGTATTGAGGCATGTAAAATGCGTACCTTTTAGGAAATACATGATTTTGTTTAGAACTAATGAAAAATTAAATGTTCAATATTTCCATGGACATTTACCAAGGGATGTCTACTCTCACACAAGAACATTTTTTAAAATAGCAAAACTGCATTTTCAATTTTCAATAGGCCCATTAATATCCTTAATAAATGTTAAAGTGAAATATGTAAGTTAGCATTTCATTTTCTACATTTCCTGATTTTCCTTTTTCTTAAGTGCATGCTAGCTGGATTTTGGAAAGACCAAATCCCAACTGTTCACACTGCAAAGATTTCTCAAAGATTATTTCCAAATGAGGGTACCCTTCTGGTTTTCCCATAACTAATACCAGTTTCTTTAAATTTTAAGTTTTTTTTTAAAAAAAATCAATATTTTGATTCAAAACGGACTTAAAACTTGAATAGCTTCCCTTAGGTAATTGAACAGAAAGAACACTGGGATTCATCAGGGTACTTGGGGGATCAGCCCTGCTCACTGCTTCTCCAGATTTCCAGAGCTAAGTTTGTTAAGTTTGTTTCCCCTGAGCTGAGCTCATACCTCCCATAACTGCTGGGAAGTGGACACAGATTAAGGAGCCAGGATTGTATGCAATTTCAGTTGAAGAAATTCATACATCTGAGCCTTCCCATTTAGTTTTTCTGCAGCTCCCTCTCTCTTCACATAGGAGCCAAGTAATGTAGCTCTGCCTGTATGTACCGTTCAGACACTTCGACCTTCTCTACCAAATATTTTGTTTTTTGGTTTCTACAAAATATGAGTTTGGGGAGTCTTCAAATAGACTGAATTGATTCCTCTTGAGTCTGCACGGGACACACATTGTCTACATTTGGAAGCCCCTTACGAGAAACTAACCCACTAAATGAATGTCTGGGTAAATTAAGGTCTGCTCACTGTGTCTCTGAGTCTCTGATTCCATGCCTAGAAAATGGATCTGATAAAAGACGAGGAGTGGGCTGGGCGCGTTGGCTCAGTCCTGTAATCCCAGCACTTTGGGAGGCCGAGGCGGGTGGATCACGAGGTCAGGAGATCGAGATCATCCTGGCTAACGCGGTGAAACCCCGTCTGTACTAAAAGTACAAAAAAATTAGCCGGGCGTAGTGGCGGGTGCCTGTAGTCCCAGCTACTCAGGAGGCTGAGGCAGGAGAATGGCGTGAGCCAGAAGGCGGAGCTTGCATGAGCCAAGATTGTGCCACTGCACTCCAGCCTGGGTGACAGAGCAAGACTCCGTCTCAAGAAAAAAAAAAAAAAAAAAAAAAAAAAAAAGCTGAGAAGTGAAGTGAAAAAAATGACAATACATTGAAGCATAATTTTTAAAATTATGATTTATGATTACTATCTAAAACAAGATTTTCCTGTCCTACCTTAGAAAATTTCCTTAGCTTTTCCAGAAGAAACTACAACTCTACCAAAGCACAATGGTTGTAGGAAGGCTGTTTGATTGGGTCACTAAGAAGTCCTGATGAGAAGATGGTCCATCTAAAATGCAATGCAGTGTATATAAGGCAACATGTGTCCACATCACTTCCTGGGCATAACCAGCCCTACCTCCTCAGAGGGGATCTGATCCTAATGCACATGCATTTCCTTGGACAAAGGTAGGGAGTCTGATTCAGAGCTGCTCCAAAGCCTGTCCATGCAGAAGACTTTATACCTGTAGTTCTTGTTCCTACCTTGAATGTGAAGGAGTACACTCAGTTTCAGAGTGAGAGTTTTGATCTCTGTAAGTTCTATTTGAAAAGACCAGCGGTTGACCAAAAAAAAAAAAGAAAAAAAAAAAGAGGTACAGCCAAGGATTGGAATAAAGTCATAGGAACAGAGTCAAGCCCAGAAGAGCAGCAGTATTGAAGGACAATGGGTTAGGTTGCTAAGATTGATGGTGATCCTTATAAGTCAGCCTGTTACACTGTTTGCCTTGGGTCAACAGAGCTTTGTCATAGCTCTCTCTTGTAAGTTTCTTAAAATCACTAAAGAGGCTTGCTTGAACTCAGGTGTCTGAGATCAGCCTGAGCAGTATAGTAACACCTCATCTCTACTAAAATAAAAAAATTTAGCCAGACATGGGGGCATGTGCCTGTAATCCCAGCTATGATGGTGCCACTGCACTCCAGACTGGGAAACAGAATGAGACCCTGTCTCAAAAAAAAAAAAAAAAAAAAAAATCAGGAAAGTGCCCCATTTTCTACTACTCAGATCCTGTTGAGTTTCAGTGATGAAGGAGAGGTGGATCCAGACACCTGGAGCACCTCTTACTGCAGTTCATCTAAGTCAGCCTTTACCTGGCCCGCTCTGCTGTTCACACAGCCGGAAGGGCTTGTGCACGGGTTAGAAGACTACAGTTCTCTCTGTCATCAGTTTTCCTGGTTTCTCATACAGCCCCTTCTCCACATATAGATAGTGGAGATTTTGCCCAGGGGATTCCCTCAAGGTCTCAGTTTCATTAAACTTGTCAAGGCTTCCACAGATTGTTTTGCCACCTAGTGAGACTTGTTTCGAAAAAAAAAAAAAAAAAAGTGAAATGGGAAAAAAATTAAGTGGCAAATGAGAATGATAATAGTCCTCACAGGTGAAGGTGTCCACAGAGACAGAAGATAGGTGGCTTCATTTTGGTCAGCAGCTCACCTGGGCCAGTGGAATGTCTTTGTTTGGATGAAAAGGACCTTTCTATACCTCGACATAGACAATCAGGGACAGAAGTGCACCATATGAGCAGAATGGCTTTCATAAGAGAACAGAGAGTCCTTAACATTTTCGGTTCAGTTCCCCAGAAGAATGAAAGTGAGCAGTTTTGAATGGAAATAATTGTCAAATGGGAACATAAACTACAAATATATTGGCAACAAAGGAAGTTTAGCAGCAATACTCCTTCAGTTTCAGTTAAAGTGATTTACGCTAAGTTGATAAACCAGTTGGTTTAAATGGTCACAGGACATTTTGTCTGTGAAACCTCTCTGGACCCCAGTGACTCCAGTCGTAATTAGTCTAAATGCACATGTTCTAAACTCCCACAGGTCTCGGATCAGGATGTAGAACTTAACACATGGAATGTTCATTTGCTGTACATGTGTCTGTCTACCCAATAAAGTTTGAGCTTCTGTTCCTGGGGTTGAGCAAGGTGAACCACTTGGTCATGCCCTCTCCATACCTCCTTTACAAATGGAAAAGTGCAACACAGTGATATGCCACTGGACATGAAGGCAGCAATCCTGGATTTGAGCCTGAATCTATTTCTGCAACTAACTGGAGGTGTGTGACAGAGATCAATGGATCTCAGATGCTTCTGTGTTCAGTGATCAACAGGTCTCAAATGTCACTGTGCAGGAGACTTAATTGGAAAAGTCATTTTACAAATTTAGATTCTGAAGAGATCCCCATTTGAAAGTGTTAGAGTGGGGCATAGAGCTCTAATTATAAGTATTCTAGGCTAGTTACACTGACTATAATTAACCAATATAGTTCTGGAAGCAGGGACTTAAGTGATCTCTAAGGCTACTTCTAGTTCTAATATTTGAGTGTTCTAAGGATTCGTAGACATCTGAATATAAATCTTAGACTAATTTTTATGGTTTTTCAATTCACATGGGTGTGTGTATGCTCGTGTGTGTGCTCATACATCATGAAAAAGTAGAACTATTCCTTTACTTCATGCAAAGTTCAATCCACAAATTATAAGTAAATTTTAGATAATTGGCAGTGAGGATGAATTTGTTAACACCAAGTTTGACAGAGTAAGAGCAGAGGCTGAAGATAATAAGACACTGATCTAGAACAACATCAGTGAGGAGAAAGAGGGAAGGAGATAATTGCATTAAGATTTACAGGGATTAATAAGCAATTTATGCAGATTAATGTCATGAGTAAATTGTGTGACTTATTCAGAAAAGTAAGCATTCCTGAGTAAACCTCTACTTTTAACCTGAATGTCAAGTAAACGATAGTAATATTTTCTAAGATTTAGAATATTAAATGAAGGCCAGATTTGGAAGCAAACCAATAAATTGCAATAAAGACATTACCTTTGAAGTGCCTATCAGAAATCCACTTAGAGTAGCTCAGTAAACTTAAATTGGATACACAAGTAATGGAAGGTTGAAAAGGCACAGAGATAACCATACAAAAGGGATATCGCCTTTTAACATATAGGAACAAAGGAGTAAAGTTACTCTCATGGGCTAGCGCCCAAAATTATCTTACTTGTACGCAGCTAGAGCTTGAACCTATGAGGAGGAGACACAGTACCAGGTGCCCATGTCTCCTAGTGGGTTACACCACATCAGTCACGCTTAAAATTTGAAGGGAGCAATGCTCAATGACTGATGTGCAGGCAAATGAGGCAGAGGCACTTGATAGCCAGTGTTCAGACTTCTGAGGAGGAGACATGGTCCAACAGGTGCTTGGATAGACAAGGTGCATAGAAAAGCAGATTGTAGCTCAGCCGGTCCTCTTAGAACCAAGGAGGTAGAGCTAGGATGCTGCTGGTCCTTTTCTGGCATATTTGTGGGGCTGCTGAGAAAGTGGAAAGAATATAAAGCCTGAAGCCTGGAGCCAACCATCTGCTGCTATTGGAATGGGGCTGACAAAAACGGCATAGAACAGATGCCTTCACTCTTGGTCTTGTTTTCCACTCTCCTGCTAATACCTTTCATTAAAGGTGCTAACAAGAAGCTAACTGGCCAAGCAGTATAACAAATGCTGTTTTCAGAGTCCCAGCACAGCACCACAGAGCAGAGTAAAGAAATCATAAAAGTAAAGAAGTAACACCATGTCATTAGTCCATAAAGAGTGGGAACCATGAGAATGGAGGAGATTGTTTGGAGATAACACGTATAATAAGAAGAGAATGAAACATAGGTGAAAGCAATCCTAGCCAAGAGAATATGAGGAACAGTCAGCAAAGAAGACTGAGAATGTGTGGAGAAGACAAAGAGAAATGTCCAGCAGACAAACATTCTCACGGCCAGAAGAGAGAGAAATTAAGGTGCAGGAGATAGATCACCTTGTAAAATGTTTCAGAAAGGGCCTGAAGGATGAATACTGGCCATAGGTCACTGGAGTTGGCCCTGGTAATTTATTAAGAGAAAAACTACTATTAACTGACTAAGGAGGTACCTGGTACCTTTATAAAGAGAAATTCCAATAGTATGATGAGAGCTAAAATAATCTTCTTCTTCTTCTTCTTCTTTTTTCTTCTTCTCCTTCTTCTTCTTTTGAAACAGGGTCTCTTTTTTTTTTTTTTTTTTTTGAGACAGAGTCTCCCTCTGTCACTCAGGCTGGAGTGCAATGGCATGATCAGGCTCACTGCAGCCTCAACTTCCAGGGCTCAGCCCCCAAGCAATTGGGGCTATGGGTGTGAGCCACTATACCGGGCTTTTCTTTTCTTTTTTTTTTTTTTTGAGACGTAGACTTGCTCTTGTCACCCAGGCTGGAGTGCAATGGCATGATCTTGGCTCACTGCAACCTCTGCCTCCCGGGTTCAAGCGATTCCCCTGTCTCAGACTCCCAAGGAGCTGGGATTACAGATGCATGCCACCACGCCTGGCTGCTTTTTGTATTTTTAGTAGAGACGGGGTTTCACCAGGTTGGTCAAGCTGGTCTCAAACTCCCGACCTTGTGATTTGCCCACCTCGGCCCCCCAAAGTGCTGGGATTACAGGCGTGAGCCACTGTGCCCAGCCTAAATTTTTAAATTTTTGTAGAGATGGGGTCTCCCTATGTTGCCCAGGCTGGTCTCGAACTCCTGGGCTCAAAGGATCCTCCTGTCTTGGCCTCCCAAAGTGCTGAAATTGCAGGCATGAGCCTCCATGCCTGGCTTTAAGAGATTTCTATAGGTTGAGAAGGAAACAGGGTATAAAAACACTGGAGACAGGAAATGTATGCTATATTTCAAGTCATTTGACTGACAGAGAAAGAAGAGGAAAAATAAAAAATGAAGAAACGAGAAAGTCTAAACACACTTAGATTCTCAAAGGCAGTTAGTTTTATCTGAGACAATGTTTAAGGAATTTCTAGGGAAAATGCAGAACAGAAAAATCCTCTGATTGAAACAGATAACTTTACATATTTTCCTCCAGCATAGTTTTCAGAATAAGAAAATTAGCACCATGAAGACAAGTGGCAATACCAGAAGATCTTTCAAAACACATTTTATTTTTTATTTTAAAACATTTTACACGTTGTCTTGTTCCAGATTTTTTTTCCTCTTTTATTTACATCTCTACAGGAAGCCAGCTTAACTGAATAGAGAAGGACATTTTCTAGAGCAGCGCAGAGGGATTTTACTTCTTCTGTTCTGGGATGGTGTACTATAAATCTTCTACGATGAAATGGTCTGTGATATATGCTTTCTTCTGCTGGAAAGCTGGGACTCCAAATTTTGGCAAATTAGGGAAAAGGTAAGCCTCAGTTTGCCATTGTTATGCTCTGAAAGGGCAGGGTTTGCAGGATTACAAAAGAGATTCTTAGAAAGTGTCTTTTTTTCTTTCTATGGTTTTTTTTTTTTCAGTTTGTTTCAATTTCTTCCTCCATTTAACTGTTCACCTGAACCCGCTGAGAAACGTTCCATCTTTAGGACTGCCTTTTGTTGTTCTATTATCTTCCAGCCTGCTATTTTGTGGACATGCTAAGCAGACAAGTCCAGAAAGCCCGAAGTTGGAATATAAATGTGACTAAGTCAGTAACTGTATAATCTTCTTCAGTCTCACTCTCCTCATTTGTAATAAGGGCACTGAATTCGATGACCTTTGGGGAACTTACTGCTTCAGAAACCCATGATTTGATCAATTCTCACTGCAAATGGCCAGAATGAAGATGTTGCTCAAGCTACAGCCAACTTGAATTTTGATATGGGTGCATTTCATTCTAAAACTTGATGTTTTAGATCGAACAGGTAAATGAACAAGAATCTAAAGAGTTCCTACCTATAAAAGAGAGAAAGGAGTACATGACAGTGATACTGCTGAAGCAGCCACAATGAGCATCTAGCAGGTATTCCGTTTACTGAGAGGTTCAATCTGCTCACATTATAGATACCAGAATCCTGGCACAGAGGGCCCAATGTCCTACATCTGTTTAAAGCCAGAGCTATGACTTTAGAACTCAATTCACCTGAGTGCCAGTCCAACCATTCCATTCCATCTGTTTTATCTGTGTATTCAATGGCTCACATTTATATAAAGTAAAAGAAATCATTAATAGGCCCTGTGTCAGGAACTGAGAGTGCAAAGGTCAACAAGATATAGTGTCTGCCTGGAAGAAGTTCACAGCCTAGGAAGGGTATCTCCTTGTAGCACTGGGAACTGGACAGACATGGCTTCAGATAATCCAACCTTTGCAGATCAAAGAGAGATGGTCCAGAGAGATTTATCCCACTGATATCGCAGCCAGAGAATCTTCACCTCTTTGTTTCTTGCAGCTGGTGCTTAGTTTTTAATGTTTCTTTCTGTTTTTGCAGCAAAATGGTGCTAATTCAGCTCTACAGCCCCCAATCTTTACTTCAAAGGTAAGACATTCGGCTTCACAGTGACCTTCCATTCTCTTACTAATTAGTGCTCTATGAATTGCTGTCCTGGCTAAGTAAAGAAAGCAATTTGTCTTCAGTTATCTAGTAATTAGTAACTGTAAGATAAAATTACATCGCCCAGGCCAAATTCAGACTTCCTCATTACCATAACTCCTAGAGACACAGACTATAAACCTAGAAATTAGAAAAATCAGATGTTATCTGAACAGTCATGTCTGAGCTCAGACCCCTGGTACAATATAATCAATGTCCTTATTAAATAGCCAATTGGAAAAAAACAGAAAAGATTTTCATATGTCAAAATCATATCTAGCTTGTACAGAAACAGAATGTTTCTTCCAAGGAAGATGACAAAATACTTTCTAATTCCAATGAACGATCCTTACCAACAGATTTTTTTTCCCCTGTATCCAAATAGTCTCTGATTTATAGCAAAAGTTAAAGATTGTTCTGTTACATTATAGGCAGGCCAATAGTAGATCATATGCCCTGGCATATGATTTCGGAGTCTCACAGTTTTAGGTAGAAAGATAAACAACATGATGCTAGTCCTTCTCAATTTACTGTGCAAAGAACACCAATGGAATCGTGTATTTAGCTCTGGCAAGCAAATTTAGAGAGACATAGGCAATGTGTGTTCATTCATAACAGAGATTAGGTTGAAGAGGAAAAAATATGTCAAAACAGGAATCTTTTTTAATTGGTAAGATACATTCTTAGGAAACAATAGTGGAAGAAGTAGCAGTTCTTCTCAAAAGGAGTAATGTTTATTCCTGGAAATAACAACTTTGGGGGAGAAACAGTACATATTAGCTGCCATATATCTGAAATATTATCATGTGGAATATATTTTGTTAGTGCCAAGTTAAGGCAAAGACTAATGGAAAGAAATTGCAGGGGCTTAGATTTCTGCTCAAATTAAGGAGAAATTTTTGAATAGTCCAAAGTTGAACTTGGGATACTGTGAACTACAGATCACTTAAATTTATCAGGCAACTGGACAATCAGTTGAGACACACACGCACACACATACACACACACACACATATATATATATATATACATGTATAGGGTGTTCAATACTGAATCAGGACAGAGAACAAAAAAATAAGTAGAAGAACAAATGACCAACAATGGTAAACTCTAACATAGCATAGAGTATGTGCCTGCCACTGCTCAAGCAGTTATACAGAGAGATTGTTAAACTGTCCCAAAGCAGTCAGTTTTACCTTCAGACTTTTAGTCATAGAACCTCTGGGTTTAGCTGGACACATGAATACTTAGCTAATCACATCAGCTCCTAGCTTCCTATTTCTATATGTCCACATGAACAAATTTGGAAAAATGAAAAAGGAGTGGAATGATGTGAGCTGCTTCTATGTAATCTTAATCAGGTTCTATACTTTCTAACCCTGCCTGTTAGAATATCCTTGGAACCAAATAAAATGGTCAACTGTTTAGGATGGCAGGGTTGACCTTCAGCCCAAATCACAACATAACTTGGTGAAAAAGAACCCTCTACCCGCACCTAGTCAACTTAGCTATTTTTGGACTTTTACATGAAAGAGAAATAAGGTTTTGTCTTTCTTCAGTCATTCTATCATTAAGATTCTTTATTATAACAAGTTAGTTTCTAATTAATATAACAAGTTTATTCATCTTCAAAACAATGCTATTATTATTATCATTTATAGAATGGCAAGTAAAACACAGGGTGCATACAGCTTATAAAGATTAGCACTGAGATCCAAACTCATATAGTTTGGCCTAATAACCTATGTTTATTACCTTTTGTGGGGAAAAGCAAGAGAGATCAGATTGTTACTGTGTCTGTGTAGAAAGAAGTAGACATAGGAGACTCCATTTTGTTATGTACTAAGAAAAATTCTTCTGCCTTGAGATTCTGTGACCTTACCCCCAACCCCGTGCTCTCTGAAATGTGTGCTGTGTCAACTCAGAGTTAAATGGATTAAGGGCGGTGCAGGATGTGCTTTGTTAAACAGATGCTTGAAGGCAGCATGCTCCTTAAGAGTCATCACCACTCCCTAATCTCAAGTACCCAGGGACACAAAAACTGCGGAAGGCCGCAGGGACCTCTGCCTAGGAAAGCCAGGTATTGTCCAAGGTTTCTCCCCATGTGATAGTCTGAAATATGGCCTCGTGGGAAGGGAAAGACATGACCGTCCCCCAGCCCGATACCCGTAAAGGGTCTGTGCTGAGGAGGATTAGTAAAAGAGGAAGGAATGCCTCTTGCAGTTGAGACAAGAGGAAGGCATCTGTCTCCTGCCTGTCCCTGGGCAATGGAATGTCTCGGTATAAAACCCGATTGTATGCTCCATCTACTGAGATAGGGAAAAACCGCCTTAGGGCTGGAGGTGGGACCTGCGGGCAGCAATACTGCTTTGTAAAGCACTGAGATGTTTATGTGTATGCATATCTAAAAGCACAGCACTTAATCCTTTACATTGTCTATGATGCAAAGACCTTTGTTCACGTGTTTGTCTGCTGACCCTCTCCCCACAATTGTCTTGTGACCCTGACACATCCCCCTCTTTGAGAAACACCCACAGATGATCAATAAATACGAAGGGAACTCAGAGGCTGGCGGGATCCTCCATATGCTGAACGCTGGTTCCCCGGGTCCCCTTATTTCTTTCTCTATACTTTGTCTCTGTGTCTTTTTCTTTTCCAAATCTCTCGTCCCACCTTACAAGAAACACCCACAGGTGTGTAGGGGCAACCCACCCCTACATCTGGTGCCCAAAGTGGAGGCTTTTCTCTAGGGTGAAGGTACGCTCGAGCGTGGTCATTGAGGACAAGTCGACGAGAGATCCCGAGTACGTCTACAGTCAGCCTTACGGTAAGCTTGTGCGCTCGGAAGAAGCTAGGGTGATAATGGGGCAAACTAAAAGTAAAATTAAAAGTAAATATGCCTCTTATCTCAGCTTTATTAAAATTCTTTTAAAAAGAGGGGGAGTTAAAGTATCTACAAAAAATCTAATCAAGCTATTTCAAATAATAGAACAATTTTGCCCATGGTTTCCAGAACAAGGAACTTTAGATCTAAAAGATTGGAAAAGAATTGGTAAGGAACTAAAACAAGCAGGTAGGAAGGGTAATATCATTCCACTTACAGTATGGAATGATTGGGCCATTATTAAAGCAGCTTTAGAACCATTTCAAACAGAAGAAGATAGCATTTCAGTTTCTGATGCCCCTGGAAGCTGTTTAATAGATTGTAATGAAAACACAAGGAAAAAATCCCAGAAAGAAACGGAAAGTTTACATTGCGAATATGTAGCAGAGCCGGTAATGGCTCAGTCAACGCAAAATGTTGACTATAATCAATTACAGGAGGTGATATATCCTGAAACGTTAAAATTAGAAGGAAAAGGTCCAGAATTAGTGGGGCCATCAGAGTCTAAACCACGAGGCACAAGTCCTCTTCCAGCAGGTCAGGTGCCCGTAACATTACAACCTCAAAAGCAGGTTAAAGAAAATAAGACCCAACCGCCAGTAGCCTATCAATACTGGCCTCCGGCTGAACTTCAGTATCGGCCACCCCCAGAAAGTCAGTATGGATATCCAGGAATGCCCCCAGCACCACAGGGCAGGGAGCCATACCCTCAGCCGCCCACTAGGAGACTTAATCCTACGGCACCACCTAGTAGACAGGGTAGTGAATTACATGAAATTATTGATAAATCAAGAAAGGAAGGAGATACTGAGGCATGGCAATTCCCAGTAACGTTAGAACCGATGCCACCTGGAGAAGGAGCCCAAGAGGGAGAGCCTCCCACAGTTGAGGCCAGATACAAGTCTTTTTCGATAAAAATGCTAAAAGATATGAAAGAGGGAGTAAAACAGTATGGACCCAACTCCCCTTATATGAGGACATTATTAGATTCCATTGCTCATGGACATAGACTCATTCCTTATGATTGGGAGATTCTGGCAAAATCGTCTCTCTCACCCTCTCAATTTTTACAATTTAAGACTTGGTGGATTGATGGGGTACAAGAACAGGTCCGAAGAAATAGGGCTGCCAATCCTCCAGTTAACATAGATGCAGATCAACTATTAGGAATAGGTCAAAATTGGAGTACTATTAGTCAACAAGCATTAATGCAAAATGAGGCCATTGAGCAAGTTAGAGCTATCTGCCTTAGAGCCTGGGAAAAAATCCAAGACCCAGGAAGTACCTGCCCCTCATTTAATACAGTAAGACAAGGTTCAAAAGAGCCCTATCCTGATTTTGTGGCAAGGCTCCAAGATGTTGCTCAAAAGTCAATTGCCGATGAAAAAGCCCGTAAGGTCATAGTGGAGTTGATGGCATATGAAAACGCCAATCCTGAGTGTCAATCAGCCATTAAGCCATTAAAAGGAAAGGTTCCTGCAGGATCAGATGTAATCTCAGAATATGTAAAAGCCTGTGATGGAATCGGAGGAGCTATGCATAAAGCTATGCTTATGGCTCAAGCAATAACAGGAGTTGTTTTAGGAGGACAAGTTAGAACATTTGGAGGAAAATGTTATAATTGTGGTCAAATTGGTCACTTAAAAAAGAATTGCCCAGTCTTAAACAAACAGAATATAACTATTCAAGCAACTACAACAGGTAGAGAGCCACCTGACTTATGTCCAAGATGTAAAAAAGGAAAACATTGGGCTAGTCAATGTCGTTCTAAATTTGATAAAAATGGGCAACCATTGTCGGGAAACGAGCAAAGGGGCCAGCCTCAGGCCCCACAACAAACTGGGGCATTCCCAATTCAGCCATTTGTTCCTCAGGGTTTTCAGGACAACAACCCCCACTGTCCCAAGTGTTTCAGGGAATAAGCCAGTTACCACAATACAACAATTGTCCCCCGCCACAAGCGGCAGTGCAGCAGTAGATTTATGTACTATACAAGCAGTCTCTCTGCTTCCAGGGGAGCCCCCACAAAAAATCCCTACAGGGGTATATGGCCCACTGCCTGAGGGGACTGTAGGACTAATCTTGGGAAGATCAAGTCTAAATCTAAAAGGAGTTCAAATTCATACTAGTGTGGTTGATTCAGACTATAAAGGCGAAATTCAATTGGTTATTAGCTCTTCAATTCCTTGGAGTGCCAGTCCAAGAGACAGGATTGCTCAATTATTACTCCTGCCATATATTAAGGGTGGAAATAGTGAAATAAAAAGAATAGGAGGGCTTGGAAGCACTGATCCAACAGGAAAGGCTGCATATTGGGCAAGTCAGGTCTCAGAGAACAGACCTGTGTGTAAGGCCATTATTCAAGGAAAACAGTTTGAAGGATTGGTAGACACTGGAGCAGATGTCTCTATCATTGCTTTAAATCAGTGGCCAAAAAATTGGCCTAAACAAAAGGCTGTTATAGGACTTGTCGGCATAGGCACAGCCTCAGAAGTGTATCAAAGTATGGAGATTTTACATTGCTTAGGGCCAGATAATCAAGAAAGTACTGTTCAGCCAATGATTACTTCAATTCCTCTTAATCTGTGGGGTCGAGATTTATTACAACAATGGGGTGCGGAAATCACCATGCCCGCTCCATTATATAGCCCCACGAGTCAAAAAATCATGACCAAGAGGGGATATATACCAGGAAAGGGACTAGGGAAAAATGAAGATGGCATTAAAATTCCATTTGAGGCTAAAATAAATCAAAAAAGAGAAGGAATAGGGTATCCTTTTTAGGGGTGGCCACTATAGAGCCTCCGAAACCCATACCATTAACTTGGAAAACAGAAAAACTGGTGTGGGTAAATCAGTGGCCGCTACCAAAACAAAAACTGGAGGCTTTACATTTATTAGCAAATGAACAGTTAGAAAAGGGTCATATTGAGCCTTCGTTCTCACCTTGGAATTCTCCTGTGTTTGTAATTCAGAAGAAATCAGGCAAATGGCGTATGTTAACTGACTTAAGGGCTGTAAACGCCGTAATTCAACCCATGGGGCCTCTCCAACCCGGGTTGCCCTCTCCAGCCATGATCCCAAAAGATTGGCCTTTAATTATAATTGATCTAAAGGATTGCTTTTTTACCATCCCTCTGGCAGAGCAGGATTGCGAAAAATTTGCCTTTACTATACCAGCCATAAATAATAAAGAACCAGCCACCAGGTTTCAGTGGAAAGTGTTACCTCAGGGAATGCTTAATAGTCCAACTATTTGTCAGACTTTTGTAGGTCGAGCTCTTCAACCAGTTAGAAAAAAGTTTTCAGACTGTTATATTATTCATTATATTGATGATATTTTATGTGCTGCAGAAACGAAAGATAAATTAATTGACTGTTATACATTTCTGCAAGCAGAGGTTGCCAGTGCTGGACTGGCAATAGCATCTGATAAGATCCAAACCTCTACTCCTTTTCATTATTTAGGGATGCAGATAGAAAATAGAAAAATTAAGCCACAAAAAATAGAAATAAGAAAAGACACATTAAAAACACTAAATGATTTTCAAAAATTACTAGGAGATATTAATTGGATTCAGCCAACTCTAGGCATTCCTACTTATGCCATGTCAAATTTGTTCTCTATCTTAAGAGGAGACTCAGACTTAAATAGTAAAAGAATATTAACCCCAGAGGCAACAAAAGAAATTAAATTAGTGGAAGAAAAAATTCAGTCAGCACAAATAAATAGAATAGATCCCTTAGCCCCACTCCAACTTTTGATTTTTGCCACTGCACATTCTCCAACAGGTATCATTATTCAAAATACTGATCTTGTGGAGTGGTCATTCCTTCCTCACAGTACAGTTAAGACTTTTACACTGTACTTGGATCAAATAGCTACATTAATCGGTCAGACAAGATTACGAATAATAAAATTATGTGGAAATGACCCAGACAAAATAGTTGTCCCTTTAACCAAGGAACAAGTTAGACAAGCCTTTATCAATTCTGGTGCATGGCAGATTGGTCTTGCTAATTTTGTGGGAATTATTGATAATCATTACCCAAAAACAAAGATCTTCCAGTTCTTAAAACTGACTACTTGGATTCTACCTAAAATTACCAGACGTGAACCTTTAGAAAATGCTCTAACAGTATTTACTGATGGTTCCAGCAATGGAAAAGCAGCTTACACAGGGCCGAAAGAACGAGTAATCAAAACTCCATATCAATCAGCTCAAAGAGCAGAGTTGGTTGCAGTCATTACAGTGTTACAAGATTTTGACCAACCTATCAATATTATATCAGATTCTGCATATGTAGTACAGGCTACAAGGGTTGTTGAGACAGCTCTAATTAAATATAGCATGGATGATCAGTTAAACCAGCTATTCAATTTATTACAACAAACTGTAAGAAAAAGAAATTTCCCATTTTATATTACTCATATTCGAGCACACACTAATTTACCAGGGCCTTTGACTAAAGCAAATGAACAAGCTGACTTACTGGTATCATCTGCACTCATAAAAGCACAAGAACTTCATGCTTTGACTCATGTAAATGCAGCAGGATTAAAAAACAAATTTGATGTCACATGGAAACAGGCAAAAGATATTGTACAACATTGCACCCAGTGTCAAGTCTTACACCTGCCCACTCAAGAGGCAGGAGTTAATCCCAGAGGTCTGTGTCCTAATGCATTATGGCAAATGGATGTCACGCATGTACCTTCATTTGGAAGATTATCATATGTTCATGTAACAGTTGATACTTATTCACATTTCATATGGGCAACTTGCCAAACAGGAGAAAGTACTTCCCATGTTAAAAAACATTTATTGTCTTGTTTTGCTGTAATGGGAGTTCCAGAAAAAATCAAAACTGACAATGGACCAGGATATTGTAGTAAAGCTTTCCAAAAATTCTTAAGTCAGTGGAAAATTTCACATACAACAGGAATTCCTTATAATTCCCAAGGACAGGCCATAGTTGAAAGAACTAATAGAACACTCAAAACTCAATTAGTTAAACAAAAAGAAGGGGGAGACAGTAAGGAGTGTACCACTCCTCAGATGCAACTTAATCTAGCACTCTATACTTTAAATTTTTTAAACATTTATAGAAATCAGACTACTACTTCTGCAGAACAACATCTTACTGGTAAAAAGAACAGCCCACATGAAGGAAAACTAATTTGGTGGAAAGATAATAAAAATAAGACATGGGAAATAGGGAAGGTGATAACGTGGGGGAGAGGTTTTGCTTGTGTTTCACCAGGAGAAAATCAGCTTCCTGTTTGGATACCCACTAGACATTTGAAGTTCTACAATGAACCCATCAGAGATGCAAAGAAAAGCACCTCCGCGGAGACGGAGACACCGCAATCGAGCACCGTTGACTCACAAGATGAACAAAATGGTGACGTCAGAAGAACAGATGAAGTTGCCATCCACCAAGAAGGCAGAGCCGCCGACTTGGGCACAACTAAAGAAGCTGACGCAGTTAGCTACAAAATATCTAGAGAACACAAAGGTGACACAAACCCCAGAGAGTATGCTGCTTGCAGCCTTGATGATTGTATCAATGGTGGTAAGTCTCCCTATGCCTGCAGGAGCAGCTGTAGCTAACTATACCAACTGGGCCTATGTGCCTTTCCCGCCCTTAATTCGGGCAGTCACATGGATGGATAATCCTATAGAAGTATATGTTAATGATAGTGTATGGGTACCTGGCCCCATAGATGATCGCTGCCCTGCCAAACCTGAGGAAGAAGGGATGATGATAAATATTTCCATTGGGTATCGTTATCCTCCTATTTGCCTAGGGAGAGCACCAGGATGTTTAATGCCTGCAGTCCAAAATTGGTTGGTAGAAGTACCTACTGTCAGTCCCATCAGTAGATTCACTTATCACATGGTAAGCGGGATGTCACTCAGGCCACGGGTAAATTATTTACAAGACTTTTCTTATCAAAGATCATTAAAATTTAGACCTAAAGGGAAACCTTGCCCCAAGGAAATTCCCAAAGAATCAAAAAATACAGAAGTTTTAGTTTGGGAAGAATGTGTGGCCAATAGTGCGGTGATATTACAAAACAATGAATTTGGAACTATTATAGATTGGGCACCTCGAGGTCAATTCTACCACAATTGCTCAGGACAAACTCAGTCGTGTCCAAGTGCACAAGTGAGTCCAGCTGTTGATAGCGACTTAACAGAAAGTTTAGACAAACATAAGCATAAAAAATTGCAGTCTTTCTACCCTTGGGAATGGGGAGAAAAAAGAATCTCTACCCCAAGACCAAAAATAGTAAGTCCTGTTTCTGGTCCTGAACATCCAGAATTATGGAGGCTTACTGTGGCCTCACACCACATTAGAATTTGGTCTGGAAATCAAACTTTAGAAACAAGAGATCGTAAGCCATTTTATACTGTCGACCTAAATTCCAGTCTAACACTTCCTTTACAAAGTTGCGTAAAGCCCCCTTATATGCTAGTTGTAGGAAATATAGTTATTAAACCAGACTCCCAGACTATAACCTGTGAAAATTGTAGATTGCTTACTTGCATTGATTCAACTTTTAATTGGCAACACCGTATTCTGCTGGTGAGAGCAAGAGAGGGCGTGTGGATCCCTGTGTCCATGGACCGACCATGGGAGGCCTCACCATCCGTCCATATTTTGACTGAAGTATTAAAAGGTGTTTTAAATAGATCCAAAAGATTCATTTTTACTTTAATTGCAGTGATTATGGGATTAATTGCAGTCACAGCTACGGCTGCTGTAGCAGGAGTTGCATTGCACTCTTCTGTTCAGTCAGTAAACTTTGTTAATGATGGGCAAAAGAATTCTACAAGATTGTGGAATTCACAATCTAGTATTGATCAAAAATTGGCAAATCAAATTAATGATCTTAGACAAACTGTCATTTGGATGGGAGACAGACTCATGAGCTTAGAACATCGTTTCCAGTTACAGTGTGACTGGAATACGTCAGATTTTTGTATTACACCCCAAATTTATAATGACTCTGAGCATCACTGGGACATGGTTAGACGCCATCTACAGGGAAGAGAAGATAATCTCACTTTAGACATTTCCAAATTAAAAGAACAAATTTTCGAAGCATCAAAAGCCCATTTAAATTTGGTGCCAGGAACTGAGGCAATTGCAGGAGTTGCTGATGGCCTCGCAAATCTTAACCCTGTCACTTGGGTTAAGACCATTGGAAGTACTACAATTATAAATCTCATATTAATCCTTGTGTGCCTGTTTTGTCTGTTGTTAGTCTGCAGGTGTACTCAACAGCTCCGAAGAGACAGCGACCATCGAGAACGGGCCATGATGACGATGGCGGTTTTGTCGAAAAGAAAAGGGGGAAATGTGGGGAAAAGCAAGAGAGATCAGATTGTTACTGTGTCTGTGTAGAAAGAAGTAGACATGGGAGACTCCATTTTGTTATGTGCTAAGAAAAATTCTTCTGCCTTGAGATTCTGTTAATCTATGACCTTACCCCCAACCCCGTGCTCTCTGAAACGTGTGCTGTGTCAACTCAGGGTTGAATGGATTAAGGGCGGTGCAGGATGTGCTTTGTTAAACAGATGCTTGAAGGCAGCATGCTCCTTAAGAGTCATCACCACTCCCTAATCTCAAGTACCCAGGGACACAAAAACTGCGGAAGGCCGCAGGGACCTCTGCCTAGGAAAGCCAGGTATTGTCCAAGGTTTCTCCCCATGTGATAGTCTGAAATATGGCCTCGTGGGAAGGGAAAGACCTGACCGTCCCCCAGCCCGACACCCGTAAAGGGTCTGTGCTGAGGAGGATTAGTAAAAGAGGAAGGAATGCCTCTTGCAGTTGAGACAAGAGGAAGGCATCTGTCTCCTGCCTGTCCCTGGGCAATGGAATGTCTCGGTATAAAACCTGATTGTATGCTCCATCTACTGAGATAGGGAAAAACCGCCTTAGGGCTGGAGGTGGGACCTGCGGGCAGCAATACTGCTTTGTAAAGCACTGAGATGTTTATGTGTATGCATATCCAAAAGCACAGCACTTAATCCTTTACATTGTCTATGATGCAAAGACCTTTGTTCACGTGTTTGTCTGCTGACCCTCTCCCCACAATTGTCTTGTGACCCTGACACATCCCCCTCTTTGAGAAACACCCACAGATGATCAATAAATACTAAGGGAACTCAGAGGCTGGCGGGATCCTCCATATGCTGAATGCTGGTTCCCCGGGTCCCCTTATTTCTTTCTCTATACTTTGTCTCTGTGTCTTTTTCTTTTCCAAATCTCTCGTCCCACCTTACGAGAAACACCCACAGGTGGGTAGGGGCAACCCACCCCTACACCTTTTATATTGATCATTAAATTCACTTCTAACTCTGAGATTCTATGTGATTATGGTGATGGTGGTGGTTCTAATTTGTGCCCAAACTATGCTTATTATTGTAATTCAAATACATCTGAGATGAGTTTTGTGGACAGGGAGCTATTAGGCATCCACATCTATAGACTGATCTGAATAAATTGGAGTACTGATTAAAGTGGATGGAGAAGACAATTTTAAATGAGTTTATCTATTCTGGAGCATTGTCTGACATCTGCAAAAAGATGCTGAGGGCAGAAAATCGGGAACTGATTTTACAACTGAGACTTTCATGGAGTCACTGAAACTTTCATGGGGACATTGTTCCCTGGCTCTGTTCTTTAGTTCTAGTCTTGCCTATTTCCAAATGTGCAAAACAAATACTACTTCCCAGGAAGCCTTTCTGCATTTCCTAGTTAGAACCAAGTTTCCACATCTATGACTTCTCTTTATAATTTGCATCTTTTATGGCACTTGTGAAAACTGTTTCATATTAAAGTTATTTGTGAATTTTCCTGTCTCATTGATATACTTACTTATACATGTTAAATGTATTGAAAGCTTATTTACCACTACAAGCAACCTATTTTCGAACAACATAGAAGGAATAGACTAATAACTTCAAGCAAATTAAGGTCAATGTCCATGCTTTATATTTTTACCTCTTCGTTTTACCTACCTTTATCATAGTGGACAGAACAATTTCTTACAAGTGGTTAGCACACATTCAATATCTATTGGTTTTCTAGGACTACTGAGGACAGAATGTGTAATAAAGGAATGTAGAAATTCAGGAGCCATGAAGGAACAGACAGGGGGCTTCATGATGCATGGAGAACCTCTAATAGGAAAAGCTTCACAACAGAAGGAACGAAGGATAGTTGAGGAGGTATGGACATAAACATTTCTTAGGAACAGAGTCGTGGTTGTATGAAGCAAAGAGAATCTCAAAGACGCAAAGACTTAAGAGAATAGTAAGCAAGATGTTAGTTTAGTGGTTTTAATGGCATAATTTCCAACCAGTGTGTGAAAGCCAAAAAGTCTAAAATAATGTATGGATAAGAGATTTGGACCGACGACTCAGACATGAAAAAAAATTAGCTGTCTAAGAATCTAGTAACATAACTTTAGTTTAATTTAGACTACAAAGGCTGTACTTCCCTAACTTAACAAATATGTTTGGCATTTCCTTGGATAATCTTTTCTTTCTTTTTTTTTTTTTTTTTTCATTTTAAAGAAATCACTTTAGAATATGCTGGCCAGGCGCGGTGGCTCATGCCTGTAATCCCAGGGCTCTGGGAGGCCGAGGAGGGCGGATCACGAAGTCAGGACATCAAGACCATCCTGGCTAACACGGTGAAACCCCGTCTCTACTAAAAATACAAAAAAATTAGCCAGGCGTGGTGGCGGGTGCGTGTAGTCCCAGCTACTCGGGAGGCTGAGGCAGGAGAATGGCATGAACCTGGGAGGCAGAGCTTGCAGTGAGCCAAGATCGCACCACTGCACTCCAGCCTGGGCGACAGCGCGAGACTCCGTCTCAAAAAAAAAAAAAAAAAAAAAAAAAAAGAATATGCTGAACCTGCGTTGCAGATTACAAAGGAGGAAAGAGATCTAAAAGTACAAAGATGTCTGAATTCCTTGGCAGAGCTGTTAGGGAAGTTGACTAGAAACTATTATGGATGGAGATGGTCCCGGTCAATGTGGTCCCATTGTTTTGTGTCGGAGCTCAGGAAAAGATTTTCAGTGACTGGTTTGCCTTGGAACCTTCAACTTTGTAAAAGTTGAGCTTTCATCTCAAAAGACAGATCCTGAGCAGACTGTCATCTCTACTTCTAGAAGAATTTCCCTCTTACCTTGGAAAATTTGAGCAAGAAGAATGAGAGCAGCCAAAATAAAGACAAATATTTTCATGGCTCCAGGCATCAGTGGAGAGCTGATGAAGGAAGTGCAGTAGCTGGAATCAAGCTCTTTTATCAAGGGGCATTGATTAAAATATGTTCTACTGCCCTGAAGGGACTGGAAGTCATCCTCGGTTTGTAATGTTCATTGGGAACATACTATTTTCCATGCTCCACTGACTAATGTGTGGGCTGATGGATCAGATTTTAACTAAACCACATTTGTGGGAGACAAACGCAGAGAACCCTGCCTTTCTGCCTGGAATATTCTATTCTGTGTCTCTGCTTAGACTTCTCTCATTTTTCCTTCAAGTCTTATCTCAAGTATTACCATGTCTATAAGATATATAGCCACCACGCTTTTCCTAGTACATGATTTTACATAAAACCTATTCTTAAAATAATAATTAAAACAAACACACAAAAACCTTTAATTTTAAATTCAGGAGTACGTGTGCAGGTTTTTTTTTTTTTTTTTTTTTTTTGACAGGGTCTCGCTGTATTGCATGGAGTGCTGTTGCTTAAGGAGAAAAGGGTTAATCCATTGAAAATACATAAAAACCATTAACATGTTTTTATATTATTTGATTTAATTAAAGGGAGAAATAGACACTTCTATATTCATAGTAGAAAATTTTTACACCACTCTCTCAGCAACTGATAGAACACAGGGAAAAATTAGCAAAGTCATGCATGATCTGAACAATACCACCATTCCACTGACTGCATTGATATTTATAGAACACATCATAAGACAACTGCAAAATACACATTTTTTTCAAGTACATATGATACATTCATAAAAATGAACCATATGCTAGGCCATAAAACAAATATTGATGTGTTTAAGCACATTTAAATACTTCAGAGTGTATTTCTCACCACAAGGGGATTAAATTGGCAATCTATAAAATAAGCTATTTAGGATATTTTCAAATATGTGGAGATAAAGCAACATCATTCTAGATTGTGTTTGTATCAAAGAATAAATAATGAGAATAATTGGAAAGCATTTCTGTATATCGAATTTTGTGGAGCACAACAAAACAATGACTTCGAAAGAAATTTGTATCCAAATACTTATTGTAGAAAAGAAGAAATGTTTAAATCTATGACTTAAAATTATGCTCTAAGAACCTTAGAAAAGGGAACAATGTAAGCCCAAGTATGCAGAATAAGTGAAAAAGAAGTTATCACTACAGATCCAAGAAACATTAAACTAATATAAAAATGTTGTCAACAGGTATATGCCAAAACATTTCACAACTTACATAAAATAAAAGAATTCTCTCAAAAATTTAACTTACCAAAATTGGCACAAGAATTAGCAGAAAATATAAGTATTTCTGTATGTCTTAAAGAAAGTAAGTGTGTTATTAAATGAAGAATGGCTTCTGCTTAAGATGTAGAAATACGTAAAGAAAATCATCCCACATGAAACAAGTACACAGCAAAACACACGGCAGACTGCAAATATTCAGTTTCTTGAACTCATTGGAAAGCTAAGGTCACAAATCAGCCACCTACCTAGAAATATAAGAAAAGACAGGAACCTCCAAAAAATAAAGACCATGAGTGCTTGCTTACCTGAAGCAGATTACCCCCAGAATATGATTTAAAAGATTTCAGGTAAAGTCTGTAGAGAATTGCTAAGAGCAAGCATAAACTAGAGAAACAATATAAATGTCTGGGGTCACAGACAAAAGAGAAGTTCACAGCAACTTCTAATGTCTTCTCCATAGACTCAGCAGGTGCTTACAAAAAAGATTAGAGTATTTCATGATGTAAGTCGGCTGAGGGGAACAGTAGCCACTGTGAGAAAGAACGAAAGCTTGCAAGAATCTTTCTCTTTTATGGAAAAGAAAGTCTTAATTTCTTAATTAAGAAACTGAGGGAAGAACAACAGTTGTTTGTACGGCACTGGTGAATGAACAATCTAAAAAAATGCAAAACAAAATATTAAAGCTAGGAGAACGAGGAGAAGGGAGCACATTAAAAAAGAAAAATAAAGAACATCCTCTACCTTTGTCAACAGAGAAGGCATACATGCCTCCTGCCTGTAGAAAGATGACAGAATAACTGCAGCAAACTTCTCATCAAAAAATATGCAAGCCAGGACAGGTGTGGTGGTTCACGCCTGTAATCCCAGCACTTTGGGAGGCCAAGGTGGGCAGATCACTTGAGCCAGGAGTTTAGTTCGAAACTAGCCTGGGCAACATAATGAGACCCCTATCTCTACAAAACATACGAAAATTAACTGGACATGGTGGCAGGCACCTGTGGTCCCAGCCACTCAGGAGGCTGAGGTGGGAGGATCACTTGAGCCCCGGAGGCAGAGGATGGGGTGAGCCGAGATCATACCACTGCACTGCAGCCTGAGCTTCAGAGTGAGACCCTGTCTGAAAAAAAAATCGAGGCAAAATAAAATAGAGTAACATCTTTACAATGTTCCAGTGGAGCCATTTGGCCCTGGGTTTTACTATGTGGGATTTTTGTTAGTGTTATTACTGTCAATTCATGCACTTTATTTGTTATAGGTCCATTTTAGACTTTCTATTTCTTCTTGAATTAGGTTTGATATGTATGCATTTCTAGGCATTTATTCATCTAGATTATCAAAATTGTTGCCATAAAATTGTTTATAGTATTCCTTAATAATATTAAAAAATACTTTTGTAAGATCTTTTGTAAAACTTCTCTTTCACTCATGATTTTAGTAATATGAGTATTCTCTTTTTTTCTTAGTCAGTCTAGTTAGAGGCTTGCCAATTTTGTTGATCATTTCAAAAAATAAATTTTTGTTGTGTTGATTTATTCTATTGTTTTCTTAGTCTCTATTTCATTTATTTCCGTGCTAATATTTATTATTTTCTTCCTTGTGCTTGCTTTGGGTTTAGTTGGCTCTTCCTTAATTTTCTTGAGATGGAAGATAATTTACTGATTTTAAATCTATCTTCTTTATAAATACAGGCATTTACAACCATACATTTTCCTGTAAGCATTGTTTTAGCTGCATCTCACAGTTTTTGTAAGTTGCTGTTGTGTTGTATATTTTAAAGTGTTTGGGGGCTCCCTTTAAAATATTTTCTACATTCCCTTATGTTTTCTGCTTTGACCCATCATTTATTCACATTTATGCTGTTTAATTTCCACATAGTTGTGACTTTCCCAAATTTCTTTCTATTATCCCATTTTGTTCAGAGAACATACTTTGTATGATTCCTATCCTTTTAAATGTATTGAGGAGCTTGTATTTAAATCTAACATACAGTCTATTCTAAAGAATATTTCATGTGAACAGAAGAAGAATGTGTATTTTGCTGTAATTGGTGCAGTGTTCCACGCTTTGAGGTCATTGTGTTACAGTGCTATTCAAATCTTGTATTTCCTTGCTAATCTTTTTTCTAGTTGTTTTGTCTATTATTAAAAGTGGTATATTAAAGTCTCCTGCTATTACTGTTGACTTCTCTATTTCTCCCTTCAATTCTGTCAATTTTCTCTTCATGTATTTTGGCACTCTGTTGTTAGGTGCATGTTTTTATACTTGTTATATTATCGTGATAGATTAACTTGCTAACATTACAAAATGCCCTTCTTCATCTTTAGTACCAATTTTGTCTTAAAGTTTGTTTTGTACACTATTGGTATAGCCACTACAGCTCTCTTTTGGTTATTGTTTGTATGGCAAATCTCTTTCCATCCTTTTACTTTCAGTCTCTTTGTTTCCATGAATCTAAAGTGTAAAGAAAGTGTTCCTGGACCAAACGGAGAGTTGGGCTGCTATTTCTCACAGCCCAATAACAAGATGCAAATAAACTCGGGAGGAAGAGAGTTTTTATTTCTGCAACCAGTTATAGGGAGAAGTCCTGGAAATTATCGCCAGACCAACTTAAAATTACAAAGTTTTCCAGAGCTTATATACCTTCCAAGCTATATGTTTATGTGTAAGTGTGCATTCATCTAAAGACATAAGTTATTAACTTCTTTTAATCTATAACTAAGGTCTGAGTCCCGAAGACCTTCCTCTGGAGCCTCAGTAAATGTACTTAATCTAAATGGGTCCAGGTGCTGGGGTTATTACCCTCACCTTGTCTCCTGCTAAATCACTGATATTTGGGGAGTTTCTTCAGACCTCCTATAAACTTGTTTAATCCTAAACGGGTCCTGTTAAGAACTCCTTCATTAGTTTGTCATGCTTTAAGGCCCAGGAAAGGCCTAAGCAAAACTCTTAGTGGGCTTTTGTTACATTCAAGCCTTTATATCAGGGCACTGGCTTTTTAAGCTTTTAATATTTAACTTAACCCCTCAGTGGGTACTAAAGCAGTTGTTATGGAGTCTTGCGTTAGTGAGACTTGGCCTGCCATGAAAGGGAACAATTTGTGACTAGGTGAGCACCTGTGGGAGGTGTCCTCTGCAGCTGCCATCTGGATGCTACATGAGGTCATTAGTGAGGTAATATCAGGGCACAGCTACTGGTCTACCACTTTGTATGACTCTGAGACACTCACATGAATCTTTCATTAAAAGAAACTTCAACTAGGTTCCAGAGCATTTTTTTAAGATAAAGCAATGCAGTATTTGGAATGAGTAAGTAGTATTCCAGTTTCATGGTGTTCTGTAAGCTAGCAGCTGCATTTGCACTGTGGAGACCTGGGGAGGAAGACCATCTGCCAGCAGAAAATTACTGTGAACTGGACTCTTAAGACCAAATACCCCACTTCCCACTTCCCTGGGGTAATTCCTGTGTAAATGAAGGAAACACTCTAGGCTTCTTGAGGGCTGTGTTTCAAATCTCTTTTGGAAAACAGTGGATCATATGTAAATAGAGTGAATCTAAAAATTGAACCAATCAAGCATTAAAAGGGTTCCCCCAATGGATAGTTCTATAGAAAGAATTTAATATGTACAGATAAAGTGTTGGAAAAGATGACAATGCAAAGCGGGAGCAATGAGGCAACCCTACTGATAGTCACAGCAGAAATCTCCCACTGCCCTAAGGTTTGAGGAAAAATGGAAGGATTTGTGTGAGCCTGGGAGCAGCACTGGCTGGCAGAAGCTAAACTTGCGGTGGGACTGCCAGGTGAGTGCAGAAGACAGAAAAGCAGCGGCCTTGCTGAGCATGAAAAGCCACTGCTGGAAAAGAGAGGGAGTCGGGGAGAAATTCACATTGTCCTTCCTTCTTCAATCTCCCATTCTCCTAGGAGACACATTGACCAAAACTAGCCAGAAGTCAGGAAGCCTGGAAAATGTAGTTTGCAACTAATAGTTCCCATTTTACTCAGCAAAGCAGAAAAAAACAAGGAACAGATTTGAGCACAAAGAGACAAATAATAGGCCCAAATGTTAAACAAAACATTGTTTAATCTCATACGTTAAAACTAAGTAACCAAGTTCAAGTCACTGGTCATAGGGCTGGTAATTTTGGCCTTTATTTTGTGAAGCTGGATTTTATTTCACAAGGCAAAATTAGACAGTCAACCATTTATGCATATTCTGTGTTGAACATTTTAAGTTAATCTCTAATCATTTTCTTTCACAGGTAAATACACCATAAGTACTAGAATCAATGAATGACAATATTTAGACAAACCAAGAAATAATGTGAATATAAAAATAATGTATTATATTTGATAGAATTATTATTCCATTAACATAGTTAGTACATATAGATGGATACATAAAACATGACAGCAATGTGCACAGCAGTTACTGGATCCTAGCTATGGCTCTGAAGAATTAACAGCCTCTTGAGCCTCAATATTTTCAAATATAAATGGCAGTAATAAAACCTACCTCATAAGGTAATCATGAGTCATATGAGAGAAGTATGGAAAATACTTCATAAATTGTAAGGTACTCTACATATACATAGTAGTGGTATCTGATTGAGCAGATACTAGGTACACACTCATGTCTTGATGTTTTTTAAAGGTCATCTCGCCCAGCATGGTGGCTCATGCCTATAATCCCAGCACTTTTGGAGGCCAAGGCGAGCAGATCACCTGAGGTCAGGAGATCGAGACCAGCCTTGCCAACATGGTGAAACCTCATCTCTAGTAAAAATACAAAAATTAGCCAGGCATGGCGGTATGCGCCTGTAGTCCCAGCTACTTGGGAGGCTGAAGCAGGAGAATTGCTTGAACCCGGGAGGTGGAGGTTGCAGTGAGCCAAGATCGAGCCACTGCACTCCAGCCTGGGCGACAGAGTGAGACTCCTTCTCAAAAAAAAAAAAAAGAAAAAAAGTCATCTTTAAAAAATAAGCAATAAAACGTAACAAAGGGAGAAAGAAATGAGAATGATTCTGAGACTCACTCACTGTGTGATTTGGATAAGCCACATAACTTCTCTTGAACTTCTTTGAATATCCAGGTCTGCTTCTAAGGCCAGAAGTGTGCTGGTCTGGTTTGTCAGATCCTCTGTCTGCAGCAGAGAAAGTTCAGCCTGCAATTTCCATCGGGCTTCTCATTCTCCAAGCACTCCTTCCTGCATTTTCCCCGACCAAGCTTGCACGACTCACAGACAGCAAACTCACCTGTGCCAAGAAAGAGCTGCTGAGGGAGCTTTCCAGGAAATGTCTAGAAATGGGGAACATGTCAAAGACCACCAAAAAAAAAGGGACAGTTCGTACGTATGATTACAAAGAATATTTTCAAGAATCAGCCCAGATTTTTCAAAAATAGTTTCTGCTTTTTGCAGTAGGGAGTTGGGGAGAGTTAATTTTTATGCAACAGATCATCGCAATTCCTACTCTCCAAGTGTTTATAATCTGGCAGGGATCAAAAGTAAACCACAGACAGACAAAGAGACATACATATTACAGAACTATAAAAATACATACCTGATATGACTGTGAAGTTTACTAGACAAAAAATGGGAGGGGTATATTGTGGTTTTTTAAAGATCCTTGAAGATCAACTCTAGTTTGGGCCTAGTAGCCGGCAGGTTAAGGTCCATATTCTCATTTGTCCAGTGGCCATTCTAGAAGCACCTGACTACATTTTTAAATCAGTTTAGGGATCAAATGGAATATTATATGTAAATATTTTCATTATAATAATACCTACCACATAGGACTGTTTTGAGGATTACATGACAAAGTCCATGTAAAGTTTTTAGCAGGATGCCTGGTACAGAGCAAACACTCAAGGACTAGTAGCAACCTTCATATTTCTCACTTTGAAATTCTGTCTAAAACCATTTCAACTTTGTCTACAATATTTCTTTTAGTTTTGTTTACAATGTCCTTTCTTTCTGTATAAGATGACTTCAAAGAAAAAGAAAAGATCTGGGGGCTATTCGTTATGAATAGCTTTTCTGCAATGGTGCTGAGTTTTCACTGAGGCAACCTCACTCTTTAATTTGAGCTTCCTTCAACTAACCTCATGCATTTGTGACATATATTATTACCAGACTTAGCAGCAGAGCTTGCAAGAGATGGGCAGGCGTGTTCACAGAGCAGTGCTAATTGGCTGGTACAAGAATAAATCTAAGAACTTGGTTTAGTGAGCACCAACAGCTAATGGGAAAAGCCACTGAGTCCAAATCTCTATGGCCAAATTACAGTCCAGTCACAAAGATATTTTTCTGTGAAATCAAAAATATCCAAATATTATACTTGGAACAAGAGAAAGAGAAGGAGATAAGTTAGTGAACTGATTTTTCAGACAATTCTATTTCTGCCACTATCTCTGTCCCCTCTTTGCCTCCAGACATCAGAGAGAGCTAACAGCGCCAGAGCTCCTAAGAGAAAAAATAATTATATACAAGAGATTTAACTTACCTGATGGAAATGGTTGGGAAAAATCAAGTCCTGCCTGGCACCCTAAATTCAAAACAAAATACATTTTGAAAATTAAAATCAACACAGGAATTAACACTGTATAAAACACTCCCAACTTCACATGTGACATAGCATAACAGGAGACAGTAGATCACAGAGTTGCAATCTTTATTCTGTTTCTCAAGGCCAGCATTCCAGGTAACCAGCAAAAACAAATTACAAAAAAAAAAAATACACTATATGCTGTTTGCTCTTAGTAAATGTCACTGTAGGTCTAAGAAATTCCCATGACAGGTGCCATGAGAGCTTGACCATTAAGGTCAAACATGGAAGAATCAACAGGCTTTATAATCTGCCCAATCAAAATCCCATCCATTTTTACTTACCTGATGGCAGTTGAACCAAAATGAAGAACATAGCAAATAGAAAATAAAATGTCTTCCTGATCAGGGCCATCTTTTAGGGAAGACTCTTCGGAATAGAGATTGGGATTTCCTTGAGAAGACCCAAATGAGAGGCTCATTTTTATTTAAAAGTAATGGGGAGATGCTCTTGATCCGTGAAGTGAATCAATAAAACACAATTATATGCTCCATTTCCCAGGATAAAGGGATGATATCATGGATAATAACCCTTGGCATCCAGAAAGCCTTTTATTTTGGGGAGTCTAACTGGTGTAGTGGAAAGAACACCAGGCTAGAGGTTGAAAGAGCAGGGGCCATGTGAGTTTCCACCATACTAATGCAGGGGCCAGAAGATAGTGACCCCTTTCATCTCTTCCAGCTTCTGTTTTCTGGGAGAAAATAAGAACCCACTTGCAAATTCTGCCTGCCTCTAAAGGTGTTGTAAGAATCTAGTATGATTATAATGCAAAAGTGTTTTGAATATGTGGAATGCTTGGAAGGAGGCCTGGTACCATGTAAGAACTCAATAAATGTGGACTCTCACTTTTCTAGCTTTCATTTTTATTCTCTACAAGTATCACAGGGAGAAAAGGAGGGGTAGCAATCATTTTGTCAAGTTAGCTCTGAGTCCCCTTTCCTGTAAGATATCACCTCACGCACCAAAGCCATAATTACTGCATATTTTAAATTCATTAAGGACATGAATATTGGCCCAGATGGGTGGCTTATGTCTATTATCGTAGCTTTTGGGAGCCTAAGGCAGGTAGATTGCTTGAGCCCAGGTGTCTAGGGCAAGGCATGATGGTTACCAGCCCCTTGCTGCGCCAACAGTGCCATGGTACAGGTGAGCAGCATGGCAGGACCAAGCACGAAAAGCGTGCAGCATACAGCAAGATTCACATTTTTTAACAAATATATGCTTAGGTCAAGCCCTTTGCCAAGTTTACAAAGCTCAAAAAGACTGAATCTGGAATTCAGATTCCACCTCACTACGGTTCCTCAGCTCTTAACTGAAGCATTGAGATATTGTATAATTACTCCCATTTTACATATGAGTAAACCAAAGCTGTTCAGGAACACAGCCAGGATTAGAAACCAAACTACTGGACTCCAGATTTTTTTATTTTTTCTGTGTCTGCCCTACTCTGTCCTCCCTTCATCCCCACTTTCCTTCTTCAAAACTTTCCAGAATCAGAAATATGATGAGCTGTAGACTGAGTGACACCCACTGAGGTTGGGTGGGCTCTGTGCAGCAGAGCATGGAAATCCTCTCGTTTCTGCTAAGCCTCACTGATCAAGATGTTACTTGGTCTGGAGAAATGTATAAATGTGGGTGTTTGCGGCTCTTTCCTCATGGACACGGTGCTGATCTCTCAAGACCCACCCAGTCATGAGGACTTTCCTCTTTCTCTTTGCCGTGCTCTTCTTTCTGACCCCAGGTAAAATGGGCATCTTTACAGGGAAGGTGATCGGAGGTGGTGTCCCACAGACAGGGTCCCCTTCAGTGAATGCCTGGGCGTGATCAACCCATCTACTACAAGAGGTGATATCCCCCAACGCCTCTTCTGTAATTCCTTTGCATTTTACATTGTTATCTAGGAGGGGCTGTCACAGGTTTGAAAGAATAAAAGAAGGCCAGGAAAGATGCCTTTTGGCATCCCATCTCATGCTCACTAACAAAAACAAAAATTGAGAAAAAATTAAAAACAAGGATAGCAGTCTATGAACCTTTTAAAATGTAGTTATGGTAGAGATTGAGACAGGTAAGGAGAAGGGACAGGTAAGGATCTGAGCTTAGAGACACCTATGCACTCATGCCAGTCATGGCAACAGGTAAAGCAGCGTAACTTGGACTGCCATTTCTTGATCACATATCATCAAGCCAAGTACTGTGATGAGAGCTTCACATAAAATGCATCTAGTCTTCCAGTGCCAGCGCCTTTACGGAAAACTCTGTCTTACCCCTAATTTAATGGAAGTTAGAGAAAATCTTTTTGGGTTTGAAGGTCCATTTTACAAATTTTATTACAGATGCAGAAATTGTGCCTCAGATGGGCTCAGTGCTTCTCAGAGTCTTATAGATAACCAAAACAAAGCCAGGGTAGGAGCCCAACTGTCTTGCCACAGTAAGAGGCATTAAAGACACCCTTCCCATATCAAAACTCTCTTCATTTTCTCCTGCTCCTGGGAATCTCCAGTGGCTCCAATTGTATCCTCTTCAAAATTAAGGTTTAAGACCAGGCTCATGTGAGCCTCCAGAGAGCTGAAGAAAGGGATTCTCAGAGCCCACAGTAACTCCCAATTTGTGCCAGATACCAGTGATATACGATCGCAGGTATGATGCTCAACTTTTCACATCAGCTGCTCATAGCTCTGGTCTGTTTTGTGACAAGCCTGTGAGAGTAGATTCTGTGTCAAAACATGAGGATCTAGGACCCACAGTGACCTATGCCGTATTCAGGCCACTGGTTTTGATATGCACGTTCGAAACTGGCCAGAGGTATCTTTTTCAGATCACTCATACTTATTATATAATAAGTCAAAAAAAAGATGTTATATACTATAAAATTATCTGTTAGATAATACTATAATTATAAAAGTATAATTAGTTACTATAATTATTATGTAATTACAGATACTTATCTATAATTACATAATGCTTGTTATATAATTATTAGATAATCTAATAATTACCTATTAGATATACTAGAGTATAATACTATAATACAATAGTATTAGAGAAAATCTTTTTGGTTTAGTTTAGTATTATAGTATAGCATAGTATATACTATAATTATTTACTGATGTTACAGTATGGTATTGTACTAGTATTATATACTATATAGTATTGTACTAGTATATATTTTATATATATATATACATATTTTTTTTTTTTTTTGAGATAGAGTCTCACTCTGTTCCCCGGGCTGGAGTGCAGTTTCACAATCTCAGCTCACTGCAACCTCTGCCACCGGGGTTCATGCGATTCTCCTGCCTCAGCCTCCTGAGTAGCTGGGATTACAGGCATGTGCCACCTTGCCTGGCTAATTTTTTGTATTTTTAGTAGAGACGGGGTTTCACCGTGTTGGTCAGCCTGGTCTCGAACTCCTGACCTCGTGATCCACCCTCCTCAGCCTCCCAAAGTGCTGGGATTATAGGTGTGAGACACTGCACCTGGCCAGATACTATATTATACTAGTATATTATTACTAGTAGTATTATATACTAGTATGTAATATAGTATATATACTAGTATAATACTCTAGTATATAGCATAGTATACATACTAGTATAATACTCTAGTATATAGCATAGTATACATACTAGTATAATACTCTAGTATATAGTATAGTGTATATACTAGTATAATACACAAGTATATAGTATAGTGTATATACTAGTATAATACACTAGTATATAGTATAGTGTATATACTAGTACATACACTAGTATACAGTATAGTGTATATACTAGTATAATACTCTAGCATATAGTATAGTGTATTATACTAGTATAATACACTAGTATATAGTATAGTGTATATACTAGTATAATACACTAGTATATAGTATAGTGTATATACTAGTATAATACACTAATATATAGTATAGTATATATACTATTATAATACTCTAGTATATAGTATATATACTAGTATAATACTCTAGTATATAGTATAGTATATATACTGGTATGATAATATAGTATATATACTATATTATTACTAGTAGTATTATATACTAGTACATAGTATAGTGTACATACTAGTATAATACACTAGTATATAGTATAGTATACTAGTATAATACACTGGTATATAGTATATATACTACTATAACACACTAGTATATAGTATAGTATATATACTAGTATAATACTATAGTATACACTATTATACCAGTATATACTATAATACTAGTATTTTTATAGTATATACTAATCTATACTATGATACTATACTAAACCAAAAAGATTTTATCTGAATACCACACTATAGTCTATAGTATAGTATTATATTAGTATCTGCCTTACAGTAGGGCAGAGAGAACATAGACCCCTGCCAGTGAGAGCCAGAGTTCATCGAGCTTTGAAATAGTGGAGTATTTTCACTTATGAACTGATGTGCTGATCCTGGATAATCATTAGTGCATATGCTGGCACTAATCCACCTGGCTGTAAGTTTTATGTAGATTTGAATTAGGCACCTTTATATGTTGACATTAAATGTATATACATTATAGTATAGACATTAAATGCAATCTCTGTACATCTGATGCCTTCATTATATATACACAAATTGGGCAGCTCTAAAATGTTGATCCTGATAAGACGTGCTGTCTGTCCTTAACTTGAAGCAGGCTGCTCTTGGGACTGCTACTGATAAAGCCCTAAGGTGGGAACTGGAATTCTCCACAAAATGAACTGAGAAAATCTTAGAAAAACATTCCCAACATGCTGCACCCTCCTTCTCTAAAGCACAAGTTTTCCGCAGTCGTTGCTTTGGTGAATATGGAGGAGAAATCAGGCTGAGCCTTCCAAGCAAGTTTCTATCTACCACAGTAAACTCATTCTCTTTTTATACCTTTATCCCTTCCTTTGCTCTGGTCTGGAGCTATCTCCTCAGTCTCAGCTCTTGCTCTACTCTCACCAAGTAGCAGCCTCTGAGAGTGCACTAGGAAAATTAGCAGCCTCTGGGAGTGTTTATGGGAACAAGTTGATAATTATCCCCAACAGATTTCGATTAAAGAACCATAGCTTAGGGACGTTTCCCAAAGCTCCTACACAGCTTGGTCTCAAATGCTGGAAGACAAATGTATTCTTTCCGGTATTTCACCCTGTGTGACTATGAGACTGAAATATCAGATAAAAATCAGGTCCCCTACCATCTCATCTACCGGTAGGATATGGCACTATGACAGCTTGTGAAAAAATCTTCACCAAGTAGTCATACAACCGTATCTGGTAAACACACATGTCTGAAAAGGGAATTAATCCAAATGGCTCCTTCCCTCGTGTAGCCAAGAATGCATTTTTTGATGAGAAATGCAACAAACTTAAAGGGACATGCAAGAACAATTGCGGGAAAAATGAAGAACTTATTGCTCTCTGCCAGAAGTCTCTGAAATGCTGTCGGACCATCCAGCCATGTGGGAGCATTATAGATTAATGCAGAAGATTTAGGTTTCCAGAGAAGCATACATAACCTAGCTTCTTTTTACTCTTGCCTCTGCTGTAGGCAGACACTTTAATAAAAATAAATGACTGTCTTTGCTCAGTTTGTCAAGTGTTTCATTTAGAAAGGAGAACAACACTGCCTGACCTTGATGCTCCCTCCATCCCGGTTTATTTTTCTATCATTCTGGAGTAGATAAATTGTCCCAAAGCCATCTGAAATTTTTCTTAAAAGAGGACTAGAAGAGACTAGAAATCAACAAATCTCTAGCTTGTGCTCAGTCTAGTAAGTTGGCGCTTACTAACCTATTGACATGAAAGAAGTAAACAAAAGAAAATAAAGAAAAGAGAGAGGGAGGTGGAAAGAAGATGAATAGGTAGAGAAATGAGCACACTTTTTTTTAATACAAAACAAAATTTTATTCTTTTTTTTCTTTTTCTTTTTATTATACTTTAAGTTCTAGGGTACATGTGCACAATGTGCAGGTTTGTTACATATGTACACATGTGCCATGTTGGTGTGCTGCACCCATTAACTCATCATTTACATTAGGTATATCTCCTAATGCTATCCCTCCCCCCTCTCCCCTCCCCCCTCCCCCCACCCCACAACAGGCCCCGGTGTGTGATGTTCCCCTTCCTGTGTCCAAGTGTTCTCATTGTTCAATTCCCACCTATGAGTGAGAACATGTGGTGTTTGGTTTTTTGTCCTTGAAACTGGAAACCATCATTCTCATCAAACTATCGCAAGAGCACACTTTTTAAAAATTTTTACCATCATGCCATATGCCCACATAAATGAGCATACATTTACATGAATAGCTACATGAACGACAAATTGATGGATAGGCGGTCCATTTATCAAAGACTTTTATGTGTCACACACACACCTGTCTAAATTAATCATCATGACCCCATGTCTTTAATTGGGGCTAGTTAAATATTTTCTATAGACTTGTTCTCTACACGTAAGTCTGAGATAAAATTTGCTGACAGGCAAGGGAGTCATAATTACCTCTATGAGTCTCAGTAACTCTAGTGATTTAGACCCTCTTCCCCAAATCACTGCCTACGATTTTCCTAGGAACTGGCTGACAGTTTACCTTCTGATTCTAAGCCTCAAAATTACTGTTATGGTGGGAATGTGTTCTTCCAAAATTAATGCTGAAGCCTAATCCCCACTCTGGTGATTAACAGATGAGGCCTTTGAGGAGGTGATTAAGCCTCAAGGGCCCTGCCCTCATGAATGGAATTAGCACCCTTATAAAAGAGGTTGAAAGAAACTGCCTTGCTCCTTCCACCATGGGAGGACACAGCGTTTGTCTCTTCTGCCATGTGAAGGCTGAGCAACAAGGTGCTATCTTGAAAGCACAAACTGGGTCCTCAGGATATAGTAAATCTTTTGAGGTCTTCCAGCCCCTAAAACTGTAAGTAATAAATTTCTATTGTTTATAAATCACCCAGCATAAGGTATTTTATTATAGCAGCATGAATGGACTGAGACAATTACTTAGTTTAAGTAAGAATTTCCTATCATGTTTCCAGTGCTCAAGAGTTAGTTTTGGTTTCCTGCTGGCTCAGAAATCTTGCCTTACCTCCCCTTTAATTTTTCAAAGTCGATAGATTTAATTCTATTAGAATCAATAACCCTTTCACGAAAAGGATGTTTTAGTTACACTTTCTAGTTTGAGGTAATTGTAGATTCCTCTACAGTTCCAAAAATAATAATAATAATGCAGAGAGATACCCAGATCTTTTACTCTATTTTCCTCAATAGTAACATCTTTGTAAAACCATAGTGCAATATCACAACCAGGTTATTGACACTGATGCATAACATTTCCATTATCAGGAGGACTTCTCATGTTACCCTTTCAGAGCCACTCTCTCTTCCCTCACACCTCCACCTCCGTCTTAACCCCTGTATAAGTGATTTATTCTCCATTTCTACAATTTTGTCCTTTTAGGAATGCCATATAAATAGAATGTATATATCCTTATTAGACTGGCTTTTTTCAGTCAGCATAACTTTCTGGGGATTCATCCAGGTTGTTGCATTTATCAATAGCTCTTTCCTTCTTATTGTTGGGCAGTATTCCAGGATACGGATGAACCACAGTTTGTTTAATCACTCCCTCATCGTAGGCCATCTCTCTCTCTCTCTCTCTCTCTCTCCCTCCCTCCCTCTTTTCCCCCACTTCATTGCCTCCTCTTCTCCTCTCTACCTCTCCTTCTCTTTCTCTTTTGCATAGGGATATCTAATTGTTCAAGCACCATTTGTTGAGAAGACTATTCTTCCTCCATTATATTACCTTTGCTTCTTTGATAGAGAGGAGTTGCTTTGATCTTTTCTGAGCTATCCATTCTGTTCTGTTTCTCTGTTTGATCTATTTATTTATTGCTTCACCACTCCCACACTGCCTTCATCATTGCAGTTTTTTAGTGAGTCTTGATATAAGGTAGTGTAAGTTCACTGTATTAACCCATTTTCACATTGCTATAAATAAATATCCGAGATGGGGTAATTTATGAAGAAAAAGAGGTTTAATGGACTTACAGTTCCACACAGTTGGGGAGGTCTCACCATCATGACTCAAGGCAAAGGAGGAGCAAGGTATGTCTTACATGGTGACAGGAAAGACAGCGTGTGCAGGGGAACTGACCTTTATAAAACCATCAGATCTTGTGAGACTTACTCATTTTCATGAGAAAAGCACAGAAAAGAAACACCTCATGATTCATTTACTTCTCACCATGTCCCTCCCATGACTCATGGGGATTATGGGAGCAAGAACCCAAGATGAGATTTAGATGGGGACAGAAACCCTATCATCCACCAACCTTGTTCTTTCCGGTATTGTATTGACGATCCTAGGTCTTTTGAATCAGTATGGAAATGTCAACAACATATTTTGCTAAAAGTTTGACTGGGATTATATTTAATCTATAGGTCAAGTTGTAAATATTGACATCTTAACGTTAAATTCTCTATTATATGAACACAGAATATTTCTCTTGTTAAAATAATTAAATGAGAGGCCATTAGACTGCGGGAGCTTCAGTGCACTCGGTTTCTACATAAGCAAACTAAAACCCAACTCGGTTTGAATGGTAAAAGAAAACTTTAACCAATCAGAAACCACCAACTAACCTCTAACAAGGGAATGGAATGATTCGAATAAGGCTTATACTCCACCTTAACCAATTAGATGTTTAATTTGCCTTTCTTCCATTTTCACCCTATAAAAGCCTTTTCCTCGTGCCTCTTTGCATGAGCCCCAAAAGACTTGTGATTTGGAGCCTGCCCGATTCTTAAATTGATATCTGCTCAAAAGAAAACTCTAAGATTTTTATGTGCCTAAGTTTATTTTTTAATACTTCTGTTGTCAGAAGAGGGACCCAAAGAAGCCCTGATAATGGTTCCTGGGACAATGAGTAGCCAGATGTAGTTACCAGCTGAGCCGGTTTTACTCACCGCTTTCTCTCTGTGTCTGGATCCAGCAGAAACTGGACTGGGTCCAACAGAAGGTCTTAAGAAGGCAGGGTTTAGGGAAGACAAAGAATCATGAGTTCATCTGTATCCAGGTAGTCTGGAACCTCTCCATCTGGGACTCTAGCTACGTTCATGTATAAAAATTATGGACCCAGAACCTGTGTTTTTCTAAATAAATGTGTAAACTTTACTAAAGACAACTTAGAATTACACTGGTCACAGTGAAGAAATTTTAACCTAAACAGTTATTCATCTATAAGCTACATTGAAAGAGAAGTGATCTTAAATGCCTCAAAAAAATGAGATATGTTTTTAATTGGCATGCAGAAGCTTCTAAAAGACTAAGCAAATCAAAACTTGCCTTTCTTAAAGACTCTTTACAAAAGGCAAATTAAAAGCTTAAGCACTTAATCAGTGATGATAAAAAATTGCACATTGACTCACTCAACTCTCAATGCTCCTTCTTTTCCTCCTGTCTCTCTTCTTCCTCTGCCTAATTACTCTGATTCCACTACCCTCTTCACTCAGCTGCCTTTCTACTATGAAGATGAGAAGCAAGTTAGGAAAATGCCTTCTAAAGTTAGTTCCTCAGATCAACTGTGTCTGCCTTCTTTAATTACCTTTATGTCTTGGTCAAAATCCGAACTGACAGAAATAGTGAAAGACTTCCCTAACCCAAAGGAAAACCCCCAGGAATTTGCTGAGGAATTTAGAATCCTCATTTAAACATACAATCCATGACTTCCTGATCTTTGTCAATTTATCCACATGATACTGGGACCTGGTCAAGCCTGCAAATGGAGGCGATGGTTGAATGGGACTAACCTGAGGATGATATTAAGGATCTTATGTCTCAGACAGCTGCAAGGGATGAACAAAAAAGAGGCAGGGGAAAAGGAAGCATTCTATAATCTCATAAGTAAATCTCATCTTTACCTGAGCCTGTGTGTCCCTGCACTGTGACTGTCACAAGAACTTTTTTTTTTTTTTTAAATCTCTGTCACCAGGCTGGAGTACAGCGGCATGATCTTGGCTCACTTCAACCTCCTCCTCCCAGGTTCAGTGACTCTTCTGCCTCAGCCTCCCAAGTAGCTGGGACTACAGGTGTGTACCACCACACCTGGCTAATTTTTGTACTTTTTAAGTAGAGATGGGGTTTCACCATATTGGGCAGGCTGGTCTTGAACTTCTGACCTTGTGATCTGCCCACCTTGGCCTCCCAGAGTGCTGGGGTTACAAGCATGAGCCACCGTGCCCGGCTCTCAAGAAATTCTTAGCTACCCCCATCCCTCAAGTGAGACAGGAAGGTCAGATGGGGCTGGAATAGGGAAACGTCTTCCCCTCCAGGTGGGATATGGCTCGAGTAAAATTGTTTTTCCTGCAGAGGAGGAGGCTTTGGTTATGGGGAATCCTCTGGACATGTTTCACAATATCACTCTTCCCTTCTCCTTTCAGGGCAATGAGGGCTTCCATTCTGGCTCTTCACCATGATAACCTTGGGGGCTTCCTGGATTTAAAACCCAGGAAAGCAGGGGTTGAGAAGGGAGAGCCTTTGACCATGGTCTCTAGCAGTTTTTCACTCTCCTAAATGTCCACGTTCAGCCTCCAGCAAGTTGTCGAAGTCACCGTAAGTGTTCCTGCTAGTTTATGGTTTCAGAGCTTCCATTCCAGGTTAGCTCATCTCAGCTGTGACTCCAGATTTCCACGCAATGGGTTTGCCCGGAGCCCTCAGTTCCCTAATGGGTCCAAGAAAAGTCATTGATTTTTCCATTTATTTGGCTTTTTTTTTCTTTCTTTAAGGAGTAAAGTAGTTACTTTCAGTCTTTTTACTTGTAGCGACCGAAACCAGAACTCTGAAATACTTCATAAGGACTCAGCAAATAAAGCTTTTATTATTTTTTTCTCCTAAGAAGATATAGGATTTCTTTTGAAGTTTGGTTATTCAGTCCCTGTATATGAATTACCTTTTTTTTTTGAAGAATTGCTGAATATTTATTATCATCAGAATTTTTCAGTTTTCTTCAGAATCCTGGTCACATAGATGACCTTGAATATTGGCTGATGTTTTTCCCTTGAAGCTCATCATCAAAAATTACTAAAGCCTGACATGTGGCAGGCTAGGAGGGTCCCATGGATCCTGCACATTTGTGCTTGCTGTGTGTCTGCTGTGAGGAGAGTATCCGACGGCCTCTACGTGCTGCACGTTTGTAACCTGCGGCAGGATTCCCATGGCTACCACTCTTGCCCTGGCTGCTTCCAGGCAGTGAATGAGCACAATGTGGACTAGAGCTGGGCCATGTCTGCTGGTGTAGGACAGTCTTTGCCCTGGGGTTCCCCACTGGCAATGCTGAAATTTTCTGCACTGTAGTCTGAGGCTCCCCCGACTCCAAACCTTTTCACAGGTGTTAATTGACGTCATGTTCTGAAGACTTTCCCTACTCAATCTTGCTCCCTCTCCCCATCATCTTTTTGTTTTGAATTTTTATTTTATTTTATTTTTTTCAGAGACAAGGTTTTGCTGTATTGCCTACTACACTGGAGTGCAGTAGTGCCATCATAGCTTACTGCAACCTCGAACTTCCGGGCTCAAGAGACCCCCCTGCCTCAGCCTCCCAAGTAGCTGGGACTACAGGGACACACCACCATCCCTGGCTAATTTTCTTTTTGTGTAGAGTCGGGGTCTCTCTATGCCGTCCATGATGGACTCAAACCCCTGAGCTCACATGATCCTCCTCCCTCGCTCAGCCTCCCCAAGTGCTGAGATTTACAGGTGTGAGCCACTGCGCCTGGCCCCCCTTTATCTTTCACAGGCATTTCCCAATAAATTTATTTCCTTTCTAATTCCTGTTGATAAATGCTTCATGGAGCACCCAAACTGGCATAGTTTATGATTTCTGATGTTCTATTCTATTCCGTTACTGTGAAAGGAGACCTGGTTTTCCATCACATTCTCCCCTAAGTGAGAACTCTGGGGAAGACACACTGACTGCTAGATTTTGCTTAGGATGTGCAAGCAACGTATGTCTGTCAGGCTTTGTCTAATCTGTGTTCTAGAATAAGGGGAGCTTATTCGAGAATGTCAACTTCCAAGATTGGACGTTTTTACTTTCTCTAAAATACTTCATTTTAGAGAAATGAAGTATTTTTTTTTTCTTAAAATAAAATTATCTGGTGTTTTCCCTAAGGGCAAATGCCAGGAGCATATGCTCTATATGTTTTGCCTCGGGTGGGGTTGGGGTTAAATCCAGGGAGCATATACCCCTGGTTGAGGGCCAGGCGTATGCTCTCTGGAAGGTTATGTTTTATTTGAAGCCATTGTTAGAAATACAGCATTCTCATGAATTGTCTCCTTTTAACCTCTCTTCTCATTCTTGTCCTCCTTTTCACCTAAGCCCTAAGTGAGCCTGATGCTCTGTGGTTACAATCCCACCCTTGGACAATGCCCGCCATCAAGTATTCCTTGTTGTCACTTGTCATCCTCATCCTACACTCTTTCTATCACAGAAATGTCCTGGGACCTTTCACGCATTTATGACCTCCCCACGCTCCATGCCATTCTTCTCCTTGACATTGTATGTTTGTTTCAATGTTTACTTCAGAGAGGTCTTGGGGGCTATGGACTTCAATTCCATTAGCCACATCACAATTTTCAACAAGAATCTCCTGACTGAAATGTACTGAAATGGAAGAGAAAGTCCTCTCACCAGAATTGAGGAATGTCAAGGCTGGAAGGTATCTTAGAGATCATCTAATCCAGTTCTTGCTTCAGAAACGATTCAGGGAAGCAAGTGAAGTGACTTGGACTTTACCTATGGTAATACTCTCTCCCCACCCTCAACACTGCCCAGCTGGCATTTCTGTAGCCCCAACACCTCCCCCACACTGTGCCTTGGTGAGTGTTCACCAAGGAACGCTGCATTTTGATAAGCCTCAGTAATCAAGAGCAGCCTCTGCCCATAAATACACCTGCCCTGCTCCTGCCTGGGGTGATTCCCTCCGACTTGCGTCTGCTTCTCGCCAGCAGCCCCAGCATTATGCAGAGACTTGTGCTGCTATTAGCCATTTCTCTTCTACTCTATCAAGATCTTCCAGGTAAAAAGGGACTCTCAGCTGGAAATATACACAGTTGCTGGGGATGACAGGGGGAGAAGAAAAACATTTGATTTAGAAAATAAATCCTGAAGGATGGAGTAACCTTCTTCAATCTCAGCCTTTTTTCTCTTTGCTTTCATTGGGTCCATTAGTAAAATGCAGTATGTGGCAGTCCTTGTATGCACCTTACAGCCACGAGGCTTACTAGCTCAAGGAGGAAAAAAGAAACGTAGGGATCAGGAGTCCTAGATGTCCTTGGCACCCTGGCCACACACGGTAACAATTCCTCATGGAATCCTCAGCAGTGAGGACTCACTAGCCATGCTTGTTCCATTGCAGGGCAACAGCAATTATTCATTGTTGATTTTGTAGAATAAGATGCCTTCCCCCATCCTCCTCCTTCTGAACAGCTTTACTCTGCACAGAAAAGGGCGCCTACTCATCCTCCTAAATTTTGCAACTTTTCATATCAAGTCAGATGATTAGGGTTAAAGGGGATGCAGTGATTTCAGTAGGCAAGAACGTAATTTACTGACAACACAAATAGCAGGTGCCTTTGAACTCTGCTCAGGAAATTTTAGACTGAGATGTCAGCAATCTTCTGACTCCTACGTTAATCTATGTCCCCAGAAGCATGTATTTCTTAATATATTTGCAATGGATATGAGAGAGCACCTAATCTAATTCCCTTCTTTTACAAGCTGAGCAGCATTCTCTATAGTACAGTGAGAGAAAATAAGATTTTTAGAGTTGCTTAACAAGTCTAGCAGTGCTGGGACGAAACCAATTGTTTTGACTCGTAGAAGCCATCGGATCTTCTCTTCCAAGCTGCTCAGTCAATTTTATGGGGCTTTGACAGACACCCAGCACCCATCTTTTTGCCCTTCCGGGCTGTGCCTCCACTGTGATTCAGATGGGTTAATGATTTTTTTTCAGAGGGTACCTGTTTAGGTTAACTCTTCCTTTTTCTTTCTTCCCGTGTCATTTCCCAAAGACACTTCTGTGAAATTCTGCTATGGGCATGTTCCAGGTCTGTTAAAATATGATAGCAATTTATCAAAGAACAGGTTTTCTTCAACCTTTGATCCCAAGACAAAGAACTTGGGATGGAAAGCCTGGGTCAGGGATCCCTCCAGATCCCGAAGAATGCACCGCAGAGCTGGCTGCCATTATCCACACTTGGCTGCAGAGGGCTGGGTCAGACTGTCCTCTGCAGTTGAATTCTGAGAAAGACCATTAGCAGGAAGAGGATTAGGGAGGGAAGTGGCAGAAGTGGGTGAGGGTGAATGACATGCACTGCCTGCCTCTTCTCCTGCCACCCCTGCTTTGGGTAAGTTTGGCTGTCACACACTGTCAGCCCCTCAGATACCCACAGGGACTGGGGATGGGTGCTGTCAACCAAAAATAAAATTCTAAGCCCCCTCCCCAACCATCTAAATGGACTCCCTCCTCAGCCAGGGCTCTTAAAATTTAATCTGAAAGACTGCTTCAGGCCATGAAAGGAAGTGGGGGTTGGACATGCCTCATTACACTTTCCATCATGAACATCAACACAGACTTTAAGTGTGATAAGAAACATTTTACAGCCTGTTCTCTCTGAAGCCTGCTAGCTAAAAGCATCAACTGCATGATACAACTTTGGCCTCCACAATACAACCTCTTGTCGCAACCCAAACATTCCTGTCTATTGATCCCAGGTCTTTAGACAAACTCAATCAATTGTCAACCAGAAAATGTTTAAATTTACCTATAGCCTGGAAGGCCACCTGCCACACACTCCCACTGCACCCCCACAGGCCCCCCGCCACCCCCACTTTGAATAGTCCCACCTTTCTGGACCAAACCAATGTAAATCAGCCAGGTGTAGTGGCTCACACCTGTAATCTCAGCATTTTGGGAGGCTGAGGTCTGCAGATCACTTGAGGTCAGGAGTTCGAGACTGGCCTGGCCAACACGGTGAAACCTCGTCTCTACTAAAAATACAAAAATTAGCTGGGTGTGGTGGTGCATGTCTGTAATTCCAGCTGCTCAGGAGGCGGAGGCAGGAGAATCGCTTGAACCCAAGAGGTGGAGGTTGCAGTGAGCTGAGATCGTGCCATTGCACTCTACCCTAGGCGACAGAGCAAGACTCTGTCTCAAAAAAAACCAAACAAACAAACAAACAAAAAAAAAAAACAAAGCAAATCTTACACGTATTGATTGATGTATTATGTCTCCCTAAAATGTATAAAACCAAGCAAGCTGTATCACAACCACCTTGGGCACATGTCCTCAGGACCTCCTGAGGTTGTGTCACAGGTGTGTCCTCAACCTTGACAAAATAAACTTTCTACATTAACTAAGACCTGAGACCTGCCTAAGATTTTCTGGGTCTGTAGAGCAGAGGAGGAAAATTGCTTATGCAAGAAAGAAACTAGTGTAGTGTAGTCTACCCTGGAATGTATTTATTGCTTAGGAAATGTTTATTACTCAGCCTTAGTGTATGGACTGCATTCTCCCTTTTGCATTCTGTTTACTGAGACTGTAAGACATACCAACTAGGTTTCTGTTCCAGCTTTGACACATAAGTTGCTGTGTGACGTCAGATTAGTCACTTTCCTTCTCTGAGCCTTCATTCCCATCTCTAAATAGATGGCCTGTGAGGGCTTGTTTGAAACTGACAGTCTAACATTTTAAAGGTTGTGTTCTCTTCCTAGTCTATTCTCCTTCTCCCCTAACGCTAAGCTTCGTTTTCCCTGAGCAAGCATGCTGTCCTCTTTTTCCTCCTCTAACTCCAGGTTGTAAAGTGACCTGCCACAGATATGTCAGAAGGCACATATCTGCTACTCAACCTCCACATACTCCCTCAGCATGATACACACTGCAGCCCACCTCACTCCTTTCTTCATTGCCTTGTACTGTGACCACAAGGGCTTGCTTTTGAATGAAGCCTACAGCAAAACAGTCTTTCCTCATCACCCACTGTGGGGCCATTCCAAATATTAACCCCTTCAATATCCTATCCAGCACATGAATTGGTCAAACTTCCTTTTAGTCCTCACCTACATCCTGGACAAAGAACCTTGATACCTAAGCATCAGAAACAGGAGGCTTCTCTTTACCAGAACAAATGAAAGACATAAAACCCTGGTGCGAGGATTAGCAGCCCGTTTCTGCTTTGTAGAAAAGGAACAGATGCAACAGGGGAGAAGGACTTAAGGCTAAGATGAAATTAGGACTCTTGGGCCCCGACCTCTGCAAAGAGGTCCATTTGCAGCCCTGACTCTCCTCTCCCCAGGGTTCTTCTGACACCCTCTCCCAAGCCTGGCTCCTGCTGAGTTTGCTAGAGAACCTCTAGCAAAGCTCTCTCCAGCGAGACTCTCTCGGTCCACCTTACGCTGTCCTCCCTACCATCAGCCTTGCTTCTGGGTTTTCCTGATATCTCTGTAAGATCCTATCAGTGTGGCATGTGAGATAATGAGTTTTACAAAGCTGCTTTCAGCCTCAGAGAGCGCACCCTGAGACTGAGAAGCTAAATCCATGTCTCCTGAAAACTGCTCTGGGCCAACGGCCGAACAATCAGGATTCTGCTCCTTTCTAGTTTCCTCCTCTCTACTTGCAACCACTCTAGTTTATTCTGGTCTAGTCTATCCAATCATTTACTCACCACGTCCTTATTGAGAACAGGCTATGTTCCTGGTAGCAGTTACACAATGGTAAGCAACATAAACATGGGCCTCATTGTCAGGGAGCTCATAGTTCGAATGAGAATAGCAAATAACAAAATATACATACATATATACATATCTATATCTATGTCTATGTTTGTATGTATCTCTCTCTATATATGTATATATATATATACCTATATAGATACATAGATATATAACTACAACTTGCGATAGGTGATATAAAAGAATAACAAATGCATAGGGAGAAAAATACTTTTGGGGCATTTGAATACACGAAGAGGACAGAGAAAGATTTGCCCAATATTGGGAACTTAAGGTTGAGACATAAAAGTTCAAAGAATTCACTTATGGGAAGGAAGAAAAACCTTCCAGGCAGAGGGGACAGTGCACGTGAAGGTACCAGGATAGCAAAGAGTAAGCTCACACGGAACAGAAGGGAAGCCGGCGAGAGTTTCATGGACAGAGTGAGGGCCACAGTGGAAAAGCATGAGTCTGAAAAAGTGGCCCAAGATCAGATCACGATTGCTTTGGAGACCAAGTAAGGGGCTTGGAGAGATTTAATAAAGAAAACAATAGTAAACTTGTAGGGATTTTGAAAATAAGTGTGACATGGAATGATGTACATTTTCAAATAAAATCCATGCTGGTTGGGAATCAGAAGGTCAAATCAATCATCTAGGAAAGTGGAGGAGGATGGGGGTCCAGGAAAACCTCTACCACCATGCACTAGCATTCTCTATCCCCCTCCGAAAACACCTTCTACCAAAGCCTTGCCTTTTGGTGCCAGTAAGCAATGAATGACAGTGCCATATCCTGTTATCTAGTGAGAAGCGAATTTGAATTGGACAGAATATGTGGTTATGGGACTGCCCGTTGCCGGAAGAAATGTCGCAGCCAAGAATACAGAATTGGAAGATGTCCCAACACCTATGCATGCTGTTTGAGAAAATGGGATGAGAGCTTACTGAATCGTACAAAACCCTGAAACGCAGTAGTGCTGGTCCCTAGAGTCGCTGGAAGTAGGACCTCAGTAGCTTTCCTTCCTGCGGCCTAGCAGCAAGGACATCCCCATTGCAACCACGGGTTCAGTTATCAAAGAAGGTTTGCTGAGCTTCCACTCAATGCAAAGCCAATACAGGAGATTGAAGAAGAATACAGGCTGGAAAGCCGCCTCTGGTTGTGATAATGGAGAATAACAATGGGAGTTAAGCATGAGTTTCAACACTTTATAAGTTGAACAAAAAATATGTCTACCTAATCAGCTATAAACCTAAGAAAAACATCATTTTTATCCTGATAATATTGGTTTTCTTTTCCGATCGAAAGTTTTGCTCAGGAGTTATATATATCGTGTGTTAATTAAAATGTAAAGTAAATCAATGTTAAGTGTGCCTTGTTTAGAATACACTATATTTCAAAACATAGACCTCTGAGGAGAAAAACAAAAGAGGTGATGTGTGATGACAAGCTTGGGAACCCATTGGAGCTTAAGGGGTTGATCAAGTGGGCGTCTGTGGAGGGTCCCATCCAGCAGAGGGCAGCAGAGAGCAGCCCTGCGCTGAGCTGTGGATTCTTGATCCTGAAAACCTGTAAAGAAAGGTGAGTGATGAAACATTTGACCTGCCTGCCTTTCCTGTCCAAACCAAATTTTAAGGTAGTCAAAAGCTTCTCTCTTCGAAAGCAGTCCAGCTAATAAATGAGGAGTGTCGCCATTTTGCAAACACATAGGGAAACAGGGATCTAGCCAAGGAATGTCAACAGCGATTAAAATAAGCCAGAAAGACAACCTGCTACCCTGTGCTTCCTAATAGAAGGACATAATGCCACGTACGAGCTTCTAGTCATGGTAAGCAGCATCATCCTCACCTTGTCAGGGTGGAAACTGAGGCTGGATTGTGCCCTTTCTACCAAAACAGTGTAATGGCCCTTCGCGTAGGCATCGCCCAGCCTCAATATGTGGTTAGTCTTGTTTCATCCCTTGATAACTCTCTCCTAGATTATCTCAAATAAAAATAAATTATTTCAAAGGTGCCCATTTGAAAATACTCTAGAAGGTGTAACTCAGGGGGAAAGAACTCGTTTTGTAAAATAGAACCCCAACACTATTATCACCCCTGGAAAAAATCAGCATTCATTCCTAAATACAATTTAACAGCCAATCTGTATTCAAATGACCCTGAGCATTTCATAAGTGCCTTTTTAAGAGTTGATTTATTAGAATCTGGATCCTGGAAGGTCCACATACTGCCTCAGGTTGTTTACCTCCAAGGCCTCTTGCACAGATGGTGATGTGTACTTCTATTCCATCTATAAAATATTGTGCTGAAAATTGAGTGCATATCTGGGCAAGCCCCTAGGTCTCAACACTGCAATTACAGGAAAAGAAGAAACTACTGAACCACCCCCAAGGATGCCACACTCCAAATGCAACATACAGAACACGCTATAAGACAATGTGACATTTATTTTAGTCTTACATTTTTTTAGACTCTTTTCATTATTCTCATATTTTGTATTTTATAAAATACTTTTAATACATAATCTCCTTTGATCCTCACCATAAACTCTTGAATTAGGCATGGTAAGTGTCAACATCCTCACCTTTTAGGCACTGTTACTAAGGTTCAGACGGATTAGTGGTTTTCCTAACACTGGCCACGATATTAGGCAAGACCAGGCCTAGACCCCACATCTCAAGTGCAGTTCAGAGGCAGCACAGCATGGCATGTACAAATACGCAAAGCCTGGAATCCCAGCTCTACTGCTTAGCAGGGGACCTTGGGAAGGTGACTTATTTGACTTGTACCTTGATTTCCCCTCCTGCCGTATGGCCATTCTGCCCAACAACACTTACAAACAGAGATCCAACTGCTGACCCTGTGCTACAATTATTTTTTGTCTCCTTTTAAAATGTAATTTGATGCCTTGCCAAGGAGGCCATCTTGTACCTCCCAATGTAAATATAGAGCAAAGCAAGGGACTTCTACAGACTTTAATCAACGCCACCCGCCGTAGTGGCCAGAGAGACAAGAACAAGCAGAAAGCAAAGCTATCTCATTGTCAGATAACGTAGAAAGCCTTGTATCGTGGTCTTCACTGAAGAGCCCTGGGTTTGGCTTGCCGTCCTGGTGTCCTATTGTTTTGCTCTCTAAAGAGGCTGGATTCTGAAACAGCGCCCCCTCCCGCCCTCAGGTGTAATTCACATAGTCATATTAATGAACTGCTATCCTCAGCACTTAACGACATCACAAAGTCGCACTACTTTAATTTCAGGGCTTTACAGTAAAAGAACAAAGATAGATTGTTCTATTTTATTGTTTCCAGAATTGGCAGGAAATATTTAATAAGTTGTACCTGATGCACTACAAACACAATCAGAAACCCAATAACATTGCTACTTATCTTCTATCTCCAAAGGATGGATACAGATCTGAAGTCTGTAGTTCATAATGAATGATCAGTAACCCTTTGAAATGTGCCTAATGAAAATCAACAGAAGGAAGGATTGTTTGGATATTTTTCACTTTTTAATTTATGCGTTTTTTATTATTTGAAGTTGAGAGAGAGAGACAGAGATTGACAGAGAAAATCTCTGGGTGAGCAAATCACCACCCAGGTCCTTATTTAAATATCCAAAAGAGCAGAACTTGAAATTTTCAACGTGCAGGAGTTAAGGTTTTCCACACTGGCATATTCTCTTTCTTGCCTCCCAAGAGACATCCCATTAAATCCTGGAAAATATGACTGTGTAAAGGGGAAACATATTGCAGCCAAGTCTGTGCTCAGAAGTTGCTATAGAATCAACTTTCTCTTGCATTACCACATGACCCAAAGAAAATTAGCCTGGAAGAGTCTCACAGGTGAGTGAAGCAGAGATTCCTATGTAGATTTTCTTATCCCTGAATTTTAGATTGTGATATGTCCACAAGGACTGCTGGGACCTCAGTTTCATAGGCACAGAGGGCCCTGTGGGTAAAAATAGGTGGGGTCCTGAGTCTTCCCAACATGACAAAGTCAAAGACAGACACATGGTGAGTGGTAGAGCTGCCTTTGTGGCTGAATCCGAGAGAAAAAAATGGTCAACCTCTGAGGACTGGGAAGGGGCTGAAATGCTTTCCAGTTATGAGAAATTACACCCAAAATAATAAAAGCATCATGGCACCGTGGAGAAAAGATACTATTCCCGTGAAAAACTACATTTCTTCTTATGTCTGTGACCACCATGAACTCCTGCTCTTCCCCAAACAAATCTGTTGCCTTTCCCTTTAACTTTGAGCACCCCTTTGTTTATTTACATGGACTCCATTCTGTTAATAGTGTCTGCAGTGCATAGCCTCCTCCAGATCTTTAGTCTTTAATTAACACATATAGACACATCGCTTTTTCACTCATCCTCCATTTCCTCTTCTTAAAATATTGGTTAGGTCTCTAAGACAGTTTTCAGTTCCAAAATGTTATGATTGTTTCGTCAGAATTGCCAACCTCGGCCAGGCAGGGTGGCTCACGCCTGTAATCCCAGCACTTTGGGAGGCAGAGGCGGGAGGATCACTTGAGGTCAGGAGTTCAAGACCAGCCTGGCCAACATGGTGAAAACCCGATCTCTACTAAAAATACAAAAATTAGCTGGGCGCGGTGGCAGGCACCTGTAATCCCAGCTACTCAGGAGGCTGAGGCAGGAGAGTCGCTTGAACCCGGGAGGCGGAGGTTGCAGTGAGCTGAGATGGCGCCGCTGCACTCCAGCTTGGGCAACAATGCCAGACTCCGTCTCAAGAAAAAGAATAGGCAATCTCAACAGATTTATTTAAACTTATAACAATACCATGTTTTTATTACCAAAACTAAATGGTGTTTATGCCTTAGCGCTCATGAAAGGATTTCCTGTGTTCTTTCATATGCTGCCTTAAGAGCATTCTTGGGATGGCTGAAATGGCTACAGATCAAATCGACTTCTGAAAACACAATTCATTTTGTGATTCTGTGCATGAAAAAGAAACAAAATACCAAAGAATATTTTTGCACAATTCTCAAAGCTACTTCTTTAACCACGATCCAAAAGCAGTTTTCTCTCCTATCATGTAATTCTTCCTGACTGCTTTTTCCAAAGAAGACTCTAATATTTGTGTCTTTTCCATATATCAGTTATTTTCCCTAGAGGGGAATCTGTGCCTCTGTAAATGGCATTCTAGTTGGTCTTACAGACTGGTTAGCATGTTACAATCTCAGACTTAAGAATAAGAAAATCTGCATAGGAATCTTTGCTTCGCTCTTCTGTGAGTCTCCTCCAGAGAAACTTTCACTGGGTCATTTAGTAATGCAAAAGAAGAGTCTAAATTTGATTCTGCAGAGAACTTCTGATTCCAAACTGGGCTACAATAGGGTTTTCCTTCTCGCATTCATATTTTCCAGGATTTACCAGGATGCTACTTGGGAAGCAAGAAGGAGGATGTGCCGATGTGGAAAATCTTACCCCCTGCACATGTGTGCAATTTCCAATAAGATCCTTCAGGAATATGTATTTGCAGAACTTCTTATTTGACAATAAAATCTTGATCATTTTACTTTAGCCCACCTACTTAGTCCAAACGAATCAAGATACCACATACTAAGCAGCTTAAAAAAAAAAGAATATGATTTATTGATTGAATGGACCAAAAAAAACTTGAAACAATTATTAGAATATTCTATAATGGGTTCTGCCATCCTCCCCCTCAGGATGGATGTGGCTTTTAGCAAGAGAATTATTCAAAGATTTTTTTAGGACACAGAAATCTGGCAGAAGAGGACAGGAGCTGAGAGCATTGTTGTGTTAGGACAGATGTAACATTAATTGCCTTTATTACGACTTCACCAGCTTTTGCCTGTCAAAGAGCAGAACTAGGCTTTCCCGGCTGCTCTTTTTTAAGATTGTTCTTTTCAGAAGCATGGAAGAGGGGGCTTACTTTATCTCAAGACGTAGACAAAGGAAGTGAGATCTAACTATTTTTGGCTCAGTTTCTTCATTTAAATAATTTCAAATAATTCTAACGACTTAAAAGAAGATTCCGTTACCTGGGTGGTAATTACTCAAATGCTGTTATATTTTAAGTCATGATTTTGATTAATGATTCATTACTATTAATATCTGAATGGTGGAATAGGCTTGTTTTTGTTTTCTTTCCTTTTATAGAGAAGATAAAAATATATAGAAATAAGTTACCAATATACTCCAAAATTTCCATCACTGTTATAAAAGATCCACATTCCAAGTTTAAATAATTACAAATACAACTGTAAGAAGTTGCTATTGAACTAGAGTATAAAAAATACCCAGAGTATGTAGATGAGCGAATAAATCTTCATTTAGGGTTGAGGTAGAGCAGCTGTCTACCTCCTTTCTTGACTGTCTATGTTCTTCCAACATCCAATTATCAGAATTTGATGCAGTAAGTGATTAAAGAAACTTATCATGGGCCAGTTGTCACCTATCTCCGCAGTGTTGCCCTGTGCTCTTGAAATTGGAAGACTTCCTAATTCCTTAAAGTGAAAGGATGTGAATGATGCTCCTGCTCTCCCTGACCAGCACCTCATGCTTTGCAGTGGAGAATCTGTCCTGAGACCCAAAAGATAGTGGCCTCCGCATTGTGCTGCCAGGGCAGCTGCTATGTGCACCTGTCCGCAGCTGCAAACCTTCCGCCCTTTGCTGGTGCTTCAGCGGATGCCCAGGTCTCTATTGTCATTGCTGCCTCTTTCTCCATTTGCTTCCAGCTTTCTCCAGGTAGAGAGTAAGTATTTTTATTTACACAAATGACCTAAGTTGTTTTCTCTGTCTGGATTAAAATATACATGCAAATGAGACATATGAGATAAGCACTATCTTTTCCAGACATCACTGATGTTACATTGGATGCTATGTGAATACAAAACTCTTCAACCAAAGCCTTCTTCACTTTAGTTAAGTCCAGAGCAGACTGTCTGGGTTACATGCATACCTGAGCTAATGCAGCCAAGTAAGAAACACACACTTGGTTAAAATGCTTAAAAAGATGAAGGAGAAGGGAAGACAAGTCCTCTGCTTGGATATTACTAGAGGAGAAAACCCAGACTCAAACACAGATTTTTTTTTTCTTTTTTAAAAGAATTGAATTGGACCCAGTGACATCAACAGGAGGTGTCTGGGGGTAAAGAGAATGGAAAGGGGAGAGAAAAATCAAGACAACTCAAATAAGTTAAAATAGAAAGGAGGGGGGTCCAAAGTGAGGAAGGAGAAGTGGAGGGGACCAAGAAACAGGGAGAGAGACTCAGAGAGGAGAAGAAAATTAAAAGAACATTTTGAGCAGCCTTGGAACTCTCTGTATAACTTCAGGAAGGGATAGTTTGTAAAACCAGGTCCTACCTGTTATGTTGTGTGTCTTATGCATGATTTTTTAACACTAAAATAAAAACGCTCAGCCAACAGGATAGAATCGACATGGCAGTTTATTTATGTCCCTGTTCTCATGAACATTAGGGGGCTTTTGAGAAGCGTTTGAGGACATTGGCAACTTTATGATAGTTATGTTTGTTCTGCCCCTCCATGCCTTTCATCTTTCTGTTTCTCTCTGTTCTTCCTTATTCACCAAACCCACCCAAGGCATTCAGGCGTATTATTTACTTCCTGAAATATGTGTCTCAAGTGTTTGTTCCACCAGCAGTGGGATAGTAGCGTGTCCACATTGTCCTTTGAGAATGAGAAGTCATCCTGGAGCACAGCTCTTCCCACGCTCCGGGCCCACACACCCAGCCTCACTCCATCAAAGGAGCCCCGCTGCCTGCCCACCCACCCTGGGTGCTTTCTGGCTTGCAGTGCTCTTGGCAGACATGAGGCAACGATTGCTCCCGTCCGTCACCAGCCTTCTCCTTGTGGCCCTGCTGTTTCCAGGTAAAATGGAAAGGTGACCCGGGTCTGGGTGCCAGAATCTCTCTGCAATGGTCATCTGAGGTATGGGAGTCCAGGCTGGACAGGGAGAGATGAAGTCCTTGGGGCATGTATTCCTGGTGGAGCTTTGGGTACGAGTCTCTGAACTGGGTTCATAAATGGCACTCTGAATTGGCTGATGGCACTTGCTTCCCAGGGAAGAGTGTCCCTCCCCGACTCCATTTTCTTATCCTTTTAACATTCCCCTTTCCCTTACAGAGAAGAACATTACATTTTAGGGAATCTTAACAACTGCATTAGTGACACTTGAAATAAATTCTCTGGCTGTGCTGGCTTTGAGGAGGTGCTCAGACTCACCATTCATGGCATACATTTCTTACACTTCATTCACCTTCTCTCTCTACACATAGGTGCATACAACGCATGTGCACAAACGTGCACACACACGGAACACTAGCACCCCTCCCAACTCCCCCACCCAATCACCCATGCTCACTCACCTGGTAGAGTGTAGGTGCCTCATGCTGACGGGTCTGCCAGGCGGAGGCCTCAGAGCATCCTCAGACGTGTGTTTCCACTTGCACAGGATCGTCTCAAGCCAGACATGTGAACCACTCAGCCACTGAGGCTCTCGGAGAACTCAGGGAAAGAGCCCCTGGGCAAGGCACAAACGGGTTTCAGCTGCTACGCCACGCAGTGAAACGGGACCTCTTACAACCGCGCACCCCACCTTACCAAGGTGAGTCAGGGACCAACACGTGCAACAAGTGCATCCACTGGGGAGACGTAGAGGGAACAAATAGACGGGAAGATGTCTGTGCTGGTCGGGGTGGGTGAGCAGTCATTGTTTGGGGAAGACATGGTGCGGGTGCATTGGGCTGCCCTGCCTGTCAGGGAGACCACGGGGTCTCACAGCTTCCCCTGGGGCTGGATCATTGAGGGCCTTGTGGAACGTGGGAGTATTGAGGGGCCAAAAGGCAATTTATCTGAAGCCACACCTGTAATTGCTGGCTTCCTCCAAGAACAGGTGCCAGAGGAGACACTGGTGGAAACATGGCCTCCTGCCAGGTTGCAGCCCCATGCCCTTAGCTTTGGAGGTCGTTCCCGTTCAAGGAATTTACTGAATACCTACCTACTAAGTTTCAGGTGTCCATTGAGGTCTGGGAAATGCTTCCTGAGGATGGGGGCAGAGAATAGACTGTATTGTCAGTCTACTCAGGCAAGGAGGTAGCAGGACATGGCAAGGGACAATTGAGCCCACAGCCACTCTTCTGGACTCTTCCAGAAGGGCCAGGCTTCTGGTCAGCCCCCAAACCCCTGGGCAGGACCAGCTTCAAATCCAAAAGGGCCTGGAAGAGCCTGTAGTTTCCAAGATGCTTCTTTAATGCCAAGCTGATTGCTGACCCTAAGACAGGGAGAACTAGGTTAGCAGATCAGTGGGCAAGAGCAAGAAAGACAGGAGGGTGTTGGCAAATTGCTGTGACATCCAGCAAATAAAGTCCTGCTGAATTTGATGCCTGCAGCATCCTACCCAACCTCCCATCCCTTTCTAATTGGCCCACAGTTCCAAAGGACTCATTCATCTGGATCTCCTCCCAAGGGAAGGGAAAAAGAAAACTCAATTATTACACAACAAATATAAACAGGTGCAATAGTAGGCGTGTGTTATTTAGTCTAACAGTATTCCTGTGAGACAGGATTATTCCTTCCTTTGGTTAAAGGAGATTTAGTGGGGCAGAGCTATATATCTGGAGTTGATGTTTTAGTTTGGAACTTGAAGCTATTAACTATGGAAAGCTGTTTCATATCCATGCCACCCCCACCCTGTCCCTCACGGCTCAAATGACCACTGTTTGATTCTGGAGATGGTCTTAAGAAGCTAATGTTGGATTTTTTCTTTTTTTAATGAAGAACCTGCATCAGATTTAAAAGTTGTTGACTGCAGGAGAAGTGAAGGCTTCTGCCAAGAATACTGTAATTATATGGAAACACAAGTAGGCTACTGCTCTAAAAAGAAAGACGCCTGCTGTTTACATTAAAACTGATGTTGCTGATATAGAAACAAAGCTCTGCCACTTACCTGTTCTCCGGGGCCACGTTGTCCAATCAGGTGCAGGTTTTTTGCGGAAGTGTCTGAGCAGCAGGGAGCGGAGATATTGCCACTTGTGCCAGACAGTTCAAATATTTTATTGTGGCAAGATAAATGACAAAAATGCTACCTGTGATCTTACAGAAGATGACTTAGCTTGACATGAACAGAATTTTCAAAATCACACAATTTGTGCTAGTAAATGTGGATATCATAAACTTTTATTAGAAAGAATTAAAATAATTTGTTCTTTTATTTAAAAACTATTTTTTGAATACCTACTTCTATTCTAGGTACTGTGCAATGGAGTCCATTCTATTCTAAGTACTGTGAAATGTAGTTGAGGTGTCAGGTGTGTGGTCAAACCCATTCTCCATCAGCCCCATCATCTCCTACCTGCAGGCCAGTTCGAAGCCCTGTTCTCTAGCAGCAGCTGAGAGAGTGTGCAGGCAAATGCCTTCTGGGGAGATACTGAGAGCTGGGAGTTACTGCCTGTTCTCTTTGTGCTAAACCTGGAAGAATACCCTCTGGAAGTCCTCTTGTGCCCCTTTAAAACTACCCATTTGTTCTCTGTGGCCTTAGAAGACACAAAATGCAGAGACCCATTTATAACCCGATGGTGCTGTGCAATTCCAGGCTTTTGGTGTCCTGAACAAAGAACTGGATGTGATACTCAGACAGCAAAGCAAGCAGCAAAAGTGTGTGAAGCGCAGTATTACATTCCCGGAGAGGGGAGAGTGGGCTGACTTCTGCCAAATGAGATTAGCATGGCTTCGGTGTACCTTGGGTCTTTTTATGTGTTTTTTCCCCTTCTCTTCGCAAGGCTGCCTGATCTTTTGCCGGTGCCTGCCTTTTGATAGATAGGTGTGTTGCTTAGTTACTTTAGCCTGTGCGGGCTTGTGAATTGTCTCCATCCCATAATTTTAACTACATGCGTGATAGGTAGTCCATATGCATGAGCTTTAATGAGCTGATTATCATACAGCATCCTGTTAAGGATACTTTTTCTCTTTAATGCGCATGCCTATCTCTGAAGAGCTGCCCCTTCCTGGTTTGATCTGGATCTTGCTGGCCATGGGGTCCTTGCTCTCTTCTTTATCTCACTTTTTCTTTTGGCTGCTTCACTTCTGCCTTTTATCTTGCTTCTTGCTCACCCACCCCTTCACCTTGCTTCTGTTTCTGCTTTTATTCACTCTATCCTTTATCCAACTTCCAATTTCCTCTGCAATTCTCCTGCCTCACATTAACTTCTAGAGATAAGTGATTTAGGAGCCAGTCCCCCAGGTGGCAGCTATAAAACTGTGCTTGAAGTATTCTCCTTCAAGGGAGAAGCTGGAGACCTGGATTTCTTGCTGGAGCTAGTCGAGAGGAGCAGGCGCAGTGCCTACCTATACCTCTGTTCAGGCTCCCACAGGTCTACTGTTCACCCTGCCCCTTTGGCTCCCAGATACAGACCCAGAAGTCAACCCTCAGGCAGCAGATGGGAAAATGGGTAGATAAACCCCTTGCAGGTAGAAACCGGGAGGTGGGCATTTACCTGCCTGCTCTGGCCTGAGCCCAGGGAGAGAGCTGCCAAAAGTGCTTGCAAATCTGTGTCCCACCATCTCTTTGGTGTCTGTGGTTTAGGGAGACCTGCAGATGCCCAGCTCTATCAACCCTGAGCTGGGTGATTTAGGAGCCAAACCCCTGGGTGGGAAGCATAAAGGTCAGGGTACTATATGTGTGGTCCAAACCCTTCACTCCTCAGGGAGAAGCTAGGAGTTGGGACTTCCTTACCAATTAATTGTAAGGTGTTATGTCTGGGATAGGGATTGTGCGGGGAGTGTGTCTCAGCTCTTCCCACCTGTTTTCACATGAATATTTTCTCAGTTGCTTGATGTGTAGTAGTCTTTCAATTAGTCCATCGTTTTCTCTCAGAAAGAACCGATCTGTGTGTTGATATTTCTTTGGTATATCCGTGGAAGGAAGGAAAGGCTGGAGCCTCTTAGTCCACCATCTTGCAGATATCAGTCTGGCACACCCTTGATTACTGTGTAGTTGAGCGTTTTTTCTTTTGTTTATTGATCATTTTTTCTCTTCTGTAAAATTTAATAGTTTTACTGGGTTACTACTTTATTCTCTTTTTTCTTTTTTTTTTGAGACAGAGTTTCACTCTTGTTGCCCAGGCTGGAGTGCAATGGTGCGATTTTGGCTCACCACCACCTCCACCTCCCGGGTTCAAGCGATTCTCCCAGGTTCAAGCAATTCTCCTGCCTCAGCCTTCCTAAGTAGCTGGGATTACAGGTGTCTACCACCATGCCCGGCTAATTTTGTATTTTTAGTAGAGACGAGGTTTCTCCATGTTGATCAGGCTGGTCTCAAACTCCCGACCTCAGGTGATCTGTCCGCGTCGGCCTCCCGAAGTGCTGGAATTACAGGCGTGAGCCACGCGCCCGGCCAGGTTACCGCTTTATTCTTATCCATGTACATGTGCTCCTTTTATATCTAACCTTACATATTCTTTCCTCCATCAATTATCTTCCCTTTCTCTGGAATGCCTCCTGCTTAAACCCCAGTTATCCTTGAAATATCCTCTCATTATCTTTCAACCATAATTTTCATGCTTTTCCCTTTTGTTCTCTACTTTGCAGATATTTATTTTTATATCAGTTTCTCTTTCTGTAGAGCCCTTCTATTTTTTTTTTTTTTTTTACTATTTTTGGATTTTCAAGTTCAGTTATTAGATTTTTAATTATTTTTAAATAGTCTTATATTTGCAAATAGTCCCTTTCTTTCTCAACGTGTGACTTTCTCATGGGATCTAATTCTCATTTTGCTGACCACAGTTTCTCAAATCTCATTAGGAATAAATACATATTGATTGTTTTAAAACTGCATTTTTCCATTGAAATCGCACATATTCCAGTTCAGTTAAGTCTCTTCCAGTTTCTAAAAGTGCTGACTTCACTTCTGCTAGTTTTACACTGACCGCTAACATCTGCTTGCTCATGCAGACCAGCTGTGCAGGATTGCTTTGGTAGGGTAAGCAAGCGAGTGAGAGGTGGCAAAGAGTGAATGTGGGTAGAATCTGCTGTTTGTCTTAAACTTTTCTGTAGGGTATCTCTACTTAAAAGAAGTTTCATGGATGTCTTTAATAAATAAATAGGGAAGAAATAATGATATTTGCCTAATCTGTCCATAAAATCTTCATCAGTGATCATTATTTTAGGCTCAAGTTAATTAATAATAAACTGCACATCACAAAACTTTGAGCTCATTATTCTCTTTGCAGCTTTCTTTAATCCCCATAAATTAAAACTTCCTGCAAATATTGTTATGTATTAGATTGCTACAAAAGTAATTGTGGTTTTTGCCATTGAAAATAACGGTCAAAACCGCAATTACTTTTGCACCAACCTAAATATAAGCATCTGGGTAAGAATCAGTATCCTGGGGCTCAGCATAGGAAAGAAACTAGGTACACAGAGCCCTTTACAGAATACCACCTTTCCAGGCTTTTTTTCTGAACAAAGATGTTCCTTAATCAACTTATATATGGGCACACTCACACGGGGCTGATACCCACGGATAATGAAGGTATATGAAACTAGTCCTCACATACAAAACCAGAAGCACTGGTAACTTAAATAACCTCTTTGTAAAGCAATCTTAATATGTATGTAAGATATAAAATACTCGTTCTCATTGTTTCAGTTATTCTGCTCAGAAATTATCCTGGGAAATAAAAAAATACTTTGAGAAACCAAAAAAAACTCTAAAAAGTTCAAAATGGAGCACTATATTAGCAAACTACAATAAATCTACTCAGAGATATTACATATTCCTTAGGTATAATAAATATAACACAGTGAAAAACCATCAAAATGCATAACATTTTCAAAATACTTACATGTCCTAAAAATTATGATACCAATGTTCACATATTTGATATAAAATTAACTGTGAAAAGTATGCTTAAAAACAATAAAGTTTCTAATGTTAAAATTATTGGTGATTTTTAGATATTTGCACCTTTAAAAATACCATCAAGTTATTGCATTACTCTTAAATGTTAAATATACATTTGTAAGAACAAAATTAATGTGCCTAAAAATAAACATATATATGTATATACAAAGATATCACTTAATTATAAGCAAAGACATTCTGTTGTAGACTTAAGTTGCATCCAGAAACTCACAGAGTTAACATAAGAAAGCGCTTCCTGGGCAGTAAGATGATAAGACTCCTTGTTTGCATAGCGGTGAGTAAAAATAAATAAAAATTTTATAAAAAGATGATATGACATTTAAAGCATGTTACCCAGGGAGATTTTGGAGCCTACCTGGGATTCATAACAAACAGGTAGAAACTGATTTTTTTTTCCTCTCATTCTTTGATATTATAATATTTGCAGTGCTGGGTTGTGGACAAGGGGAGGGAGAGCATTAGGACAAATACCTAATGTATGTGGGGCTTAGAATATAGATGACGGGTTGATGGGTGCAGAAAACCACCATGGCACATGCATATCTATGTAACAAACCTGCACGTTCTGCACATGTATCCCAGAACTTAAAGTAAAATAAAATAAAAATAAATAAAAATTACAGACGTTAAAAAAACAAATGTGCCATCCTGCTTGGAGACAACTGAATAAATATAATGGGTTCTCAAGGTCAGTCCTGAGCCACCAATTCCGTTAGTTATGCATTCTTTGTTCTCACAGCAGCTTTTTAGTACAGGCCCCTGAGCCCTGATGAGGTTTTATGGCCACCAGTTTTACGCAGTGGGAAGAGGTCCTTAGACAGAAGCTTGCTGGAGGCTGTCTCAGAACGCACTGCAGCACACCTGACTGCCTTGTATTCCACTCTGCACGCCCACCTTCCGCGCAGCATCCTTCCCTCCCCTGCACCCCAGCAGCTTTTCCCGGGATTTGATCCTTCTGACTCATCCATTGCTCAGAGAGTCCCCATCATCAGGAAGCCTGTCTTCTCTTCAATGCCTGAGGTTTGCGGGGCAAGGAACAGGTGGGCAGGCTCAGTCAATTCCACCCCATTGCACCTCGTGTGACATAAATAATGGGCGCTTCTAATCTTTTCTTCCTGTCCCTACATGTGGTCGTCACCGCAACTCTGCAGGCTTGACCTGCTCTCACCTGGCTTATTTTTACCTCTTTGGGTCATGGGAAATGACCTTCTGCACCCAGGGAATCTCCCTTAGTTGATAAGACCAAAATGGAAATAAATAATAAGACCAAAATGGAAAGTTAGTATGCCTTCATAAAGAGAGATTAAATTCATGAACACAAACCCTGCCTCTTTCTTGAAAACCCAAAATACATAAATAAATAAAACCTCCGGAGCAAGAGGAGTAACATTAGCATTGTCCATGAGGATAAAAAAGTGGGGAGAAACCCCCAGCTGACTTTTTCATCATCCCAAAAGGAGACACCAGTAAGCAGCCACTGGATTTGCCAGCTGTGCACATTTCATATATATGGAATCATACAATATGTGGTATTTTGTGCCTAGCTTACTTTACTTAATGTGAGATTTTCAAAGTTCCTCCATGTTGGAGAATGTGGCATTACTTCTTTTCCTTTTGTGACTAAATAATATTACATTGTATGGATGCGCCACACTTTGCTTATACATTCATCAACTGATGCACATTTGCATTGCTTCCACCGTTGACACTTGTGACTAATTCTGCTATGAACACTATACTCATGTACAGGTTGCTGTTTGAACACCTATTTTCACCGCTTGTATGTATACACCTAGGAGTTGAATTGCTAGGCCATATTGGTAACTCATATTGTTTAACTTTCTGAGGAACTGCCAGACTTTTCCACAGCAGCTGCACCACTGTACATTCCCAGCAGCAACATATGAAGGTTACAATGTCTCCACATCCTCACCAACACTTGCTGTTTTCAAAAATTTTGTTTTGTTTTGTTTCATTTTGAGACAGAGTCTCGCTCTGGCGCCCAGGCTGGAGTGCAGTGGCCCGATCTCAGCTCACTGCAACTTCCGCCTCCCGGGTTCAAGCGATTCTCCTGCCTCAGCCTCCTGAGTAGCTGGGATTACAGGCACCCACCAGCATGCCTAGCTAATTGCCCGGCTAATTTTTGTATTTTTAGTAGAGATGGGGTTTCACCATATTGGCCAGGCTGGTCTCGAACTCCTGACCTTGTGATCCACCCGCCTTGGCCTCCCAAAGTGCTGGGATTACAGGTGTGAGCCACTGCTTCTGAAGTTTTATTTTTTTTATGACTGTCCTAGTAGATGTGAAGTGATATTTCATTGTGGTTTTGATTTGCATTTTTCTAATGACTAATGATATTGAGCATCTTTCGTGTGCTTGCTGGTCATTTGAATTTCTTCTTTGGAAAAATCTATTTAAGTCCTTTGTCCATTTTTAAGTGTGTTGTTTGTCTTTTTGTTGTTGAATTGTATCAATATTTTTTAAAATATAGAAACATTTTTTCTACTATCAAATGTTTGCAAACCCAAAGTTATCTTTCCTCTCTTCTCCTTACACTCTTCTTTTCCATTCATGAGTATGATGCACATCAGAATAATTAGCTTGTGTGTTGGGACAAATTGAACTCTATTTCCTTTCAACTCTGCAATTATATGAACCTATGAACCTATAACCAGATATTAACAAAATTAGCCAATAAGCGTGATTTTCTAGTTTGATTTCTTTGAAATGATATGCCTTATTCTTCAGAATTATCCACAAAATAGTTCCGTGGGGATTGCTTTCTGGGTCTGTGATTTGGAAATGGATTCAAGTCTGGAGGAGAAGGTACATGATAAAATTTAATACTATTAATTTATTTCTCCCCCAAATGAATTTATTTTCCAACATAGTTTATTGTTTCCAAACTATACAGAAATTTTCTAAACTATAATTTCACAATGATTTGATTAGTAACTGTACTGCTAGAAAAAATATGCCATCCACCTTTACCTTGGATCCTTTCCAAATAACGTGTAGTATAAATAGAAAGAATGAATGTAAAGTATAAAATATGCATTTTATTGTTTTATCTATAAGTCATCTTAGTGACTTTTAAAAAATGACTCAAATTTTTGAATATCCACACTCAGTGTTTTTATCAAACAATGGTTCATGTATCGTACAGCCACTTTGTCCATGCACAGGATACATTCAGAATTGTCATTATTCCTTGGGACCCTTGAACTTAGGGTATCATCTTGGTGTGGAAGCCAATTTCCCTAAGGGGCAAATGAAATTGCTTTTCTTTCTTTCTTTTTTTTTTTTTTTTTAATGAGAGATTTCAGAGATGTCTTCAGAACAAATGCTCCACAGAGAAAGAATTTCACATTTTAATCGATTTCTTAAAGTACTGAGTTGGACCCTCACAAATATTCATAACTATTTTACAATTACTTAGTACATAGCTAACATTTAAGGTAACTTTTTTTTTTCTCTCTTTTTTTTTGGTGGAGGGTCAAAAGCAGCTTGGAGTGCCCAATTTTCCCTAAAGTCTTAACTTCAAAGGTGATTTTGCAAGGTACAGAAAGGTCTGTGAGTCAGAGAGTCCCTGCCAGGGCACATTGTCCTGCTTAATCTCTCCAGAGGTGGAAAGTTCAAAATGAACACCCAGCCCCTGCCTCTTTGAGATGCTCACACTGTTCACCCATGCAGAAAGTCCAAGACCACTGCTTGGTGTCTCTTTTTCAAAATCCATGTCTAGGTAAGACTCATGGTGAGATATGGTTGTTGTAGACTGGTTAAATAACGCAGAAGACAGCTTGCAGAAAATATGATGTGTCTAATCTGAAGAATAACAAGGCTCTGCAAGCTATAACAAGTAATATAGGCAAGTCCAGAATGATATCTAGAGTCTGCTATTGCTTACATAAAAATGGGTTATGGATTCATCTCTGCTTCCATACACATGGGACACCTCTGGAAGGATTAATAAGAAGCTAACAGCAATTGTTATGAAGCCCAGGGGGACAGGAGAGAAGACATCCTTCTCACTTGCCCCTTTTGCTTAAGAGAATTTTAAGGGAAATAAATCTAAGTGATCCTGGGACTAAAATCAAATAGGGGCAAAATGTGCAGATTTATCCACTGTGTGTTTTAATACCACACATTATATAAACCCACACACAAAAATATCGTGTCCTTGCAGATTCTGTTTTCACAACTCCCAGCACCCCAGAGCCCACAAACCTCCCTCCAGCCCAGGATGACACAGCCCTGTGGTTGCCGGGGGCTCTCTGCATCCCTCACTAGACTGTCACCTCCGACAGCGGATAACTTCATCAAATGAGAGAAGAGCATGTCCTCTTCCTCCAAAGTAGACAATATCCTGGCTCTTCACAAATAGGTGAATTTTGCCAAATTTTTGGAATAATGTGGTATGTTATCTCTGTTTTTTTTTCTTTCAGCATAGCGTTTGTGAGGTTCATCCACGTTGTTGTACACATCTTCTTGTTTTTCTATTCTTGTTGTGGTGTGGAAATACATTGTGTTTTGTTGTTGTCATAATACACTATTTGGTTGCATTCTCTTGGCTGCAAGGAAATGTGCTACAATGAACGTTCGTGCACATGTCTCCTAATGCACGTGGGCCTATGTTTCTGTTGGTAGATGGGAGTCATGTTGCTGGGAAATAAGCTAATTATCTGCTCAACTGTGGTGGACACCGCAGCTTTCTGAAGGCAGAAAATATATCTTTACACAACCATGTCTCTAGCACCTAGCACAGGGCTTGGCACTAAGTAGCCACACCTCAATGTTGGTTCACTTTCCTCTTTAATATCCGTATATGGAATTATTGGTTGATCCCTGCTTCTCTGAATATCAGGAAGCCAGTCTATTTTTAGGCAGAAAGGGAAGAGTAGTCAGTAACCTTCTGCCAACAGCCTTACTCAGTAGAGCAGATAAATATGCTCATGCTGATCAGTATTCCCAAAAACCTATAAATGTCCCATTTTGTGCCTTCTCCGCTCCATTTCATTCCATCATTCATCATATTTGCTCTCCTTCACGGGAGGGCAGGGAGGTTCAACGGACCTTAAAACATGAAGGTCTTTTTTCTGTTTGCTGTTCTCTTTTGTTTGGTCCAAACAAACTCAGGTAAATGTCTCCTGGTTAGCCCTGGGGAAGGTAGTGCAGGAATTCCATTTATGTGTGTGTCTGTATGGACAGTGTGTAGGTGTGTCTGTATGTTGTTAGTGGATGCAGGTGGGCCACTGTGGGGCTCAGTCTTGGACAATTTTGATCTCCCCTGTGAAGTTTTTTAAAAGCTAAATAAGTGTTATAAAGGTCTTGACACAAGACAAAGGGGTATGCTTGCTCTGATACAAGTGGCAAGCACTCACTGCAGTCTGAGAAAAGTTTTCAGAAGGAAGTTATAGTCATATGAATGTCAGAGCTGGAAGGGAATCAGAGATTGTCTATAGCAGCCCCATGCTCTACAAAAAGAAAACCAAAGTCCAGAGAAAGTGTTAATTTACCATGGTGCAATGAATCTTTATGGTCATAGTAGGTCTTCAAACTTATAATATTCCCCCTGCTTGCACATAGAACACATTTTACAGATGGGCAAGCTGAAGTGTAACCAGTTAAATGAGTTGTCTAAGGAGACATAATGAGATATTGGAAGAAGTAAGACCAGAATCCAGTCTCCACGCTTCCAGGCTGGGGGCTCTTCTGTCTTGACTAAAGGTGGACCCCCCACCTTCTTCACTTTGCTGTCTCCTCCAAGCTGTGACAGGGCTGAGATGATACAGAATCAGGGATTAGACCCCGTTTGGAGGTTGGATGTTGTGCAAGAGTGTTTTCCTAATCACGCAAGACCAACACTGTGCTGTTGTTGTTGTTGCTGCTGTTGTTGCTGCTGTTTAAAGTCATCGTACGTAGCATTTGCAGATCTGACATAAGTAAGATCTTTCTTTCAACCATCTCTTGCCCAATGTCCTGTTGTTATAAAAATTTAGGTGGTCATTTGTGACTTACAAGCCCACAGGTCCTGGTGAGGAGAGAGGTTTTATTTTCTCCTTTTCGTTGTAGGACATAAAACTAAAAATTGGGCCATAAGTTGAGAATGGGTTAATACCTCTAATTTCCTTAGAGACCAAGACCTGTCCTATTCTGGACCACTTCTGTTTTCCAAAACTCCCTTTGTTTCCTTCTAGTGCACATCTCTCACCGGGAGGCTCGAGGACCCTCATTTAGGATCTGTGTGGACTTTTTAGGGCCTAGATGGGCCAGGTGAGCATTCATAAAACACACCCTATCATCCTCCTGGCAACATTTCAGATATAAATTATCGTTCCTGTTTTAAAGCTAAGAGGCCAAAGTTCGGTTAAACTGGGGCTTGTCCAAAAGTACTTAGCCTTGTCAGAATATATAACCCTTGGCAGCGGGCTGGGGTCATCTTCTATTCTCTGCACTATATGAGTTAAATGTCAACTCTCTTCTGTTGTATCCATAGGGGATGTTCCACCGGGAATTAGAAATACCATCTGCCATATGCAGCAAGGGATCTGCAGACTTTTTTTCTGCCATTCTGGTGAGAAAAAGCGTGACATTTGCTCTGATCCCTGGAATAGGTGTTGCGTATCAAATACAGATGAAGAAGGAAAAGAGAAACCAGAGATGGATGGCAGATCTGGGATCTAAAATATAAGCTCCCGGAAGGCAGGGATGTTGAAGTATCCCAAGGGCTTAAAGGAATGTGTGGCTTATAGTAGGTGTTCAATAAATATTTGTTGAATGAATTTAGCACCAAAGGTGAAGAGCTGATAAAAGACATTTTTTTAACTTCCTTACTTCTCCATGTACTGCCTTTTCAAAGGGGTCTCAGAATTTTGTGATATTCCACTTTCCTTTCCTAGTCAAGGGAATATCTCTTAAGTATCTGGAGATGGGAACTGACTAGAAACCGAGCTCCAAACTGATTTTCAGAGAGACATAAATGCAACCAATCTGCTGCTCTGTTTTCCTTCTGATGACATCTTTCTTACCACACCCAGCACTAGCCTTCTCCTGCTTATTCACCCAGATGGTAATGCACCTTATCCCTTTTCCCTTTATGCCTCCTCAAGCAATAACACCAACAGGTCACATTTCAGTAGGATAGTGTTGTTTTCAAGCATTTACTCTTAGGCTATTTCAATTTATTAATACAACAAGCTGATAGTGTGTATAATAGGGGGTAAGCAGGTCCATTTTAGGAATGAAAGAAAAATGAAAATCATCAGGTGAAGCACATTTCCCCCAGGCTAGCAATTCATAAATGGCATTCTCAGTATGCCTATCAGTCAGCATTCATTCTTCTATGATCCTTCTAAAAAACATATTTCTGTGCAATTGGAGCAAGGCAGGGCCCCTGTTCATGGAGATTCCTGAATGCTTAGCTGCCTTTTGCCTTTCTCTGGATCCTGCTTGAATTTGTTGAATACTAATTCCAATAGTAGTGAACACCAATTACAAGTAAGGAATTTAAAAAATAATAAAAACAAACGTGCTGAGAGATAGAGACCACATGCCAAGCTTTTTCCTGACTGACAGGTGGCTTGGGAAGATGCTCTGTGTTCCTGTTTCTGTCGCTGCCTGAGTCCAGTGTGCTTCTGAATGAGCTGAGGTGCTGTAAAGAGCCCACTAGAATGTACACTTTGGGGCTACAGTCTCAATTCCCAGCTCAAGTTGCAATGAATATTTGTCATCTTGCCTTTGGCCTCTCGCAACCTCTTCTAAACTCACTCTTGTTTTTTTTCTTTTCTAAATGCAATCAGACAGACCTCTGGAAGTGCACAGAGTAAGTCTCTCTTAGGCACAGGCACCTCTGCAGGGCTCTCTGTCATGCCTCTAGAGGGGAGAGCCATTGTTCCATCCCTGAAGGGAATGACTTCCTGAAGGGCATTGGCCCCTATTAGCCTTGGCTCAGAGTGAAACGCAGCAAACGTGCATGCCTCAGAACTGGCAGACACGTTCTCAGCCAGGAGTGCCACCAACCCACACCAGCAGATCTGTGTACCAGAAACACAAAATAACATGAAGGGCCACTGGGGGGCTGGAGCCTGGTTCCATAAGGATGGGACTTCTGGGCAGGTGCCGTTAGACAGCAGCACCTTCTTTTGGCCTCATGTTCCTCAGAAATGAAATGAAGGAGGTGGGCTCGATCTCAGACTCCATCAGAGCACAGCAGCCTGGGGGTGTGGAAGCAGAGCCTCACCCAAGGACCAAGGGGTCTCCACCAGGTGAGATGGGGAGGATGGGAACCCCGTCCCTCCCTGCCAGGGTGCTGCAGGTGAGAACCCCCAGGGAGCCCTCTGCAGAGTCCAGGGCCGGCCAGCAGGGCACTCGCGTGGGCCCTAGGCTGTATTATTTAATATTTTTAAGGTGGACCCTGGGCCTGGGCTGATCTAAATTGTGGAAAATGTCATCTCCCTCTTATGTAAAATTTCTCCAAAGGAAGTGTTTGTCCACCTGTAAGGCATGGTAAAAAACTAGTACCTATGGCGTTGCCCAGCACAAAACAGGCTGTCTGGGAGTGTTTGCTGAGGCTTCCGGGAAGCAAACATGGAAGGGAAGGGAAGGGAAGGGAAGGGAAGGGAAGGGAAGGGGAGGAGAGGGGAAGGGAAGGGACGGGAGGGAAGGCGGTGCAGGCTCCTGGAGTCCTCAGTGGTGAGCTCTGGAGTTGCTCTGTTCCCTTTTTAATTTTTGTTTACTTTTTGGCTGTTTTTTCTTTTTCTTTTTTTCAATGTAAAGTGTCTCTGTAAGGCCTGAGAATGAATCTGACTGGATCAGCCCAGAGACCAAGTGAGAGCCCCCAAAACTGGGGCTTACTTTCTTGTTCCGCCCCTCTGGGATATTGGGCAGATCTCCATAGCATCCCTGTCCCCATCTGTAAAGTGACAGGATTGAACTCAGTCCTAAAATGTCCTGGCGTGGTTCTAAGACAGAATCCCCAAAACGCTCTTTTTCAAAGCCTGAAAGGCTTGGGTCAGGCAGGCATCCCGGCAATACCAACACCTACCACGCGAGGGCGCGCTGCCCTTCCGGCGCCTGCAGATGGGATTTTTTTTTTTTTTTTTTTTTTTTTTTTTTTTTTTTTTGACCACTTGTTCTGAAGCTGGGCACTGGGCTAAGGACAGGAGCAGCTGGGGTCACCGCAGGGGAGAGCCAGGGGGCCCAGGTTACCAAAGCTTCTGGCCTGAATCTCTTGGCACTGATTACAGTGCCTCATTCGTCTCTGCCCTGCACAGGGTACCATTCACGCCGGGGGTGCGGAAATGAATTAAGTTCAGACGGAATCAGCAGGGATATTTATTGAGGCATTGTCAGGCATCTGCTCTTATTTGGGAACAGGGACAGGCCAGCAGCACAGACAACGCTGTGGATAAGGAGAGTAGAGACTTCCTCTTCCTGCCTCCTGTCTTCTGGAGTTGTGACCGCAGGGTGGCCCAGGTGGATCGGCTTCAGAGGCCAGGAGGCAGCTCTCTGCAGCCGAAGAGCAGGAGCCTCACCCAGGGTCTGTGGCTCTGACTAAGCCTGGACTGCCTCTCGGCTGTGCTCCGTGGACTGGCTCCTCAGGGATCCATGTGAGAGACCGGAGTATGATCCTCAGTGCGAGGACAAATAAAAGTAGTGATTATGTCCACCCCATCCTGCCCTCCGTCCAGATCTGTTTTCAACTTGAGGATTCATCTGCCTTGTCCTTGCTAAGACACCTTCAGCCTGTGGTCAGGGGAAGCTGGGAAGAGGTGCTGGGAGACCCAGGACATCGCAAGTTGCTTCTCTGGCTGGCACTCAGAGGTGCGTGAACCCTCTGCCAACCCTAAGAGGGGCAGGAGGGTGCCTGGTGATGGGCCGGAGCTCCAGCCAGCCAGCAGGGGCAGAAGGACTAGGCCTGGTCCAATGGGGGCCCAGGATGTTTTTCTTGGCAAATCCTCATACTTTTCACATAGCTCTTTCTTCTGAGATAAGTGTGATCATCTCCACTGTATCTCTAAGGAATCAGCTTCCTGAGATGACACAGTAACCAGGAATGACAGAGCTGTTCCCTCCTAGTACTCAAATTGGCTCAAATTTCAACCCCACTCTGAAGCTTTCCTGGCCCTCTCCCCGCATTCCTGCCTGGCATTATCAATTGCTCTACGTCTCTGCCCCTCAGACACTTCGGTGCATCCTATCATAGGGTCTTGTCACTCTGTTGCCATCATTTATTTACATATTTATAGTCCTCCCACTAGACCTTGAGCTCCTCAAGGACAGGGCCTGGTACATAAATACTCATATTTACATCTTTAGTAACCACTGAAGAACAATAAATATGAAATAGAGGAAGGAATGAGTGAATTAACCTAAGCCTCAACCACTGGTCTTCTTCAGTGCACCACTACTGTCCTTTTTAATCCAAGCACTGGGGCAGATTTCACCAGGGGATGCTGGGAAACCCCACTGTGATCGCGGCCACATCCTAGTCACAGCCTGAAGCCCGCATCCTTGTCTTATCTCTCACAATCCCCTGGTTTCACCGCCTTCTTCCTCTCCTCATTCCAACCACTCCCCATCCCATTGGGGTACTCATCTCTACAATCCGGTCAGAAGGTGGGGCGAAGCCTTTATTAGCTCTCCTTTATTATAGGGCCTCACAACAGAACTTGTAACCCCTTCATTTTCAGGGGCTTAACACTTACCCCACGGGAGGCGGCAGAGCTAACAGGGAGGCTCGACGTGTTGGGGCTGGAGAAGTGAAAAGTCCCCTGGCCCCTGAGTCTCCACACTGAGCATCTGCCTCTGACAGCATGACATGTGCACCTTCTGTCCCTCCCTCATGGAATCATAGACAGAAAAGGGACCCAGGATGTCACTAAATTGAAGCCATGCCCCAATGAGCCTCATGGCATCCTGGAAAAAGCCCTGAACTAGGAATGAAAATGCCTGCGTCCTTGTCCTATGTCTGCCGTCCTTGACCTCACTGAGCTTTGGCCCTTCCTTGATAATTTGAACACACGTTGTTTGCTCTTTGATTTTGAAAACAAAGATTACATGAAATTCCTATGAACCATACAGTATTGGGACTGTACAGGTGATTCATTTTATTAACTAATAATTGAATCTTCTTGATTCAAATAAGATACAGCAAATGTGATTTGAGATAGTTGTCAACCTGGAAAGAATACATATTGCATTTTAACATCATACAGGTGGAGTAATTTAGTGACTAAAACACACACATGCAGATACATGTATAATTTACACATAGTGTCTCACTATGCAATTATAGCCAGAATGGATTTTTTTTTTTTTTTTAGACTGAGTCTCACTCCATCACCCAGGCTGGAGTGCAGTGGTGCAATCTTGGCTCACCGCAACCTCCGCCTCCCAGGTTCAAGGGATACTCCTGCCTCAACCTTCCCAAATAGCTGGAATTACAGATGTGCACACCTGAACCTGGCTAGTTTTTATATTTTTAGTAGAGACGGGGTTTCACCATGTTGGCCAGCTGGTCTCGAACTCCTGACCTCAGGTGATCCACCCTCCTTGGCCTCCCAAAGTGCTGGGATTACAGGCATCACCCACCGCGACCGGCCTAGAATGGATTTTTAAACCACCCATGCATGAGCCAATCTCCCACACAAGCTCAAAGTCTAAACCTTTTAGAGTTGGTCTGGGCTCTTCAGATCAAGGCAGTCAGGTCTGTCTTGCGACTTCTTGGAACACTTGATGCAAATAATCGTCACAGAAAGGTGAGGCTCTTGTCCTGCCACCCATCTCCGAAGGTGATTTATTATCACCAAATCCCACCCCCATGACAATCCTTGCTGGGCGATATGAGCAGGTCCATCCCACCGAAACTCCTCCAAGCCCCTATCCTTCCTCACATGAGGCAGAGACGGGCAGCATAGCTCTCCCAGGCTGATTATCAACCAACTGAAAATGGCTGTCTGTTAACCTACTGCAACAATAAAGGGATAAGATGGATTTTTAACAAAACAAAGAAGAAAACCTTTCAAAATCCTACTCTTGCAGTACCATAGGCTATGTGCTTTAACAATAACACTGCAATACCTCAGAATACTAAAATTTCTCTTTTGGAATTGCCTTCCACATACCCCTCTATGCACACAAATAATGTCATCTGTTCGGAATGAATTAAGAAATTCACCCAAAATTATAAAAGCAATTCACCCAGGGTCCTCGGCTTCCTCCCTCACTCTGCAGAGAAGCAAGGGTCCGCCACACTCAGAAGACCATAAATGGCATCTCTAAAATCCTGATGGTCCTCGGGATGGCAGGATGCCAGAGGTTCAAGCTGTTTCCAGGATTCCTCCCCATGGGATGCCACGGGTGTGTTAGATCACCTGCAGGTTGTTCTACAGGTGACTCCACTGGAAGCTTAGTCACAGGTCTCGCCTGCAGGGAAACATGTGCCTGTCCTGACTAAATCTGAGAATGCACACAAAGGAGTAGCCCACCCTATAGACAGGCTAGCAAGGGCTTCGTGGTCACTGTGGTTACCCAGAGGGAGGCCCCTGGGATGGGACACAAGCACCGACACAGACAAGGCCCAGGCAGATGCAGAGCTCAGACCAGATCTGTCCAGCATACAGGTATAGAAGAACTCTGTTGCTAAACTCCCAGGGGCCCAAGCACCTCCTGCAGGTAGACCTAGCAACACCACCTCTCCCAGCTCGTTGGAGCTTACTGAATGCTTTCTCCACTCCAGCTTCTGTGCCGAGCACCGCCCATGCATTGATCCCAGGTCATCTATGGAGTGGCATGAATATGCCTACACTGCAGATGAGATACTTAAGACTCAGAAATGTGAACTCACTTACCCAGAGCCACACAGCCAGGAGCCAGCAGACTTTTACCATGTCTATTTTAAGGTTCAAGAGGCATGTCTGCATGAAGCAAGTTAATGGTGGAAACTGATGGGCCCCCAACCTGGTGCACTTTCCCTTATGCCACATGGTTCCTATGCCGTAGAATATAGGAGACATGCTGTTCACCCACAACGTCACTTCTAGCTCTCCCTCTCTTAATAAATAGTGCTTGTGACAATCACTGTGGTCATAACAAGGATAACAGAAGACCATGCATTAAGAATTGCTTTTTATGTTTTACACTTGATCTGCAATGAAGTGGTTATTATTACTTGGACATGAAGAAGTGGAAACTCACCCAAGTTAAGAAACTTGCCCAAGAGCACACAGCTGGTAAAGTGGAAGAAAGGGGCGGAGTCTCCTATTCTCACTGTGGTGGGAATGTGTGAAAGGAGTTGGGGTTTCTGCCAAATGCATGTGTTCCTGGATTTGGGCAGGGTGGAAAATGACTTGTGAGCTTTGCTCCATGCCGCTCTGGGAAGCCATCTCAAGGTATTTCACAGCTCACCTCAAGACTAAGAGATAAGGGACCCCTGCCCTGTCTCAGGAGAAGGAAGCAGACAGGAGCCTGGCAAGATGGTCCTGGAAGGAGGGAGATTTGTGTCTGTCCCAGCAGTGGGTATTGGGAGAAGCCGGTGGATGATTTTACACTCAAAAGTCTCCATCCCTTTGATCCATGTTAGCATAGCAGGCTTCTCCTCCTGTCATTTGAACTTCCAAGGAGAGGTTTGAACCCACTGTTCATATTTCCCACTCAAAAATATAAATGGAACTAGAGGCACAGTTCCATGCCTCTAGACACTGGCTTAAGCCTGTTGTCAGGCCTTGAATTGCCAGCTTCTCGTGTCCTGGGACTCCAATGCAGGGCTGCAGGGAGAGAGAAGGGTCAGGCTCAGACATGAGACCCATCACTACAGGAGGCTCCCCTGGTCCCCGAGTGGGTCTGCATGGTGCAGAAAAGCAAGAGAGAAGCATAAATTCAATGTAGCAGAGCGAACTGGCTTCCTTCCTATGGTAGGATCCTGGGTACAGCATGGAAACTGAAAATGACAAGTGGGAAAGACTCGATGAGCAAGCACAGGGAGGCCAGCAGAGAGCAAAGCCAGGTCCCAGGCCCTGGGCATGGATTCAGCCACCGGTTTTGGTCTAAAAGCAAGACGGAGACATCCAAACCAAAGCCAGGTGGCCCGTAAAGGGGCGATGGGCACCAGACAGGAAGGAGGTCAAGAGCCTCCCTGACGCTGAGCCTGGTGCTCCCAGGCCTCCCTAGGTACCAGGCTGACTGTCCTGAAGCCTAGTCTGACCCCCGCATTGACTGCCTAAACCCCATCACAAGCTGCTCACTGTCCTCCTGGTTAGCCCCAAACTTCCCAATAGGGTCCCCAAGACCCCTTGTACAGAAGCCCCTGCTAAACTCCCCAGCCAGAACTGCTGCCTTGTTCATCTCCAACCAGCCCAAAGTATTTTTTCTTGTTGTTGTTTTTTGAAACAGGGACTCACTCTGTTGCTCAGGCTGGAGTGCAGTGGCACTGTTACCGCTTATTGCAGCCTCTACCTCCTGGGCTCAAGTGCTCCTCCCACCTTAGCCTCCCAAATACCTGGGACCACCGGCATGCACCATTGCACACTGCTAGTTTTTTTAGGTGTTGAGCCACCACTTCCAGCCCCAAGGTATTTTAAATTCCTGAACTCACATGCTTTTTATTTTCCAGTTTTGTACCCTCTGGTTCCTACACCTGGGGCGTTGCTCACATTTCCCCCTGTTCACCCTTTAGCTTGCAGCTCTGACTACACTTTCTCCGGGAAGCTGACACTCAGGCCCGAATGTGGCTGGCTGCCGCTCCTGTGACTCCTCCACTGCTGGGCCCACCTGGAGCTGGAGTCTGTCACCATGCAACTGCCTCCTGTGTCTGCTGTCCTCTACAGACTCCTGTGCCACCCAGAGCCTGTGACCTGTGCACCATTTATTTTCCTGAATATTTAGCTCGATGCCTATGTTTGTGGAAAGAAGGAGGAAATGGAGGGAGGAATGAAAGTGGGAGGAAGGAAGGAAGAAATGAAGGAAGGAAGTTAAGAACTAGCCCAGTGGCTGGCACCCGGAAGAGTGACAGATCAGCCCCACCAGAATGTGGGGAGAGTCAAAGGGACTCTGTCCTCCCTTCCTGCCTCCCAGTTGACTCAGCGCCTAGATCCTGGGTGGGGGAGCCCATGGAGGGAAGCATCAGCTGCCAGGCCGGGTAGAGGGGCAGCAATGGGGGGACCAGGTGACAAAGAGACTCTCAGCCTCTCTGTAGGATTGACCAGGCATGTGGTAGTGCCTGGAAGTGGGGAAAGTTGCTACAGCTGAAGAAGTCTTGGAAGGCAGCATTTCGGCATCATTGTGCTTCTCCATCCTTCTTCCTCTAAAGGGGGGTGTCTTTCTATCCAATTCCTCCCACAAGACTCATGTGTCCTCCTCCAGGTGAGGAAAGCCTGGCAGACTCTAGCATGACTGGGAGTAAAGGTGGCTGGGCAATCTCAGCACCAGGAATGCACATTCACACCACGAGACAGGGCAAAGGCTAGGTCCCTTCCCGGCAGGGGGATGCGCCAGCCTCGGGCTTCCTGGAATTCTCATCTGCCTGACCAGCTGATGGCAGAGTCATGGTGACTCAGGACTGAATATTCAGCTGCGATGTTCGATGCTAGGTGTGGTGCACGTCACAGGTGAGCAAAACCAAAGGAACTGGAAAAGCTTCACATTTGAGTTTACCATTGACACTGAGTTGTTTTACAGGGAGGAGCCTGAGGTGCAGACGGTATCAGCTACAGGCCAGGTTGTGTCTCTAAGCCAGATGAGTGTCCTCATCCTTAAGGAGTCATCTTCCTCTAATCCTCTGGTTCTCATCCCCATCTCAGCTGCTTTTGAAAATTAAATATTATGCCAAGGCACCTCCTGCAGTGATGTGACTTCCTTGTCTGGGGTGGATCTTTAGCTGTTATTATTAAGATACCTCATTGTGTTCATTCTGCATCCAGAGCTCAGAACCATTGCTTGAAGTACAGAGTTGTGGTTCTTCCTGAACAAAGTGTTTCTGGGTCCTCCTATGTGTTGTGAGCGTTGCCTGGAACCGAGGCCCTGCTGGGGGTCATGGTCTTCTGCTGTGGTCACCTCCATGTAAAAGATGATGCCCTCTCTCCAGGAGCACACAGGAGGGTTGCAGTGGACCACAGTCACCCTCCCCTGACCAAAAGTTCCCTCAAACTCCCTTACACTTTTGTACGAGACCTATGCAGTACAAACAGAACATTTTATCAAAGTTTCTGGAGATTTCATCAAAGAAGGGCAACAAATTAAAGTCTGGAAAATTAATGCTTTTCCCAGATTCCAAAAGGGAAGTTTCTTTGCTTAGGTCCTTTAAAAGGCCAGTGGGCTCTTACGTGTTCCAGCCTCAGTCTCTTGACCCCAAGTTGTCCTCCTCCTTCATTCACCCTCCTTCTCTCCTTCACTGCTTGGGAGTGCAGTCTTGCTTCACTGCTCTCCTTCACTCCCTCCCTCCCACCTGCCAGCAGTGAGGACACCACTTGATTGTTCCAGCACCTCTTTCCCTTCGCTTAAACAGGCTGGAGCAGTCACTGAGAATAGCAGCAGGAATATCATGGGTATCTAGTGACACCCAAGCTCCAGAGAACATTAAGCCTGAGGGGCTGAGTTCTCTAAAATGCCTTGTCTACTGGGTACTGGTCGAACCCTCAGGCTGTCTCCATGCATGCCCACCAGGGTGAGTGCAAACAGACTTATTTCTTAGCTCATGAACCTGTTAGATAGAACATCTGTACAACTCCCCAGGACAAATGTTAGGTTCTGAGGACAGTACAGTCTCAACCCCAAGTGAAGAAAGAAATATTTCCATGATTACTGAGATGCTTCTCACTTCCCCAAGAGGTAGGATCTCATTGTTCACCAAAGTAGCATTTGATTTCTTTCCTGCTCCACCTCATGCCTTCTTGGATCATTAAGGTACACTGTCACCCTCTTTTTGTATCTCAGGAGGTGTTGAACCTGGATTCTTCAAGTTAGGATCAAATTAAATATTTTTTTTCTTCCTGGAAAAAAGGAAAAAAAGGTAAGAAGAAGTTGGAACCTTGAAAAAAGAACAAATAGATTGCAGGGTAGGGAAAGAAACAGCTACCTCATTTATTTGGCTGAGTAGCCTTTATGGAAATAAAAATAGAGAAAAAGACTTCCTTTTCAAAGAAGCTGTCCCCAGGAAATGGAGAAATGCCAAAAACCACCTCTGTGCACATGCTTGTATCAGAGAGGAATAGAGAACAGGAGGGTACTGATTTCCACTCCTATAATCTTCCGTCTCCAAAAACTAGATAAAGAGATTTCAATGTGTTTTTGAGAAAAACTAAAACACATTTTTGGTTTGCCATTGCACAGAACGGCATGAGGAACTCATAGCATGACTTAAAGAAGATGCCCAGTTTTGAGATTGAATTAATGGGCAACTGCTCAAAGATGTGATATTCTTAAATATACTCTGAGATCTGAAGTTAACAAAGAGAAAAAAAATAGTGCATTGATTTTATAAGCAAAGGAACTACAAACACTAAAGAAAAACAATTAACAACATGACAATAGTAAGTCATTACCTATCACTTTGAATGTAAATGGATTAAATTTTCTAATCAAAACATGTAAAGTGGTTGAATGTATCAAAAAGCAAGGTCCAACTATATGCTGTCTACAAGAGACTCACTTTAGCTAGAAGGACTCACACAGGCTGAAAGTAAAGGGATGGGAAAAATATTCCATGGAAGTGGTAACCAAAAAGAGCAAGAGTGGCTGTTCCTACATCAGATAAAAGAGACTTTAAGTCAAAAGCTGTAACAAGAGACAAATAAAGTTATTATATAATGATAAAGTGGTCAATTCATCAAGAAAATAAAACAATTATAAATATATAAAGCAAAGATTTAGAGAACTGAAAGGAGTAACAGCAATTCAGTAATATCAGAGACTTCAACACCCCACTTTCAACATTGGATAGGTCATCTAGAAAGAAACACAACAAAGAAACAGTGGACTTGAACAACACTAAAGACCAAATGGACCTGACAGACATATACTGAACATTCTATTCAACAGAAGAATACACGTTCTTCTCAAGGGCACGTAGAATATTCTCCAGAGTAGATAACATGTGAGGCCACAAAACAAGTTAATAAATTTAAGAAGATTAACATCATATGAAGTATGTTTTACCAACCACAATGGTGTGAAACTAGAAATGTGTGTGTGTATGTAGAAGTGTGTGTCTTTTTCTGTAAAGAGGGAGGGATAAGATGTATTCTAGATGTGAGGAAGAGAGAGAAGAACATAAGAGCTCTAATGTTCTAATGTAAGAATATGTGGCTCTGATCTGGGATTTCCCTGAAGTTTGTGTGAGCGGGACTTGTGGATCTAGATGTTATGACATCACAGAACTTCGCAAAGGCCATATTGAAATAAAAATTGGCCAGTGTCCTGGACCCAAGATACAAGCAGATGGTAAAAGAACATAATTTCTCTGTTTTAGGGAAGATCTCAAAATAAGCATCATTCAAGTGGTTCTCCAAAGACCATCAGAGCCAGGCCAGTGAGAGATAGTAAGGAATTGGGTACTGCAGTGCATTGGAGCACTCATATTCTATGTAAGGAAGCTGTCCCCAACCTTTTTGGCACCAGGGACTAGCTTTGTAGAAGACAATTTTTCCATGGACCAAGGTGGGGGAGATGGTTTTGGAATGATTCAAGTGCATTACATTTATTGTGCACTTTATTTCTATTATTACATTGTAACATACAGTGAAATAATTATACAACTTATCATAGTGTAGAATCAGTGGGAGCCCTGAGCTTGTTTTCCTGCAACTAAAGAGCTCTATCTGGGGGTGATAGGAGAGAGTGACAGATCATCAGGCATTAGATTCTTATAAGAAACATGCAACCTAGATCCCTGGCACGCACAGTTCACAATAGGGTTTGCAGTCCTATGAGAATCTAATGCTACCACTTATCTTACAGGAGGTGGGGCTCAGGTGGTAATGCAAGTGATGAGGAGCAGCTTTAAATACAGATGAAGCTTCGCTCACTTGCCTGTCACCCACCTCATGCTGTGTGGCACGGTTCCTAACAGTCCAGGGACGGGTACTGGTCCATGGCCCAGAGGTTGGGGACCTGTGATGTAACGGGACAAGAGATTTTTGGATAAATCTCAGTGTTACATGTAGAAACGTGGGCCCTGGTGGTTTAATCATTGAATTTTTCTGAGGAAGTCAGAAAACTGAATTTTTATGCAAAATTTTTAGTGTTTTAAATGTTGACACCTAATATCAAAATACTTCGATGGACTATATTTTACTCATGGGCTTCCAATTCAAGACTCTGGTTTAGATGCAGGAATCAGCTTGACAATTCAATGAACCATGAAGACTTAGACCTGTAATGACCTCAGAAATCCATGATTCCTTTCCCTTTTGTAGGCAGAATAAAAAATGGAAGGGCTAGACTTGGTCAACAGTTAGTCTAAATTTACATAGCAAATTTGTAAAAAAACTGGGACTGAAACATAGGTCTCTAAATCTCTTCCATTCTTTGCACTATACCTCACTATATTAGTTATCCATTGCTGCATAACAAATTATCCCAAAACTTAGTGGATGAAGACGAGAAACATTGTTATCTCACACATTCTGTGGATTGTAGAAACTAGGCATGGCCCAGCTGGGTGCTTCTAGATCAAGCTCAGTCATGAAGTCGCAGTTAAGCTGTCAGCCAGGGCTGCATTTGTATCTGAAGCCTACACAGGGAAGGATCTACTTCCATAAACTCACTCACATGGTTATTGGAGGGAGTTAGTTCCCTGTGGGCTGGTATATTAAGAGCCTTAGTGACTGACTAGCTGTTGGCCAGAGAAGCCCCTCAGTTCATTGCCTTGTAGGTCTCTTCATAGGGCGACTCAAAACATGGCAGCAGGCTTCCACAAGAGCAAGAAGAGTGAGAAGGCATCCAAAACTGAACCCACAGCCTTTTTATAGCTTACTCTCATGACTTCTGAGATTAGGTTATAATCTATTGCTTCATAGACTTATAATCTATTTATTAGAAATGAGTGAATGAGGCCAGCTCATAATCAAAAGGAGTGGCTTACACCAGAGCATGAATCACAGCATTTCACAAAGACAGGAATCCTTGGCAGCAATCGTAGAGGCTGCCTGCCACACTCAGTGTCTCATAAATTTATGCCAGGGGTCAGAAAACTATGGACTGCTGGCTAAATCCAGTTGCCACCCAGTTTTATAAATAAATTTTTATTGGAACAAAGCCATGGCCATTTGTTTATGTATTGTTTATGACTGCTTCTGTACTATAGCTGCAGAATTAAGTAGTTGCAACAGAAGCCACATGGCCAGCAATGCCTAGAAATATTTACTGTCTAGCCCTTTACAGAAAAGGTTTGCTGGCCCCTAATATATGCAATCATAAAACCTCTTGAAAAATATGGAAGAGGAGATTGAGTCAGAGATGTCAAATTCATCATTTTATTGAATTTTTCTTGGTGCTCTAGCACCATAAATACCATGCTATGTAATTTTATAAGGCAGTTAGCTGGAAATTCTCAAAACAGGAGTAGCCCTGTGGTCTGAGCCAAGTGGGTGAGGTGTGGCTTCCATTCCCCAAGCCCTCTCTCATTTATTCTCCACCATATATAATCATTTACCTTTCCACTGGGAAACCCCACACCAAAAACCTTTGACAGAAACATGGATATAAAATATAACTACAATAACCTGAATAATAAAGCAAGTAGTTAGCATAATCTGTGAGCCTGATGGTCCTGGGCTTCAAATTTTAGAAAGTTATTTCATTTGTCTTAGCCTTAGTTTCCTTAATCTTTTTTTTTTTTTTTTTTTGGAAACAGAGTTTTGCTGTCACCCAGGCTGGAGTGCAATGGCGTGATCTGGGCTCACTGCAACCTCAACCTCCCAGGTTCAAGCAACTTTTCTGCCTCAGCCTCCCAAGTAGCTACGATTACAGGTGCCCGCCACCACTTCTAGCTAATTTTTGTATTTTCAATAGACACTGGGTTTCACCATGTTGGCCAGGCTTGTCTCAAACTCTTGACCTCAGGAGATCCACCCACCTTGACCTCCCAAAGTGCTAGGATTACAGGTGTGAGCCACTGTGCCTCCTCCTTATCCTTAAGTAAAAATTCTGATACCTACTTTATGCCTTTTTTTGTCAGAGAAATGCATTAAAGCACCATTGCCATGCCAGGTACGTAATAACAGCTCCATAGATACTAGCCACCATGTGCAAATCATTTAATAGTCATCCATGGCCTATTACCACATCAGTCAATAGGCTCATTTCAATTACCAGTTCTGAAGAAAGGATAGTGGCAGACGACCTGTTTTAACAAAAAGTCCCCTGGGTCACACCTTTTGCCTTGGATGCATCACTTCCCCACCTCAGCTGCCAGCCCATTGATGAGTTGAGCTCATGATTGCTTTGTAAGAGCCACCTGTCCCCTAAAAGTCCTCCCTGAGGAAGCAGCCATCAGAACTGTGTAGGCTGGTGGCCAGAGGTAGTATAGGGTGTGTTTTTACTGGGACAGGGCCATGATTAAATAGAAAGAACCCGGTTGGAGTTACCCAGTGTAAACAGAAGGTGAGGTAGTATTATGCACTTCATTCTATTTGTGGTGAAAATATTGCTGCCAAATGGGTAGAAAAATGTCTTTAGGGTAGCTTTATATGAATTTCTCATACACTTATCCCCTCCTTGATTTTGCCTATAGGAATTAGGAGAGTCAGTCCCCATCTTGTCAGGCATGATTTTAGAAACTCTGGGAAAGGCATGCAACCCCACATCACTGCTAAGCCTGTAAATTCCTAAACTAGTTTGAGCCTGTTTTAAAAAGATGCCATATGTTAAGCCTGGCTCTCTCTCCATAGCATGTCTCCCTCAGTGCCTGCTGGCATCACCACTTTAATTCTAATTGATGGGACCGCCACCTACCCTGTCCCCTGAACAGTATCCCTAGGCTGCCTCCTCTCTTAATTCCTTCTCTCATGCTCAACCATTGTATTAACTCTTGATTGCTTCTTCTAGATGGCTCTGGCACTCAGGTCTGCCTCTTTCTCCCACTGGCATCCGAAACACAGCAGACCTGAGTTCAGCTCTTGGTCTTCTGGCCTTCAGTCTCATAAGCCTCTGCTCCACCCTCCATATCATATCTGCACCAAAGCACGATACCAGCATTCCCTAAAGGCAAGGGTTACTGGGGGCCATTGCAGTGGCTGCCTGCCACACTCAGTATCTCACGAATTTATTTATGTTTTGTTAAACCATAAGTGTGTTCAGATTGTTCTCATGTTGTAAATCATTTGTTGTCTTTGCATTAGCTGCTACTGTTCTCTCCCTATTTCCTTGCTCTTCTGGAAGTATTTCTTCTTTGTGATATTCATCCTGAGCATCCTAGGAGATACTCTAGGATTTGAAAATAATTCTTATTATCTAAAGGGTGAAAGCAACATAGGACTTGAGTATATACTTTCTCATTAATATAAGGACATAAATGAAAAGACACCATCTATTAAAGATAATAAGAAATGTTCACAAATAGTATATGGCATTCATTATGGAACTTGGTAGAAGCTCCAAGTGTCATGCAAAATGTGCTCTGCAGAACTGCAGAGGAGGGAGGGATCTCTTTCAACTGGGGTGATTGAGATCATGAGGAACTGGTATTTGAGTTGGTCCCTGAAAATTATGCAAACCACTTTGTAGAAAGAATTGGCTGATGCCTGTAAACCCAGCACTTTGGGAGCCCGAGGAGGGCAGGTCCCTGGAGATCAGGAGTTCAAGACCAGCCTGGCCAAAGTGGTGAAACCCTGTCTCTACTAAAAATACAAAAATTAGCTGGGCATGGTGGTGCAAACTTATAGTCCCAGCTATTTGGGAGGCTGAGGTGGGAGAATCGCTTGAACCCGGGAGGTGAAAGTTGCAGTGATCCAAGATTGTGCCACTTCACTCCAGCCTGGGAGACAGGGTGAGATTCTGTCCCCCCCTCCAAAAAAAGAAAGAAGAGTCAGAAAGAACCTAGTTTCCAGCATCTATCACCAAGCAATTTGGAGAGTGAAGTTGATATTTACAGAAAAAGTGATGTAAAGATTGGTTGAGAACATTGGGGAAATGGTCCAGACTAGAGATGAAGATGGAAGGTAGCTGCATGCAGGCATAGATAACCACATCCCAAAGATCATATGAAGCCAGCAGAGGCCCACGAGTAAGCATCTGGAATACAGTTAGGAGCATGGGAGCATCAACTGGCCTTTCCCCATTTGGGAAATGCAGATAAGTGTATCAACATTATTAAATTACTGCATGATTCAAATGAAATAAATGCAAGTAAATTGCTTAGCACAGTGTCTAGAACATAATATGTGCTCAATAGATCTGTTACAATGACGTGACAATGATGATAAGGAGGAGGATCATCATCATCATCATCATTATGATTGCCATGAAAATGTTAAATTCTTGAAGATGTTCCCTTTTGGGGACTTCAGGGACAGGAGAAGGAGGAAAACTTCCATGATGAATCAAAGGCAGTAATGGGAAGGATAGGAGGAGAAAATGGAAAGCGGATGTCTGTTATATCATGTTACTGTCAGCTTGTATCTTTTTCCATTAGACTGGGAAATAGTGAAAATTCAGAGCCTAGAGAGTAAATATTGTTTATCTTTCTTTCCTGCACAGCACCATGTCCTAAGACCCTAATACAGAGCAGATGTCCATGAAGTTCTCTGGACGTTGAATTGAAATTGAGGGATAGGTTTCTGAAAGTGGCCTTACGAGGCACATGTTGCAAAACGGTCAGGTTGGAAGATTACAGACAAAAAACTCATTGAGCTGGGGATGTAAAAGGCTTGGCTGGACTTAGGAAGAGTAGTTTGGACAGATTTCTTGAGATGCTAGGATGCAAAGAATTTAGGGACAATGGGGTGATGGAAAAGGGTACACACCTAAGTATAGACCACTACACATGAGTGTAGATCACCAATAGTCAAGGGATGACTCTGAGAGCAGGCAGAGAAATGACTGGACATGCTGGCTTCAGGTCACAATGCTGCAATTCACTACAGCATGTCATTCAACCTCTCTGAGCCTCAGTGTCTTCATCTATAAAATTGGAAAAATGTCTGCCTTTATTTGTATAACTTATATAATGGTGGTTGTGACAAGATTAATGGCTGCAAAGGAGAATGGCTGAGCCAACCTTCATCTTAGACTATGTCAAGATGAAGAAGAGTTGACACCCTGGATTCCCGTGCTGGGAGCCCATGCCAGAGTCTTGATATTGTTAACCGAGGGTCACGTGGGTGATACTTGGGTGATACATGGGTCACATGGTAATTTGCAATGTACAAGTCAATTTCACACCATTAACTCATAGGGCTTTCACTGTGACCTAAACAGGAAATGTACTGCTCTCTGTGCTTTGTTGCTGAGTTACAGATGCTCACAGAGCTTAGGTAATTTATTCAGGTAAACCCACGCCATACACGGTAGGGCTGAGTGATGGCCCAATGACCCCTCACTTCAGACCTGGTGCTTGTCTTCTACATAGCTCTGCCCTTTAGCCACAAACTTGGACCAATCACATCTCGGCTCCACATTTTAAGAACAGGATTTAAAAAATAATAATTAAAGGGAAGTCTGACATGAACAAAGGTGATAAATAACTAAAGTTTCTCTTCCTCGCTCAACCTAATCAAAATTGTCGAAATGCTGGCTGTGAGAGCTACAAGGAAACCAAGCACATGGGTACAAAAATTTGCAGGATCTGCAGTTCCAAGTGCTGTGACTCAGAGCCCAGGAGCAGGGAGTGACAAGACCCAGCTCTCGTTAGTGTTGTGAGGCTTCAGACACATGAATCTATTCACCCAACTATTAGACAGCACATGTGTACTTCTTATCATTTGAGAGGCTAAAAGTATTTATGACATAAAAAGGATTATAATAAGCCAAAAAGAGGGCAATTCACAGTTGTCAGTGGCTCCCTGGAGTAGAGAAGTAAATTACACAGTCTCTCTCTTCTATTGTTTGAAATTTTACCATAAAAATGCATTACTTTTATAATTTTCTTAAAACAGGTAAGTCCCCCTCAAAACGGATTTTGTGTGTCTGGAGTATGTCCAAACTTGAAAAGGCTGATTGTCACAGCCCAATCTCCAATTCCCAGCTCCCAAACTAGTTGACAAGAAAAAGTGGCATTTTTCCTCACCAAGGAACTTTTATGAAATAGTGGTGTTGCCATAAAAATGCCTCCCAGTCTATGAAGGAACAGGTTAGACCAGGGGTTCACCTGTGGAAGTCTATTCTCCATGTGGAAAAGCAAGTCATCTCCAGCGTCTGACTGTCTTCACCCCAGGCTGAGAGCTGGTGCTAACCCTCTACAACGCCCAATGCCATCGTTATGTCTGACATAGTAAGACTGTGAAGTCAGCACCCATCCCACCCACACTCACCTCCTTCCCCCATTTATAAATATCTCCAATTGCTTTGTCTCAAATCATGAACTAAAGAGGAAAGTTAGATTTTAAAAAGTAGCATCTACCTATCTAAAGTCTTAAATCTGCTGATTGAGCTCCACTCTTGGCTCAAAGAGTTATCTTTGAGTTATGATGAGTTATCTTTCTTCTACGTTTCTGCAGCCCTGTGCTTGAAATCTTCCTATGACTCCCATTAGAATTCATCCTAAATTTATCATTTGACTGTCTGCCCATCTACCTGGCCCTACATGGAGCTTCTGGAGAGAAAGAACCAAGACTGGTCCCTCTTGGTATCTCATCCACTTCACCCTCACCTATGCTGAAGACATGATACTTGTCCCTTCCTATAGTATGTGTTCAGAGTTTTCTTACTGAATCTGACAGGTGTGGTGCACCCAAATTCTGAACACACACTCCCAGAACTAACACACCCTTGATCCTTAGTGGATCCGTTATAATTGCATTCACACGAAGCAGCAGCTAGGAGACATCACGGTGACTTCAGCTCCCAATTGAATTGTCATTGACTTACTTAGTTCCCAATTGATAGTCAACCAAATAAAACCCATCCACTGGATTCCTGAACATTTAAGTATAATAGCTGTTTTTTTTTTTTCTTTTTTAGCATTTTTCCCTCTAAACGTTGAATCTATATGCAGGGGAAATCATCTGGCCCCTGGACTGCCTTGAATGCTCCTGAGCCAAGAGTAACTTGAGGTCTTAAATGTCTATTCTGAAGCCCCTCTTTTGCACAGGGACAGTCATTGACTAGGAGGAGATGCCAGTCTATTAAATCTATCATCCCAGCATCCTCTTTCTCTGATGAAGTAAAATTAAACACCTTCTTTACTCACAAATTTGGTAGGTTTTAGACAATGATGAAGAATCGGACATGGGCCGCACACAGTGGCTCATACCAGTAATCCCAGCAATTTAGGAGGCTGAAGCAGGAGGATTGCTTGAGCCCAGGAGTTCACATCTGGGCTCGAAACCAGTCTGGGCAGCATAGTGAGACCCCATTTTATTTTCTACAGATAATTTAAAATTTAGCCATGTGTGGAGGCATGCGTTTGTGGTCCCAGCTACTCAGGGGGCTGAAGTGGGAGGACCTCTTGAGCCTGACAGCTCAAGCTGTTGTGAGCTGTAATCATGCCACTGCACTCCAGCCTGCACAAAAAAGTGAGACTCTGTCTCTCAAAAAAAAAAAAAAAAATGAAAGAATGAGACATGTTTCACTCAAATTATAGCACCCCATCATAGGCCAAGGGCCAGCTGGTCAGCTAACCTTGAATGTAGCCCATTTTCCTCCCTTACCTCACTACCAAAAAGCCAGTCCTATTGCCAGATATTGAATATGTCCAGGGCTGGATTTATTTGGTCCCCAGGAGGGTCTTAGACTCTCCCAGCATTTTAGGAAGAGAAAAAAAGCTCCAAAGCAGCAAAGTACGGACAAGTCAGCCCCCAGCCACATGCCCTGAGACTATTCCCCAAAGGGGGCATACTTGCTCATGCCAGCCCTATCTGTACCCACAACCCAATCTGACCCACACCCAGACAAGCCCCTGGAGTCCAGAGAGCACCCGGACAGCCACAAATCCATAGGGAGCTCTGCCTTACCATTGGGTTCCTAATTAACTGAGTGAGTGGGTGTGTTCTGCATGGTGAGAGGCATTGGAATGATGCATCAGAAAACATGTCATAATGTCATCACTGTAATATGACAAGAATTGCAGCTGTGGCTGGAACCTTTATAAAGTGACCAAGCACACCTTTTCATCCAGTCTCAGCGTGGGGTGAAGCCTAGCAGCTATGAGGATCCATTATCTTCTGTTTGCTTTGCTCTTCCTGTTTTTGGTGCCTGTTCCAGGTAAGATGGGCTGGGAAATCTAAGGATTGATCTAATTGAGAATATATAATTCAGAGTCAGTATTTCTCCATCCTTCAGAGTGCTTTGGACCAAGCAGGTTTGTTGTATGGGAACTAGGCATCACCACTTTTTTTTCAGACAAGAATCATTAAGAGGCCAGGTGCGGTGGCTCATGCCTGTAATCTCAACACTTTGGGAGGCCGAGGTGGGCGGATCAGGAGGTCAGGAGTTCAAGACCAGCCTGGCCAAGATGGTGAAACCCCATCTCTACTAAAAATACAAAAATTATCTGGGCACAGTGGCGGGCACCTGTAATCCCAGCTACTCGGGAGGCTGAGGCAGAGAATTGCTTAAACCTGGCAGGCGGAGGTTGCAGTAAGCCGAGATCACGCCACTGTCCTCCAGACTGGGTGACAGGGTGAGAGTACGCCTCAAAAAAAAAAAAAAAGAAAAGAATCATTAAGAAACTAAATAGCTCCCCAAAGCTATCTCTTTCCCCAACTCTTCAAGGGAAGATTATTATACCAGCTGATGAGACATGAATCAGACATAAAAGTTTAATGTAGCAGGAAAGATTGATTTACTCTGAGAATAGAAGCACAGGCTCCTGTTCTACTAAGTGCAATGGTTGGAGGTGGAGTGTTGGGGCTACCTCTGAGGACACCACAGCCTCAGCACCCCCACTGTTCCTGCGGCAGTCACAGGGTCACGCCACTTCCCCGGTGCCACTGTGGGTCCACAGCTGAGCTGCAGCCTTAGAAACATTGTCTATGGGTTGTGTAGTCATACCTTCATCTTCCTCCTGATTTTATAGAAAAAGGAAAAAGAAACAAAAGAATACAAGAAAAGCAAGAGATGAGTTATTTGAGGAATTCCACAAGCCTTGTACGTGTACCAAAAGCCTTCCTAAAACCTTTCCGTGTGTGCTGTTTTGTCATTGCAGGTCATGGAGGAATCATAAACACATTACAGAAATATTATTGCAGAGTCAGAGGCGGCCGGTGTGCTGTGCTCAGCTGCCTTCCAAAGGAGGAACAGATCGGCAAGTGCTCGACGCGTGGCCGAAAATGCTGCCGAAGAAAGAAATAAAAACCCTGAAACATGACGAGAGTGTTGTAAAGTGTGGAAATGCCTTCTTAAAGTTTATAAAAGTAAAATCAAATTACATTTTTTTTTCAAAAAAAATTAGGAGCTTGATTTTTTTTTTTAAATCTGATTATTTTGGTACTTGTTTCCAAACAGACAACTCAGAAAATCTTAAGGACTCACCTTTCGTTCAAAGAAAGTAGAATCTCTGGAGAAATCTATAAGGGAGCCCAACCTTATTATCCAAGGGTTATCAGGTTCTATTCCTACTTTGTGAACGTTATGCCCCAGTGAAGTTGGACTCTTCACTCTCTTGGAATATGCCCTTTGCTTTCATGTCATCCAAGCCTTGGGCCTTTTCAGTCCCTCTACCCCAAATGGCATCTCTCCACCAAATCTATCTCTAAGGTTTTCATGCATCCCTCAGGGGCTATCCCAATTCCTTCCAAAAACTTTGTCTTCAGAGAAATAAGGAAACTGGCTCTTCCTCAGATATTCACTTTGCTTTCTCTCACCCATGCCTCTGCTCTGGTTGACCTCATGTCTGCCTCACTCCTCCAACTTCATCTCTAAACTTTAACCTGTCCTTCAGGGACCGTCTCACATTTTATCTCCACCTTAAAAACACAGGTGATTTCCCAAATGCTTACAGTCTTTCCTCTGGTTCACCACAGGGTTCTGACTTGAGTCCTCCATCTACAACCCTTGCTTGGTTTTTACATTGCGTACAGTGACATATTGCCAATCTCCATATTAGATTTTGTGAGCCTTAAAAGCAAGGAGTTTGTCTTAATTCTTCCTGTACTGCTTGTAAAGTGCCCTGAGCATGAAGGCTGCTCAACAAGTATTTATGAATTGAAGTACATTCAAACGATTTATTGATTGAATTATCTTTAATCATTCAAATGATTTGGAGGTACTGCAGTTTAACTATCTAGTGCTCTCTCAACGTTGATGCAGTAGGATTCCAGCAAATGGAGTGTGTGGTTTTTCATACCTGACACCAGACCCCAGTCATGGCTCCATGTATGGAGAAAAGACAATACAACAAGGCTCTTAGGAAGAAAGGCTCAAGGGCTCAAAAAGATGAGACTGCTCCTCACTTTACATCCAAAATGGCCTCACTGCTATGGGAATCTCCCTCTGACAGCAGACAAAAGGGAACCTGTCAAGATGTGTGACAGCTGTGTTCAGACATTGGATAATAAGCAGTGCAACAGACCAATGAAGTGAGACTTTCGATTGCCCCCAGCTCACTACAGCAGCAGGGTCCAGACCACAGCACACAGAGGAAGACTCAAACGAAGTCCAGCAATCCTGAAGCATTGAAGAGACTGAAATCAAACTTCCCAAAGCACAAGACACCCCCACTTCCAGGGCAGAATAGCAGAGAGAGGGTGCCTAGAAGGAAGCAAGGCCCCGAAGTGTTGGTGGTGGGGGCAGGGACACATGGTAAATCTTCAGTCCTGGGCTGTGTTTTCATGTGAGCACGCTTGGGGTAAGACTTCACAAGGCTAGAGGCAAAGAAAAACACCCAAAAGGGATTGGATAACAATTTTAGGAGCACTAAAGGCTGGAAAAATTTTCATTCCCACTAGCAAAGTGGAGAGACTGCAGAGTCCTTGGGCAACTAACACATTAGTAGTAGTGCTATTTGGCTCTAGATTAAATTGTTCTGCAACCACTCTAACAAATTTTTTTCTAAACCATTCTTGAAAGGACCAGACTGATCTATGAGAAACTTAAATGTGGGACAGAATAAAGCCTAACGTTCTTCAAAGAAAAACAACTAAATCCATCACTCAACAGTTTGTGCTTTATAGCACACTGAATCTAATAAAAAATTAGCTGCTATGCAGGAAAATATGGTCATAATCAAGAGAAAAATCATTCAGTAAAAACAGATCCAGAAATGACAAGAATACTAGGATCAGCAAAAAAAGATTTAAATGAGCTATTATAAATGTTATAAATATGTCCAAGTTTGAAGAGAAAAACTGTTCATGATGAGTGAGAGATATAAAGAGACAAATGGAATTTCCAGAGATTAAAAATAAACATCTGAGTAAAAGATACTATGAATTGGATTGTGGCATATATTCCAAAATAAAGATCAGTAAACCTGAGTTTATATTACTACAAATGAATGAAGAAATAGTACAAAGAGAGGAGAAAAGGGCTGGAAAATAATAAGCAGTGACCTGTGCAGAAACATCAAGCAATCTAGCAACTATGTGTGTTTAGACAGCCAGGCGTGGTGGCTCACACCTGTAATCCCAACACTTTGAGAGGCTGAGGAGGGTGGATCACAAGGTCAGGAGTTCAAGACCAGCCTGGCCAATATGGTGAAACCCCATCTCTACTAAAAATACAAAAATTAGCTGGGTGTGGTGGCGTGCACCTGTAATCCCAGCTACTCTGGAGGCTGAGGCAGGAGAATCGCTTAAACCTGGGAGGCAGAGGTTGCAAGTAAGCCGAGATCACGCCACTGCACTCCAGCCTGGGCGACAGAGCAAGACTCCATCTCGAATAAAAGAAGAAAAGTTTTGAGAGAGAGGATAGAGCTAAGGAAGGAATGGCCTATTGTTTTCCAAATTTGGTGAGACTATAAACACACAAATTTACCACATGAAGACATCCAAGTTGAAATATGAAACATGAAGAAAACCACATGAAACATATCATAATCAAAGTATTTTAAATCAGTAATAAAAAGAAAATTTTAAAAGCAGCCTGAGGGCGGGCACAGCGGCTCATGCCTGTAATCCCAGCACTTTGGGAGGCCAAGGTGAGTGGATCACCTGAGGTCAGCAGTTTGAGACCAGCCTGGCCAACATGGTAAAACCCTGTCTCTACTAAAAAAAAAATACAAAAATTAGCCAGGCATGGTGGCACGCACCTATAATCCTAGGTTACTCAAGAAGCTGAGGCAGGAGAATCTCTTGAACCCAGGAGGCAGAGATGGCAGTGAGCCGAGATCACCCTACTGCACTCCAGCCTGAGCAACAGAGAGAGACTGCGTCTCAAAAACAAAAATAAAACTAAAAAGCAGTCTGAAAGGAGACATATTACTTACAGAAGAACAAAACGTTAAGTGTTATCTTCAAATGCCGAAAGAAAAAAAATGTTCTCTTAGAAATCCACCCCAGCAAAAGTATATTTCTAAAAAAAGGGTAAACACATAATCAAATAATAAGTAAAGGCATTTTCCAGTAGCAACAATAAAAGCTAAGAGAATTCCTCACCAGCCAGTCTGTACTATAAAATGCAAAGATAAGTTTTTTGGCAGAAAGGGAAGATGCTAGGTAGAAATTTGATTCCATATGATGAAAAGAGCATGCTGTGAACATTCTAGAAGCTCCTTAAAGAGAGAGATTGTCAGTTCAGTAAAAAGCAAGACCCAACTACATGCTGTCTATAAAAACCCACTTTATATATAAACTTTAAGAACAAACTTAGAGTAAAAATAAAAGGATGGAAAGAGATATAATATGAAAACATTAGTATAAAGAAAATAGGATTGGCTATACTGGCTCATTGACATAAATTAGGGTAGATTTTAGAGCAAGGGGTATTATCAGTAATAGGGAGAGATATTTTTCCTAATGATAAAGTGGTTACATCACCAAGAACAGATATTAATATTAAATCAGTGTGTGCCCCTAATAACAGAATTTTGAAATTCTTAAAGAAAAATCAATAGACATTAAAGAAATAGACAAATTAGCAATTGCAATTAGACAATTCAACACTTCTCTTCCTGTAAGAGATTTTTTAAAGCAGACAAAATATTAGTAAAGGTAGAGAAGTCTTGAGCAACGCTACCGTCCAGCACAACCTATTTGAGATTTATAGAACACTCTACCAAATAACAGCAGAATGCATTAAAATATTACCCAATAGAGCTCATACTAACCTATGAAACGTCTAAAAAAATCAACATAGTTTAAAGTTATACAAAAGACAGTGTCTATCTACAGTGGAATTTACAAAACTATCAATACAGAGAGTCATCTGGAAAAATCTCCATATATTGGGACATCAATGAACATGTATCTAAATGGTCCAGAGGAGAAATCACAAGATACTTTAGAAAATATGTTCAACTGATAGAAAATGAAACCATAACATATCAAAATTTGCGGAAGTGCCACTAAAGTGGCTCTTGGAGACAAATTTATAATTAAATGCTATTATGATAGAAAGCAGAAAAGCTCACAAATAGACAATTTAAGTTTCCACTGTAAGAAACGGTAAGGGAAAAGGGAACAAACTAAACCCAAAGTAAATAAGAAAAAGAAAAAAAAAGAGAAAAAGAAAAAGTGAATAAAAAGAAACTGGACACAAAAAACATTAAAAATTAGTAAATAAAAGCTGATTCCTTGAGAGGATCCATACAATTGTGAGAACTCTCAATAGGTTCATTAAGGGGTAAAGAAATTACTGTAAGTCTCAGGTGCACACCCAGGCTTCAGGCAGGCAGGAAACAGATTACATCTGCGTTTTAGGGTCATATAGACGAGCCGCCACGAGGTGGCAGTAACTGCGCGCTCATTCCCTCACCTCCTGCAAGACCAGGCCAGCCCAGGCTCTGGACTCACCACTCAGCTCAGAAGATGGAAGAGGGTGACAGTAGCTCCATGGACTTTGGCTTTAGGCAGAGCGTTACTGTAGCTTTGGGGTTGTAGGAGGATGAAGAGGGGAGGTTATCAGGACACCATGATGATTGTGTGGCGCTGGTTAGGAACATGGGCTTTGAAGAGAGGGGGATTTTATTTCAAATTGCATCTTTGCCACTTAGTAGCCAGGTGACCTTGAACGTGTCCTCCAACATTTCCATGCCCCAGGAGCTGCCTCTGTAAGCTTGCGTAATACCTACCTGGCAGGCTTGTTTCTGAGGATTTAATAAGATAACTAATATAAAAATGGCCATAGCAGGGCTGGCCGCAAAATTCCTAAGTTTCAGTGCGAAATGGAAATGCAGGGTACCATGGTTTAAAGAGCAGAAAAAGAAAGTGTAATGAAAGGCAGTAGGATATTAAGCTTTTTCAAACAAATATTTTTCATTGTTTGAAAAATGTAATAGTTATACAGGAGTAATGACAGAATCTTACAAATCTCCACCAGAAATTAATTTCATAGTTTTAATAGAATAAAAATACTACTCTATTAATTGGATTTAGATGAATCATACAATTTTTCTGGCCCACTTTTCTGTCAAATAATATATTAGGACAACAAACTTTATACCTTGAGCAACTTCATTTTATCTTTTGGGAAGAATCTGCTGAAGCAACTGTTTCTGGAATATATTCCAAGCTGTGACAACATGAGGATAAATTATTTTGAAACAGATTTTAGTATATCTGGAGCTGGTGATTCTTGTGAAACAATTTGTCTCAAAAGATTTAACTCTTTAAACAAATCAGTTTCATGTAAATTTGAATCTAATTTTAAGTGTCAATTTCTCCAGCGGAATTTTGATGCATCTTCTGACATGTTCTGTAAGTTGCAGAGGCCCACAGCAGACCAATATGGCATCATGATTTGTAACTTATTCAAAACCCCTGTTTATGAATTCTATTGCTATGTATTTATTAACAAGAAAAACTTAATTTTTAAAATTGCCCTCCTTGTTCATAATTGATTAATCAGAAGGTTTTTGTTTGTTTGTTTGTTTGTTTTTTGTTTTTTGACAAGGTCTGTATTTTTCAGGCTGGAGTGCAGTGCTACGATCATTGCTCACTACAGCCTCAAACTCCTGGACTCATGTAATCCTCATACCTCAGCCTCCCAAGAAGCTAAGGCTACGATCATGTGACACTATGGCCAGCTAATCTTTATTATCTTTATTATCATTATTTGTAGAGATGGTGTCTAGTTATACTGCCCAAGCTAGTATCCAACACCTGGCCTCAAGGAGTCCTCTGACCTGAACCTCACAACGTGCTGGGATAACAGGCGTGAACCACCATGCCTGGCCCATCAGAAGTTTTATACAAATATAGCATCCTTCTCTGTTGAATGTGACTACTATTACATGTTTAATTTCCATTTCTGAGCCTTGGATAATGCCTTAAAGAATTCTAAACTCTCTGAAGAATTCCAAGAACTTCCTGGTATACTTTATTGCAATGTCCATGGGCACACTTTTGTTTTGTGCTTCTCTCCTCCCAGTTTGCTATCTGAGCACCTATGGTTCCTGTCCTGGTGCTCAGGTCAGGGGGTAAATCTTTGTGCAGAAGCTCCAAGGATGACTCTGAGAATGCACAGGCACAGAGGTGTCAGTGCTGCCTCCACACAGAGACACTCCATTCACCCCAGGGCTGAGGACACCTGCTGCTGCTGCTGCTGCTGCCACCTCCCATCCCAGTCCAGATGTGCCTGGGCTGCTCCAAGAATGCCTATGCTCAGGGCAGCAAAGCTCTAGAACGTCCCTGGGCCTGAGCCTGCCCAACTTGTCTCCCCTCATAGCCACTCTTCCCATGTGCCTGCTCCATTGTCCTCAGTAAGCTTCACTTACAAAACACAAGTTCAAAGAAAAAACTAAGAAAGTCAGGGAGCTATCAGCAGAGCCTGACACCAGGTACCGGCCCTTCTCAGAGCAGATTCGTGTGTCACTGCCCTGCCTTCAAGCCCATGAAGCTGGCTCTGCCTCCAGAATTGAGAACCAGTAAAACTGCTTCTGTTACTTAACATTGAGGACATAATGCAGAGAAACTTTGTTTTCTAAATCATAGAGATGAGAGAGTTTGCTTTCTGGGAGCCTATCTATAAGAATGAGGCTTCCCACTCTTGCCTGGGGAACTGAACCATTTTGCCACAAAGAAACAGCCTGAAATTCTCTCCCCAGTTATAGAGATAGGTTTGGGGACACAGCACAGGTCATGTTTCATTAAAAGACAGCATAGTGAGTCTATTTGTCAGTTAGACTTGATGGTTCCCATTTTACACACAACCTGGCTTTGCTTTTAGCTCATTAAGAAAAAGAAAAGTCATGTATATTTTACCAAATCTTGACATGTCCCCAAATCCTAGAATTGCTGCATCTCTGGTTTTGGTGAAGAGCCCCATGGTTCTGCCAGTGGATGGTCTTCCTTGCTGAAGCAAGATCATAACCCTACCTTTAAAACAAAGATGCCCCTCTATTGGTCCTTATCAAACACACTTCATCACTAGGATGAACACAGCTGTGAAGGAGTCACACTGGGCTGTGCCAGGAGAAAAGAAGCAGCTGCAACCGTAGGAATCTTCATGGGAACAGTCAGCCCAGCTGTCCTTGAGCAACCAGGCACATATTCCCTAAGCCTTGGTGGCTTCTTCCCCAGGGACACAGGTGCTGCATTTCACAGTGACTTTCCTATTTCAGAGTAATTTCACCTCCTTCTCTAACAAGGCCTCACAAATGTACTGAGAGTTAGAGAGGACAACAAGTGAAAAACCACAGTGCTATCGGTGGTTCCTGGGATTGGAACAGGTTTGTAGGAAAAATTCACTCTCTTTTATGGGTGAGTTTTTAAATGTGAGTGTATTACTTTTATAATAATAATGTTAAGCATGGTAGTCATTAAGAATGTATCGATCAGGAATGAAGTCTCACGTGAAAAAGATGGCAACCAGGCCCTTAATTCAAACTCTAAGCCCCAATAAGGTTCTTCTCATAGTACCATGACATTTCCTTAAGAATATTTACTCAACAAATTAAGAGACATGACAACCTGATTTGATGTGCAAATCTAGATTAAACATGTATCCAGAAACATCAACAGCCATGAAGCCATGGTTGGAACAATTGGAGAAATGTGAAATATTGACAAGATAATAAATAACATTGAGGAACTAGTTTTCTTAATGTGTGTAAATTATATTGTGTTTGATGTGGAAATGTCCCCTCATATGTAAGAGATTCTGCTGAGATAATTACAGTGAAGTGTCATGATGTTTGCGTCTTTCTTTTTTAACTTTAAACACATTTTTAGTACACAAAGGTTGTCACATAATTGGAAGTTTCTCTACTTTGTACACAATTATTCTCACTCTGCACAGAAAGGCTGCTTAACTTCTCATTTGGTGGTTGCAAGCACTAAAATCCTGATTTTAACAGAATAGACTACTATTCATTTTTACTAAAAAATGCCTCAGTGATTTAAGTTGAAAACAGTACATCAGTACATGGCTCTTGTACCCAGTGTCAGGAATGTACAAGATCTTTCTATTCAAAAATACAAACTAAATTATCTGTAGGCATGGATGACAGCTGTAAACCATTATATATTTTGTCAGTTGAAACCAGTAACTGATGGTTATAGTGGTTTCTTAAACATCAGCCAGCCTTTTCTTCATTTTCTCCAACTGACTTCTCTGAAGTTATTGGTGAGGAACACTGCCTTGGGCTTCCTATCACAATTCATTAATAAAGGTAAAGCACTATTCTAGGAATTAGAACAGGCCACCTCCCATTCCACACATTGCACCCATTCCAGGGCTGTTCCCTTCTTTAGGAATTTCTGTGACTACAACAGCTGCTGTAGTTAATAGAGAGGCCATGCCAGCAGCATCCAATGAAGCAGTTCTCACAACCTTTGTTGGGTCAATAATGTCTTTTTCCACCATATTCACGACATCTCCTAACATAGTATCATAACCAACTTCTGAGGAACTTTACATAATTTTCTCAACTATCAAAAATCCATCAACACCTGCATTCTTAGCAATTGTCATTGCTGGAATTTTGAGTGTTCTTTTAATAATTTCTATACCAATTATTTTATCTTCATTAGCTGGAGTGAATGAGTCCAAGGCTGGAATGCATCGAAGCAGGGCACAACCCCCTCCCTAAACAATGCCTTCTTCAACAGCAGCTCTTGTAGCATTAAGTGCACCTATAACTCTGTCTTTCTCTTCATTCACTTCAACATCACTTGTCCCACCAACCTTCAGCACAGCTACTCCATCTGAAAGTTTCTCCACTCAGTTTTTCCTTTTCGTATTCACTAGTTGTGACATCTGACTGGTCAATGATTTCTTGAACACATTTTTCAATTTGAGACTTGTTACCTTTTCCTTTTAAGAGCATGGCATAATCTTTGATCACAGTGACCTCTCCAACTTCTCCTACGTCACGAGGCTGAACGTCTTCAAGATTTAGTGTCAGCCCTCTTCTCCAAACACTGTACCACCAGTAGCAATAACCGTATCTTTAAGCTGGTTCTTTCTATTGTCACCAAACCCTGGAGCTTTGACTGCCACAACCTGAAGACCAACCTTTAGCCTATTCAGGATGAGTGTAGTTAGAGCTTCTCCATCAATGTCTCCAGCAATTATGACCAAAGGCTTACAGTAAGCATTGGCAATTTCAAGAGCAGTTACAATGGACTGGACACTAGAAATTTTCTTTTCATGCAACAGAACATAGGCATCCTGGAATTCACATTTCTCACCTTTTGATGTATTAATAAAGTATGGAGAAATATATCCTCGATCAAATTTTCATGCCTTCAATAATTTCTAATTCATCAGTCAGTGTTTTTCCATCCTTTACTGTGATGATGCCCTTTCTTCCAAACTTTTTCATTGCATCAGAGATGATGTTACCAATTTCTTTGTCTCCATTTGCAGAAATTGTAGCAACCTGTGCAATTTCTTCAGGTTTGGTCACAGGTTTAGACTGCTTTTTAAGTTCAGCAATTACAGCATCAACAGCTAACATCACACCTCTCTTGATTTCCACTGGATTAGCACCTTTGCTAACCTTCTGGAAGGCTTATTTGGAAATAGAGCATACCAGTACAGCAGCAGTGATAGTGCCATCCCCCAGTCTCTTCATCTGTGTTATTGGCAACATCTTGGACAAGTTTAGCTCCAATGCTTTTATATTTATCCTTTAAGTCAATTGACTTTGCATCAGTCACACCATCTTTTGTTACTTTGGGACTTCCCCAGCTATGTTCAATAATTACTGTTCTTCCCTTTGGCCCCATTGTAATGGCTACAGCCTCGACAAAAAGTCTACACTTTGAAGCATTAAGGCTCGGACATCAGCACCAAATTTTACATCTTTACCATCACTTCAAGTGAGGTGAGGAGCCAGTAGCCTGGACACTGGTCTCATCTGGTGAAAGACTGTGGGTAATGGAAGCATTTCTGTGGGGTGCTGGCAGGACATGTGCATGGTGAGGCAGGTCATCAGCAGCAAGTGAGAGCTGCCTCTTACTTTCTAAAGGTGACATAGCAAATATACAAAAAAAAATAAATAAATTATTAATTTAGGTAGAGCACATAAAGGCTTTATTTCATATTCCATTTCTCTGTATGCTTTCTTCACCAGGAAGAAATAGTTTTAGTGTCAGGAATGAATGAGTCTGCCCCTCAATTCCAGCCTGCTCAACACACAAGGAAACAAAGCCCTGACAATCAGAGTGACTCCCTGGTGACTAAGCTCCAGTCCTGGATGCATATTTGTTTAGCAGTTCTGACAGCATTTGACCCAGCCCTCTCTTTGCATACCCCATCAGAACCTTCTTTTTTTTTTTTTTCTTTGAGACTGAGTCTTGCTCTGTCGGAAGCGACTCCTGTGCCTCAGCCTCCCAAATACCTGGAATTATAGGCGTAAGCCATCATGCCTGGCTAATTTTTGTATTTTTCATGGAGATGGGGTTTTGCCATGTTGGTCAAATTGGTCTCACACTCCTGACCTCATGTGATCCACCTGCCTCAGCCTCCCAAACTGCTGGGATGACAGGTGTAAGCCACCATGCTAGGCTCAGAAATTTCCTTTTATAAAAATGTCATTAAGGATCTTGGCTGCACAATATCGTTACCAGCTTCCTTTAAATCCACCTCTGGCCTGCCAGGAATCAGGGTTCTTCAGAACCTGACATTTTAAATGAAGAGGTCAGGCAGGTCATGAGGAAAGCCTCATTGTCCCCATGTCTCTGTCACTGCTGCACCCCTGAGACATCACAGACATGGACACTGGGGCCTGCTTGTTTCTCAAACTGCCCTTAGATCGAAAGAGGGAGGAACCAGGATGAATGCCACTCATTTTCCCAAGAAAGGCCCTCTCCTGAGTGCCCGGGATGGGGCTCTGTCCATTGCCTGGGGCCGCCAATTGCTACTCTGGGTTACGGAGGAAGGACAGGGTCCTGAGAGACACCAGAGACCTCACACAGCCCTGAAAACATGGGGCTCCTTCATAAGTGTTTCCCATCACCAACAGGGAGACCACGTGGAGGCCTTGCAGCCCCACTCGGTGCTTCTCCACCAAATCCCAAGGGCAGTGACACTGACGTCTGTGGAAAGCAGAGAAAGCCCTGGCTCCCAAAGCCCTGAAGTCCTGTGGAGCTGACATTCCCTGAGTGACGGTGTGAATGGAAGGAACTCAAGTGCGGTGGTAGGCCACCTCCTGGCCCAGGCCTGGGTGAACTCTGAGGGGACACATGTAGTCACAATCCCATCCTCCCATTCTCCTTCTCAGAGGAAGGAAGTGGGCATCCATCTGCCTCATCTCTCTCCCGTGGGGAAGATGGGGAGTTTCAGGGGAACTTTCACATAAATTTCACCAGCTCAGATCTCCTGTGAGGATGGGGCCCACCATGCTCCCGGTGCTGCCAGAGGCCCTGAGCCCCTCCCAGGGTCCCTGGGTTTGAGCCAGCCCTGTATCATCCCCAGGAGCTGAATGTCCGAGCAATGGATAGAATTAGATGGAAAGAGCTCTCAATTTGGCCTGAGACTGTCCCCAGATACTCAGGAAAAACAGGACGTCGCACAGAGTGGGCAGCAGGTGAGTGGCAGGTTATAGGTCCTGAGTTTGAGTTTGTTCTCACGTGAGACAGACCCAGCCCCTCACTCCATTCACACACTGGGTTTTAAATGGTGCAAGATAGGAGGAATTTTCTGGTCCCAAGAGCAGGAGGAAGGGATTTTCTGGGGTTTCCTGAGTCCAGATTTGCATAAGATCTCCTGAGTGTGCATTGTTCTTTGAGGACCATTCTCTGACTCACCAGGTAAGTGGCTGAATTCTAACCTCTGTAATGAGCATTGCACCCAACACCAGTTCTGAACTCTACCTGGTGACCAGGGACCAGGACCTTTATAAGGTGGAAGGCTTGATGTCCTCCCCAGACTCAGCTCCTGGTGAAGCTCCCAGCCATCAGCCATGAGGGTCTTGTATCTCCTCTTCTCGTTCCTCTTCATATTCCTGATGCCTCTTCCAGGTGAGATGGGCCAGGGAAATAGGAGGGTTGGCCAAATGGAAGAATGGCGTAGAAGTTCTCTGTCTCCTCTCATTCCCCTCCACCTATCTCTCCCTCATCCCTCTCTCTCCTTCCTCTCTCTGTGTGTCCCCTCCATCCTTTTCTCCTGCTTCTCTCTCTTCTTCCCTCTCTCTCTTTTTTTCTGTCTTTCTTTTTCCTCTCTCCCTAGAGCATGTCTTTCTTTCTTTCTCTTTCCTTTCTTCTACCCACACTTTTAGACTGAATGCCCTATTTAATTGAACCAAGCATTGCTTCCTTCAATAGAAAAGGAGTTTGAGAACCCAATGGACACCTCACTCGTTCTTCTAAGCCAATATGAAGGAGCCCAGTAGCTTGTAAATATCATCTCTTCACTGCTTTCCATGCTACAACTGCTGAGACTATGGTTGAAACCTGTTAGGTGACTTTTTAAATAAAAGGCAGAAATTTTGATTTTATCTAAAGAAAGTAGTATAGAATGTCATTTTCTAAATTTTTATATTTAAAGGGTAGATACTGCAACCTAGAGAATTCCAGATAATCTTAAGGCCCAGCCTATACTGTGAGAACTACTGCAGCAGACACTCTGCCCCCAGGACTTTTCTGATCAGAGGCCCTGAGAACAGTCCCTGCCACTAGGCCACTGCAGGTTCACAGGACAGGGACAGCCCATTGAAACCAACTTTTAAACCTGGATGCCTAACCTTCATTTTCTCCTTGATATTATGAAAATAAAATAAAAACCATGAAAGGATAAAAGAGGGAGAGTGGAAGGGAAGGATGGAGAAAGGGAAAAAGAAAATTTGAGAGTAAATCCTAAAACAATTAATCTAATAGATATCATCTTGTGAAATCCTCATTTTACCAATCTTATTTATGAGTCCTGGGTTTTGTGAGAACAATGGGGTTCTGAGAGGCACCAGAGACCTCATGTTTTCCAAAACCTAGAACAGTATAATGAAGGAAGGCGGGGAGGCAGGGAGGCAGGGAGGCAGGGAGGCGGGCAGGTGGGGAGGGAGGGAGGGAAGGAGGGAGGGAGGGAGGGAGGGAGGGAGGGAGGGAGGGAGGGAGGGAGGGAGGGATAAAAAAAGAAGAATGAGGTTGAAACCAGGACTTAGATATTAGAAACAAGCCATTACAAAATTTATTTCTATGGTTAATTGTGGTTTTCAACTGTAAGTTACTTGGTGTTAATTTCCTATTAAACAATTTCAGTAAGTTGCATCTTTTTATCCCATCTCAGATCAAATACTTAACAGACTAAATGATTTGAAAAAGCAAAAGTTTACTGGCTTGTGTGTGTTAAAATGGAGGTATGGTGGCTTTGATATTATCTTCTTGTGGTGGAGCTGAATTCACAAGAGATCGTTGCTGAGCTCCTACCAGACCCCACCTGGAGGCCCCAGTCACTCAGGAGAGATCAGGGTCTTTCACAATCAGGTTCTACAAAAATAAACATCCCCCAAACCACAGCAGTGCCAGTTTCCATGTCAGAAACTTAGATCCAAATGACTGACTCGCGTCTCATTATCATGATGGAAAAGCCCAGGCTTGAGAAAGAAGCCCGCTGCGGATTTACTCAAGGCGATACTGACACAGGGTTTGTGTTTTTCCAACATGAGTTTTGAGTTCTTACACGCTGTTTGCTCTTTTTGTGTGTTTTTTCCCTGTTAGGTGTTTTTGGTGGTATAGGCGATCCCGTTACCTGCCTTAAGAGTGGAGCCATATGTCATCCAGTCTTTTGCCCTAGAAGGTATAAACAAATTGGCACCTGTGGTCTCCCTGGAACAAAATGCTGCAAAAAGCCATGAGGAGGCCAAGAAGCTGCTGTGGCTGATGCGGATTCAGAAAGGGTTCCCTCATCAGAGACGTGCGACATGTAAACCAAATTAAACTATGGTGTCCAAAGATACGGAATCTTTATCCTAGTAATTGTGGTCATTGGGTGATGTTGGTTTGGGCAGACCATCTCTAATATCCTTGAAACACCTTTTTCTGCTCTCCAGGAAGGGGTCAGGGCTGCCACAGCGGGGCTTGGAGTGCTTTCCAGGGTCACAGGCATCTGTATTCTTTGGATTCCTTGACCTTCCCCATTTATTCCCGGCATTTTCCTAAAACGTGTGCTTTGCTCCTCCTGCATCCTCCCCTTGCATGCCCTCACCTACCCCACATCTTCCCTAAAAAAAGCAAGCCCAACTCAAAGACCAGTTCCCTCATGGAATCATAGTGGATCTGCCAAGGGAGGGGATGCCCAGTCCTCTGTTCTTCACAAGGACTCCCTTCTTCTGGCTAAGGTTTCTTATGCAATTATGCCTCCTACAGAGGTGCGTGAATTTTTAATTCTCCATTTAGCTATGAGATTTCTACTAGTGTGGACTTTGTCTTATTCATTTATGTGCTGGCCATTCATAAACTATTTCATTAATTGGATGGCAAAATGCAGTTGTACAAGGGTTTCCTTACATACAAACATAATAGGATCCAAGTAAATGCTGTTAAAAACAAGTCTCTTTGAGGGCACAATTAAATGAGGACAATATGGCATGGGACACAAGCAGAGGGGAGCAAACCTCAAGAAGAAAGACGCATCGACTCTAAGGGGGAGCATCAAGATAGCTCCCTGGCCCTGCTCTCTCTCCTTGGGAGGGTTTGGTCCTTAAATCATGAACTCTGTGGGTGTATCCTAGACGCATAAGAAGCTCTCTATTTCTTCACATTAGCTCTGCACTGAATGTGCATATCATCTACGTCTGGGAAAATGCACCTTAGTTCCAAAATAATCCATTGTCTTTCCTAATCTCAAGATTGAAAAAAGTAACCAGACCTTGTTAGAGTAAAAGCATTTTTATCTGGATATAGATTTTATCCAGACGTGATGACAGAGCCAGGACTAGGGCGAAGCGAGGGAGGCTCTGGCCTCAGGTATAAAATGTAAGCACTAAGATATCCTGTACTTAAGATAGATGATCTTATAATGCGATAGATTTTTAAAAAATAATATTCATGAAAAAATCACCATAATTAACAAACTCTCCAAAATTTAAACCAAGACAGGGTCTAATCCTGTGATTGTCCAACTCAGTCGCACTCACCTACCTTGATGCCAGGATAGTCAGACCCTGCCTTTATTTAGTCATTTAATATTCATCGTGTATACATTGTTATTTTGAATAAATTAGTGGATTTCTTGATTCCTGGAAGCATATATCATTTGACTGTATAAAAGAAGTGAAGCTTCACACACACACAAAAAGTAAAAGTCACCATGACAATGACATTCATTCCTATGTTCTAGGGGAAACAGCACAACTCTCTTAGGAAGAAACTCTCCTTTTATTTAAGAAGGCCCTTTAATGGCTGTTTAGGTCTTGGAAGGTAGGACACCTGACTGCATCTGTGAAATAGAGATACAATCCATAAGCACTAAATCATTCTACAATTCTAAAAATAAAATGTTAAACGTTTCTTGGCCCTCAGAGATTAACAATGAAAGGAGTTCTGGGTTCCAAAAGGAGCAGGTATACCTGTAACATCAGGGCACAAAGTAGCCTGTAGAGGTTATTGCCAAGAGTGGCTGAACTCTTTAGCTAGAATGCACTCTGATTTCTATTCTTATTTTTAACAGTTCTGTGCATTAACCACCCGTCATTATCCTTATGTTTTTGCAAAACTGTGTCTCAATCAATGGCTGTGTATTTGAAAATTCTTGGAAAAGGGGGAAAGCCTCAGTAATTCTTAATGCAAAGCTACAAAGAAAATGGGTAGTTGGTTGCAGGAGTGAGGTGGAGGTGGCCAGAGAATGTCACAGAGAAGACAGAAATAAGAATTTGCACAAGATATTAGGAGCATAAGCACCTGTAGGGAGTTCTGAGAAACATTTGGCTGTCTACACTAATGAGGAATGGGAGCTGGAGCTGTTTAATTTGGATGGTCAAAAATAGGATAACTCTGGGAGTTTACAGAATTCACAGAATCCATTCCAACCAAGTGAGCTTGCATGCCATACTCTAAGTCTCTGAACCTGTGAACTCATGACATAACAGAATAAAATTGTTCCCATTTCATCGTGCCTGAAGACTCATAAGAAAAAAAAAAGGTATTAATTTTAAACACTGAAGCTCATTCATCATTTTATTGAATTCACCTGGCTACAAAATTAGCAACTGATCTTGTTCCAACTATATTGAAAGCAGATGAAGAAACTCTCCAAAGAACAGGGTTTGTCTGTGACTAGTCTAGGTAGAGTTTACTTTCGACACATCCTCTTGGTGTTTTCAGAGCTTTTTGAATATGTGGAATAATATCATTGCTTTGAGCAGATTTTCAGCCATTAGTTCTTCAGTTATTGCTGCTGTCCCTCTCTCCTTTCTCTTCCTGGAAATAGAATTGTCTAGATAGATAGAGAATTGGTCCAAAAGTAATTGTGGTTTTTGCCTTTAAAGGTAATGGCAAAAACTGCAATTACTTTTGCACCAACCATATGTATGTACACAAACACATATGCAATATGTGTGTATTGCATATATATTCAATACAAACACACAGACACACATATACAAAGCATCCTTTTACTGTGTCTTCACATATATATTTATGCCATTTTTTGTATTTTTCATTATTTTATATCTCTGCACTTCAACCTGAAAATTTTCCACTGACTTGTATTCTTACTTTTTTTTTTTTTTTTGAAACAGAGCCTTGCTCTGTCACCCAGGCTGGAGTACAGTGGTGTGATCTCGACTCAACTGCAACCTCTGCTTCCCAGGTTCAAGCAATTCTCCTGCCTCAGCCTTCTGAGTAGCTGGGATTACAGGTGCCCTCTACCACATCCAGTTAAATTTTTTTTTTTTTTTGTATTTTTGGTAGAGATAGAATATCACCATGTTGGCCAGCCTGGTCTTGAACTCCTGGCCTCAAGTGATTCGCCTGCCTTGGCCTCTCAAAGTGTTGGGATTACAGGCGTGAGCCACCGCGCCCAGCCCACTGACCTGTGTTTTAATTCTTGTATCCTCTACTCTGCTCTGGTCACTTTGCTATTAATCCCATCTATTGTGATATTGACTTCACATATTGTATCAAGTACTAGAATTCAATTATTTAATATTTTTACATAAGATAGGAGAGTCTATTCAAAAACGAAAAGGGTCAGACATGTTTCAGATGCCCCAGCCTTCTTGGGATATGGGCTTTTTCATGCTAACATCTGTCTCTTAATGAATCCAAAATGGAGGAGTGTTTGCTTTTAAAAGAATACATTTCAGTGAAGGTCTTGATCAAAGAGAGATAATTAAAAAAACACTAAAGAAACATCAAAAAGATCTAATTGTAGGGTATCTGGGGGATGATAACACATCCAGGAAACTTTTTCTGAGAGACCTGTGATAGAACCTTAAATGTACTTTTCTTTGTTTTGCTCTCATATGTGAGCAACTTAGAAGAAACATATATTTGTTTGTATTAATCCCACATGACTAGGGTTGACAGATTTAGCAAATAAAAGTATAGGACACTCAGTTAAATGTGAGTTTTAGATAAACAACATCCAGTTTATTGTGGCATTATCTATCTCATACTATTTGGGATTAAATACACTAAAAAGTTCTTCATGGTTTTTCTGAAAGCCAAATTGAACTTGGCCTCCTATATTCATCTAATAACACTATGAATCACTGAAAACATTTTTTCTTTAAAGATATTTTTCTTGGCGAAAGTATTTATTACGTCACTGAATTTTATTTTACTAGGTGTAGTAGGCGTAATAACGGCATCCCAAAGATGTCCATGTCCTTATCCCTAGAACCTGGGATTATGTTACACTTTATGGCAAATAAGAACTAAGACAGCAGATAGAATAGTTGGCTAATATGCTGACTTTAAAACAGGGAGATTAACTTAGATCATGTGAATGAGACCAACGTAATCCAAGAATCCTTAAATGTGGAAAAGAAAGGCAGAACAGTCAGTGTCTGGGTGATGCGATGTGGGAACGACTCAACAGCCATTGCTGGATTTGAAGATGAAGGAAGGATCCACAAACCAAGGAACATGGGCAGCCTCTCAGATTTGAAAAGGCAAAGAAGAAAAAAAAAAAAAAAAAAAGGAAAGCAAACTCAGCTTCTTAGAACCTCTGGAAAGGAAAAAGGTCCTACGGACACTTTGATTTTTCATGTTTGATCCCCAAAACAGCAAGATAATTTGTGTTGGTTTAGGTCACTAAGCTTATGACAATTTGCTTAGAAACAGAACACAAATACAATTGCTCCTCAGTATCCATGGGGGATTGGTTCCAGGACCCCCTGTGTATACCAAATGCCTCAGATGCTCAAGTCTCTGATATAAAAGAGTAGTAATTTCATATAATCTTCACACTCCTTGCATATACTTTAAATCATTCCTAGATTTCTTGTAACACTGAACACAATGTAAATGCTAAGTAAGTAGGAGTTATGCTGTATTTCCTAGAAAATAATGGCAAGAGAAAAAGGCCTGTGCATGCTCAATTCAGACACAATGTTTTTGTAGAACGTTTCCTGATGTGGAACACATGAATAGGAAGGGCCTACTGGTTTCAAATTATAAACTGAGCATAAAATTAGTAACACAAAAAAGCTAAGGCTACATTTCTGTAATGGAGAACAAAGATGAAAACCTACCAACATTTTACGGAATTTTATGTATATCTTTCTTAAACTCTGAAGGCTTATGTGAAAAGACAATGAGGCTCTCAGGAAGAAGGGACAAAAACTGAAAAAGTTGAGCCTGTTCCTCAGTTTCCATCCAAATGGACTCACTGCTATGGGAATTGCCCTCCTACAGTAGACAAGATGGAACTAGTCAGCAGGTGTGAGACAGCTGTGTTCATATATTGGATAATAAGCAGTGCAACAAACAAATAAAGTAGGATGTCCTTTTGCCCCAGCTCTCTATAGGGCCAGGTTACAGGCCACAGCACAGGGAGGAAGACTCACATGGAGACCAGCACCCTGTAGCATTGAGGAGACCAAGGTCAAAGCTCACACAGCACGATACGCCCTGTGTCAGTCTGTGTGTGTTGTTCTAAAGGAATACCTGAGGTGGGATAATACTTCAGGAAAGGAAGTTATTTGGCTCACTATTTTTGGCTGTGTGAGAAGCATGGTGCCTGCATCCGCTCCTTGTTAGGACTCCATAAGCCTTCAGTCATAGTGGAAAGTCAAGTGGGAGCAGGAATATCACGTGGTAAGAGTGGAGCGAGAGGGTGCAAGGAGGTCCCAGACTCTTTTAAACAACTACATGTTGTATGAGCTCGGAGCAAGAACTCATTCATTTTTGTGATGAAAGCAGTTAGTCATTCATTAGGGATTCACCCCCACAACCCAAACACTTCCCACCAGATTCCACTTCCAACACTGAGGATTAGATTTCAGCAGGAGGTTTTGAGGGGACAAACATCTGAAAAATATTATTCTTCCTCTGGCCCCTCAAATCTCATGTCCTTCTCACATTGCAAAATGCAATCATCCCTTCCCAATCACTCCCCAAAGTTTTAACTACTTCCAGCATTAACTTAATCAAAAGTCCAAAGTTCAAAATCTCATCCCCTGAGACTCAAATTCCTTCCGCCTTTTAGCCTGTACTATCAAAAACAAGTTATGTACTTTCATGTTACAATGATGGCACAGGCATTGGCTAGACACTACCATTCTAAAAGGCAGAAATTGGCCAATAAAAGGGATTACAGGCCCCACACATGTCAGAAACTCAGTAGGGCAGCTATTAAACCTCAAAGTTCGAAAATAATTCTTGATTCCATGTCCTTTATTCTGCTGTGAGGGTGGGCTCTGAAGACCTTGGGCTGCTCTGCCCCTGTGGCTTTACAGGGTGCAGCCCACATGGCTCCTGTCACAGGTCAGAATCTGATGCCCGTGGCTCTTCCATGCTGAGGGTACAAGCTGTCAACAGTGTTACTATTCTCAGGTCTGGAGGGCAGTGTTCCCCTTCCCTCAGCTCCACTAGGCAATGCCCCACTGGGGACACTGTGTGGGGAATCCAACCCCACGTTTCCCCTTAGCACTGCCCTGGTAGAGTTTTTCTCTTGGTACTCTCCCTTGGCAGCAGTTTTCTGCCTGGAGAACAAGACTTTGCCACACATCCTCTGAAATCTCGGTGGAAGCTGCCAAGCCTCCTTCCTTTTTGCACTCTGCAGACTTGCAGGCTTAGCACCACATGAACGCTGCCAAGACGTTCTGGCTTTCACCCACTGAAGCAGTGGCCAATCTGTACATTAGGCCCTTTGAGCTGAGGCTGGAGGCTGGGCAGCCAGGATGTGTCTTGAGGCTGAGCAGGGCAGCTGTGCCTGGGTCTGGCCACTGAAACCATTCTTTCCTCCTAGGCCTGTGGGCTGTGGTGGGAGGGAATGCCTCAAAGTTTTCAAAAATGCCTTGTAAGCCTTTTCCCCATTGTCTTGGCTATTAGCACTTGGCTCCTTCTCAGTCATGCACATCTCTCTAGCAAGTGGTTTCTCCACAGCCCCTTACAGTCCTCTTCTGAAAATGCTTTTTCTTTCTCTACTAAATTTCTAGGCTGCAAATTTTCCAAATTTTTATGCTTTGCCTCTTTCATGCGCGTCCGTGTGAAGAGACCACCAAACAGGCTTTGTGTGAGCAACATGGCTGTTTATTTCACCTGGGTGCAGGCGGGCTGAGTCTGAAAAGAGAGTCAGCAAAGGGAGATAAGGATGGGGCCGTTTTATAGGATTTAGGTAGGTAAAGGAAAATTACAGTCAAAGGGGTTTTGTTCTCTGGTGGGCAGTAGTGGGGGTCGCAAGGTGCTCAGTGGGGTTGCTTTTTGAGCCAGGATGAGCCAGGAAAAGGACTTTCACAAGGTAATGTCATCACTTAAGGCAAGGACCGGCCATTCACACTTCTTTTGTGGTGGAATGTCATCCGTTAAATTGGGGCAGGGCATATTCACTTCTTTTGTGATTCTTCAGTTACTTCAGGCCATCTGGGCGTATATACGTGCAAGTCACAGGGGATGCGATGGCTTGGCTTGGGCTAAGAGGCCTGATATTCCTGCCTTCTTATATTAATAAGAAAAATAAAACAAAATAGTGTTGAAGTGTTGGGGTGGTGAAAATTTTTGGGGGGTGGTATGGAGAGAGAATGGGCGATGTTTCTCAGGGCTGCTTCAAGCGGGATTAGGGGTGGCGTGGGAATCTAGAGTGGGAGAGATTAAGCTGAAGGGAGGTCTTGTGGTAAGGGGTGATATTGTGGGGATGTAAGAAGAAACATTTGTCATATAGAATGATTGGTGATGGCCTGGATACGCTTTTGGATGAATTGAGAAACTAAATGGAATAACAGAAGGAGAAAAAGAGGTATAAAAGGTCTAAGAATTGGGACGACTCAGGATATCTCATTAGAGAGTGCCTAAGGAGACTCATCATAGTCCTGCCAGCAAAGATTATTTATTTACTTCAAGAGTTAAGAGCGGCAGTTTGGGGATAGCACCAGGAGATATCAGCTGTGATGGCTTGGAAAAACTGTGTAAAACGGCCGTGTAAACAAGAGCGGGCATGTATGAGTAGTTGAGAATGGTGAATAGGAGTATGACTAGACAGAAGATAGTAGGGATGACAAGTTTTTTGGGGCACAGTTTAAGTTGGTCTGGTGTCTGGAATGAGACTGGGGCCTAATAAAAAGGAGCGTCTATACAGGAGCTTAAATGGGCTGTACCCTGTAGCATTCTGAGGTCAGGCCTGAATTCTGAGATGGGAAAGTGCTAAAAGTATTGTCCAGTCCTTTTTGGTGGCTGAGCTTGGTGAGGTGTGTTTTTAAAAGACTTTTAGTCCATTCTACTTTTCTTGAAGATGGAGGACTGTAAGGGATATAAAGGTCTGAATACTAAGAGCCTGAAAAACTGCTTGGCTGATTTGACTAATAAAGGCTCATCTGTTAGCAGACTGTATGGAGGTGGGAAGGCTAAACTGAGAAATTATGTCTGACAGAACCAAAGAAATGACTGCGGTGGCCTTCTCAGACCCTGTAGGAAAGGCCTCTACCTATCCAGTGAAAGTATCTACCTAGACTAAGAGGTATTTTAGTTATCTGACTCAGGGCATGTTGAGTAAAGCTAACTTGCCAGTCCTGGGTGGGGCAAATCCTCGAGCTTGATGTGTAGGGAAGGGAGGGGGCCTGAATAATCCCTGAGGAGTAGTAGAATAGCAGATGGAACACTGAGAAGTTATTTCCTTCCTTGAGGATAGATTTCCATGATGGAAAGGAAATAAGAGGTTCTAAGAGACGGGCTAGTGGCTTGTACTATAGTATAACCTGCTTTTGCTGGTGTGTGGCAATTAGGCCTGGTGGAGCTGCCATCAATAAATCAAGCGTGATCAGGGTGAGGAACAGGAAAGAAGCAAATATGGGGAAATGGAGTGACTATCAGGTGGATCAGAGAGATACAGTCATGGGGGTCAGGTGTGGTATCAGGAATAATGTGGGAGGCCAGATTGAAGTCCGGGCCAGGAACAATGGTAATTGTGGGACTTAAAGAGTGAGTACAGCTGAAGGAGCCGGGGAGCAGAAAGTATATAAGTCAGGTATGAGGAAGAAAATAGATTTTGGAAGTTATGAGAACTGTAGAGAGGGAGTTGAGCATAGTTTGTGATTTTGAGGGCCTCTAAAAGTATTAAAGCAGCGGCAGCCACTGCACGCAGACATGAGGGCTAGACTAAAACAGTAAGGTCAAGTTGTTTGCACAGAAAGGCTACAGGGTGCTGTCCTGGCTCTTGTGTAAGAATTCTGACTGCACTAACTATGCCTAGGAAGGAAAGGAGTTGTTTTGTAAGGGATTGTGGTTTGGGAGATTAATCGGACATGATCAGCAGGCAAAGCACATATGTTTTCATGAGAACTATGCTGAGATAGGTAACAGATGAGGATGACATTTGGGCTTGACTGAAGTAATGGGGGCTGTCTATGAAGCCTTGCGGCAGTACAGCCTAGGTAATTTGCTGAGCCTGATGGGTGTCAGGGTCAGTCTAAGTGGAAGCGAAGAGAGGCTGGGACAAGGGGTGCAGGGGAATAGTGAAAAAGCATCTTTAAGATCAAGCACAGAATAGTGAGTTGTGGAGGAAGGTATTGAGGACAAAAGAGTGTACGGGTTGGACACCACAGGGGGGATAGGCAAAACAATTTGGTTGATAAGGTGCAGATCCTGAACTAACTTGTAAGGCTTGTCTGGTTTTAGGACAGGTAAAATGGGGGAATTGTAAGGAGAGTTTATAGGATTTAAAAGGCCATGCTGTAGCAGGCGAGTGATAACAGGCTTTAATCTTTTTAAAGCATGCTGCGGGATGGGATATTGGTGTTGAGTGGGGTAAGGGTGATTAGGTTTTAATGAGATGGTAAGGGGTGCATGATCGGTCACCAAGGAGGGAGTAGAGGTATCTTATACTTGTGGGTTAAGGTCGGGGGATACAAGAGGACGCAAAGGAGACTTTGGATTGGGAAGAAGGGTGGCAATGAGATATAGCTGTAGTCCAGGAATAGTCAGGGAAGCAGATAATTTAGTTAAATTGTCTCGGCCTAATAAGGGAACTGGGCAGGTGGGGATAACTAAAAGGGAGTGCTTAAAAGAGTATTGTCTAAGTTGGCACCAGAGTTGGGGAGTTTTAAGAGGTTTAGAAGCCTGGCCATCAATACCCACAACAGTTATGGAGTCAAGGGAAACAGGCCCTTGAAAAGAAGGTAATGTGGAGTGGGTAGCCACCGTAATGATTAAGAAGGGGACGGAATTACCCGCCACTGTGAGAGTTACTCGAAGTTCAGCGTCCGTGATGGTCTAGGGGGCTTCCGAGGCGATCGGGCAGTGTCAGTCTTCAGCCACTAAGCGGAGAAGATCTCTGAAGGAGTCAGTCAGAGAGCCTTGGGCCAGAGTTCCAGGGGCTGTGGGAATGGCTGCCAGGTGAGTTGAACAGTCCGGTTTTCAGTGGGGTCCCACACAGATGGGACGTGGCTTAGGAGGAATCCCGGGCTGTGGGCATTCCTTGGCCCAGTGGCCAGATTTTGGCATATGTAGCAAGCTCCTGGGGGAGGAGGTTCTGGAGGACTGCCTGGCTGCTGTGGTTCAGGCATTTGGAAGTTCTTGTGTGCTGGAGATGTGGCTGGGGTTTGTCTCACAGTGGAGGCAACGAATTACAACTTTTTTCTGTTATTGTACGCCTTGAAGGTGAGGTTAATTAAGTCCTGTTTTGGGGTTTGAGGGCCAGATTCCAATTTTTGGAGTTTTATTTAATGTCGGGAGCAGATTGGGTAATAAAATGTATATTGAGAATAAGACGGCCTTTTGACCTTTTAGGGTCTAGGGCTGTAAAGCGTGTCAGGGTTGCTGCCAAAGGAGCCATGAACTGGGCTAGATTTTTATATTTGATGAAAAAGAGCCTAAACGCTTCTGATTTGGGAGAAAGAAAAAGGAGCATTAACCTTGACTATGTCTTTGGCTCCAGCCACCTTTTTAAGAGTAAATTGCTGGGCAGGTGGAGGAGGGCTAGTCACGGAAGGAAACTGTAAGCCGGACCAGGTGTGAGGAGGGGAGGTGATAAAAAGATTATAGGGTGGAGGAGCAGAGGCTGAGGAAGAATTGGGACGTAGCTTGGCCTGGTGAGGAGCAGCCTGGGGAGGAAGGGAGATGTCAGATTGGTCTGTAGAAAAGGAAGATTAGAAAGACTCAGCGACACTTGGGGTTGGTACTGAGGGGACAGGCGGGAGGGAAAGAAGGAAGATTTGGGATGAGTTGCACTGGGCACAGAGACTAGGAAGGGACTGATGTGTAAAAGAATGCCTGGACGTCAGGCACCTGAGACCATTTGCCTATTTTACAACAAGAATTATTTAGATCTTGTAGGATGGAAAAATTCAAAGTGCCATTTTCTGGCTATTTGGAACTACTGTCGAGTTTGTATTGGGGTCAAGTGGCATTGCAGAAGAACATAAGGCATTTAGGTTTTAGGTCAGGTGTGACTTGAAGAGGTTTTAAGTTTTTGAGAACACAGGCCAAGGGAGTAGAAGGAAGAATGGAGCATGGAAGGTTGCCCATAGTGAAGGAAGCAAGCCTAGAGAAAAGAGAGAGTAGAGAAATGGAAGGAAGGGGTTTGGGGGTTCTTACCTTCCAGAAAAGTGGGAAAAGGGTTTGGGGCACAGAGATAAGAGGTCAGGGCATGGAAATAAGGGATTGGGGTGCAGAGATATGAGGTTGAGGCACTGAAATAAGGGATTGGGGCACAGAGATAAGAGGTTGGGGTGCGGAAATAAGGGATTGGGGCACAGAGATAAGAGGTCAGAGTGCAGAAATAAGGGATTGGGGTGTAGAGATAAGAGGTTGGGGCATGGAAATAAGGGATTTGGGTGCAGAGATAAGAGGCTGGGGCGTGGAAATAAGGGATTGGGTGTTCTTGCCCCATAGAAAAGCGGGACTTGCCGCTAAGGGTGAAGGAGAAAGGGTTGAAGGGTACTTGCCCCTCTCCCAGAAAAGCAGAGAAGGGGTAGAGACAAGGCGAGAAGGAGTTGAGGTACTTGCCCCTTCCCCAGAAAAGCGGGAATTGCCGCTAAGGGTGAAGGACCAAGGCAGGTGTTCCTGCATGGTCAGACACCCTTGAAATGTGGGTGTATAATCAGAGAGGCATCCCTGCAATGATTAAACACCAAGGGAAGGCTGCCTTCCCAGTCCGTGACCAGTGCCGGAGTTTTGGGTCCATGGGAAAAACGTGTCTCCTTTGTCTCTTCCAGAAAATGAAAGGAATTGAAATTAAGAGAAGGGAGAGATTGAAGAGTGGAAAGGAGAAAGTGGTTGAGGGACAGTGAGAGAGGTTGCAGAAGAGAGTAAGAAGAGGCCGCTTACCTGATTTAAAATTGGTGAGATGTTCCTTGGGCTTGTCGGTCTGATGACCTGAGGTCATAGGTGGATCTTCTCACGGAGCAAAAAACAGAAGTACAGGGGATTGATCTCCCAAGGGAGGTCCCCCGATCCAAGTCACGGCACCAAATTTCATGTGCGTCCGTGTGAAGAGACCACCAAACAGGCTTTGTGTGAGCAACATGGCTGTTTATTTCACCTGAGTGCAGGTGGGCTGAATCCAAAAAGGGAGTCAGTGAAGGGAGAAAAGTGTGGGGCTGTTTTATAGGATTTGGGTAGGTAAAGGAAAAATACAGTCAAAAGGGGTTTGTTCTCTGGCGGGCAGGAGTAGGGGTTGCAAGGTGCTCAGTGGGGGTGCTTTTTGAGACAGGATGAGCCAGGAAAAGGACTTTCACAAGGTAATGTCGTCACTTAAGGCAAGGACCGGCCATTTACACTTCTTTTGTGGTGGAATGTCATCTGTTAAGGTGGGGCAGGGCATATTCACTTCTTTTGTGATTCTTCAGTTACTTCAGACCATCTGGGCGTATACGTGCAAGTCACAGGGGATGCGATGGCTTGGCTTGGGCTGAGACGCCTGACAGCTTCTCCTTTAAGTTCCAAATTTAAAGCATTTATTTGCTCCTGTATCTGATTGCAAGCTTGTAGAAGCAGCTACATATCTTGAATACTTTGCTCCTTGGAAATTACTTAGACCAGATGCTCTAGCTAATCGCTCTAAAGTTCAACTTTCCACAAATCCCTAGGATGTGAACACAGTGCAGCCAAGCTCTTGACTGGGGTGTAACAATCGGGACCCTTGCTGTAATTCCCAGTAACTTCCACTTTTCCATCTAACAACTTGATAGCCTGGACTTCACTGTCCATATCTCTGTGAGCATTTTGGTCACATACATTTAACAAGTTTCTAAAGAGTTCCAAACTTTCCCTCATCTTCCTATCTTTTGCTGGGCCCTACACACTCTTTCAACCTCTGCCAGTACCCAGTGACAAAGCCACTTCCATATTTTCAGCTGTCTTTACAGCAATGCCCCCTGCACAGTACCAATTTTCTGTGTCAGTTTGTTTTTACTCCTATAAAGGAATACCTAATGCTGGGTAATTCATAAGGAAAAGAAGTTTATTTTGGCTCCCTATTCTGTAGGCTGTATGAGTAGCATGGTGACATCATCTGCTCCTTTTGAGGCCTCAGAAGGCTTCCTTTTGTGTAGCAAGGGGAAGGGGGAGCAGGAGTATCACAAGCCAGGAGAAGGAGCCAGAGTTGGGGAGGTGCCACACTGTGTGAAACAACCAGATCTCCCATGACTCAAAGAAGGAACTCACAGATTATCTCCAGGACAGCACCAAGCCATTCATGAGGGATCCACCCCAATGACCCCAACACCTCCTGCCAGGTCCCACCTCCAAGACTGGGAATTACATTTCAACATAGTATTTGTAGAGTACAAACATCCAACCTGTATCAGACCCCAATTTCCAGTGCACATATCAGAGAGTGGGCTACTGAAAGGAAGCATTGATCTTGAGTGTTGGAGAAGAGAAGAATGCCTTCACTCTTAGGCTATGTTATGATGTGTGCACACTTGGGCTAAGACTTCCCCAGGCCAGAAAAAAGTAAAAACTCCATAAGGGAGTGAACGGCATTTTCAGGAGGACAGACAAGTCTTGAAAACTTTGTATCCCCACAGCAAAGTGGAGAGAACTCAGAACCTCAGAAAGCCATCAGCAAGTAGTGGTGCTAGTTAGCTCTAGATTAAACTGCTCTGCAACTGCTTCAAGAAATTTTCAAGCCATTCCTGAAAAAACCAAATGAATGTATAGAACCCCCAAAATGAACCAGATGATGTCTAGCATTCTTTGGGGAAAAAAAACAACCAAAACTGTTACTCAACAATTCAAGCTGTCCAGGCATGGCGGTTCATGACTGTAATCTCAGCACTTTCGGAAGCCAAGACAGGTGAATCACTTGAGGGCATGAGCTCGAGACCAGCCAGGCCAACCTATGCCTACTAAAAATAGAAAAATTATCTGGGCGTGGTGGCACAGGCCTGTAGTCCCAGGTACTCAGGAGGCTGAGGCAAGAGAATTGCTTAAACCAGGGAGGCAGAGGTTGCAGTGATCTGAGATTGCACCACTGCATTCTAGCCTGGGCAACAGAGCAAGACCCTGTTTCCAAATAAAAAAAAAATAGGCTTTATAATATACTGAATCCAATCAAAAATTTCCAAGCATGAAAAGAAGTAGGAAAATACAGCCCATAACTAGGAGAAAAGTCATTCAGTAAAAACAGACCCAATAATGACAAAGGTACTAGGATCAGAAAAGGGAATGTAAAGGAGCTATTATAAAAGTTATAAATATGTCAAAGGCTGAAGAGAAAACCTTTTTGATGAGGAGGAACACATAAAAAGAACCAAATGGGCCTTCCAGCAATAAAACAAAATGATCATGAGAACAAAAAATTTTCTGAATTGGATTAATGACATATGACAGTATAGAAGAAAGGATCAGTAAGCCTGAGTCTACATTAACACAAACAAATGAAAAAATGAAGCAAAGGGAGAAAAAAAAAACTCTGGATGAAAAATAAACAGTGCACTTCGTAGAAATATCAAGCAATCTAGCACCTATGTGTGTTTGAAGGCAGAAAGAAGTTCCAGGAGAAAGCATAAAGTTAATGAAATAATAGCCTATTTTTATAAATTTGGTGAGACTGGAAACATACAAATTTGCTATTGAAAGACATCCAAGAAGAATAATTATTTAAAAAAAAACAGAACAAGAATATCATAATTATACAAGTTCATTTTCACACTGCTATAAAGAACTACCTGAGACTGGATAATTATAAATAAAAGAGGTTTCTTTGACTCCCAGTTTTGCAGGATTAACAGAAAGCATGGCTAGGAGGCCTCAGGAATCTCACAATCATGATGGAAGGTGAAGCAGAAGCAAGCAAGTCTTCCACAGTGTCAGACGAAAGAGAGAGGGAGAGAGAGAGAGAGGAAGAGAGACAGAGCACAAGAGTAAGCACAGAAGGAAACTGCCATTTATAAAACCATCACATCTCTTGAGAATTCACTCACCATCATGAGAACAGCAAGGCAGAAATCACCTCCCCATGATCCAATCACCTCCCACCAGGTCCCGCCCCCCCACACTGGGGATTATGGGATTATAATTCCAGATGAGATTTGAGTAGGGACACAGAGCCAAACCATATCAATAATCAAATTGTTTTGAATCAAAAATAATGAGAAAATCTTAAAAGCATTCTGAGAGAAGACACTGCTTACAGAAGTAGAAAAAATAAAGTGACATATTTAAGTATCAAAAGAAGAAAAATCAGTCAACATAGGACCCTGACAAGCAAAAATACATTTCTAGATTAATGCTAAACACATATTCCAGTAATAAGTAAAGGCATTTTCTTTTCCTTTTTTTTTTTTTTTTTTTTTTTTTTTGGAGACGGAGTCTCGCTGTCACGCAGACTGGAGTGCAATGGTGCGATCTCGGCTCACTGCAAGCTCCGCCTCCCGGTTTCATGCCATTCTCCTGCCTCAGCCTCCCGAGTAGCTGGGACTACAGGCGCCCGCCACCATGCCCGGTTAATTTTTTTCGTATTTGTAGTAGAGATAGGGTTTCACCGTATTAGCCAGGATGGTCTGGATCTCCTGACCTCGTGATCCGCCCACCTCGGCCTCCCAAAGTGCTGGGATTACAGGCGTGACCCACCGCATAAAGGCATTTTCTAATGACGATAACAAAAACAAAGAGAATTCCTCACTAGCAAACTTGTAGTATAAAACAAGACCCAAATACACGCTGTCTATAAAAACCCAATGTCTTTATCAAATATAAGGACAAAGATAGGTTGATAGTAAATGGACAGAAAGAGTTATAGTATGGAAACATTAATCTAATGAAAACAGAATTAGCTGTATCGGCTAACTGACTATAAATCAAAGTAGATTTTACAGCAAGGTGTATTATTACTGATAAAGAGCCTATGTTTTCCAGTGATAAAGTTGTTAAATCAGCAAGAACACGTATCATTATTATTAAATTAGTATGCACCTAATAAGAGAATCTCAAAATTTTTAAAAAGAAATTGATAGAACTAAGAGAAGAAATTGAAAAATTAAGAATTACCATTGAATATTTCAACACTTTTTTCTTTGAAATAGTTTTTTTTAGCAGCAAAGTATAAATAAAGATAGAGAGAACTTGAACAACAGTATCATCCATTATGACCTATATAAGCTTTACAGGACACTCCTCCCAATAACAGTAAAATGCATTGAAATATTACCTAAGAGAGCTCATGTCGGACTAAGAAACAAAAAAAATCAAAACAATTTAAAATCATATGAAGCATAATGTCTCTCCACAGTGGAATGTATGAAGCTGTGACTAAAGGAAAATAGCTGGAAAATTCCTCACATATTTGGACATTACTCAACATATTTCTAATGAGTCAAAGGAGAAATTTAAAAATATTTTCACATGACAGCAAATGGAAACATAACATACCAAAATTTGTGGCAATACAACAAAAGCAGTGCTTGGAGGGAAATTGATAACATTAACTGCTATTATGATGGGAAGTCGAAAGCTCAGAAATAGACAATCTAATATTCCATTGTAAAAAACCTGGGGAAAAAAGAACTAATTAAGCTGAAAGTAAATAGGAAAACGAGTGAATAAAAAAGAATGTGGACACAAAAGAGAACATTAAAAATAAATAAATGAAAGCTACTTGCTTGAGAGAATGCATAAAATTGTGAGAACTCTCGATAGGTTCCTTAAGGGGAAAAAGGAAATTACTAGAAGTCTCAGGTGCACACCCAGGCTTCAGGCAGGCAGGAAACAGATTAGGTCTGCGTTTCAGGGTCATGTAGTCAGGCCGCCACGAGGTGGCAGTAACTGCGCGCTCATTCCCTCACCTCCTGCAAGGCCGGGCCAGGCTGTGGACTCACCGCTCAGCTCAGGAGATGGGAGAGGGTGACAGTAGCCGCGTGGACTCTGGCCTTAGGCAGAGCGTTACTGTAGCTTTGGGGTTGTAGGAGGATGAAGAGGGGAGGTTATCAGGACACCATGGTGATTGTGTGGTGCTGGTTAGGAACATGGGCTTTGAAGAGAGAGGGATTTTATTTCAAATTCCATCTCTGCCACTTAGTAGTCAGATGACCTTGAACATGTCCTCTAACCTTTCTAGGCCCCAGGACCTGCCTCTGTAAACTTGGGTAATAACCCCCTGGCATGTTTGCTTCTGAGGATTAAATGAGATAACTTGTATAAAAATGGCCACGGCAGGGCCGGCTGCAAAATTCCCAAGGCTCAGTGCAAAGTGGAAATGCAGGGCGCCTTGTTCAAAGAGCAGCAGAAGAAAGTGTCGTGAAAGGCAGGAGGGTATTCAGCTTTCTCAAGCCAGTATGTTTCATCATTTGAAAAGTGTAATAGGGATAATACTTCTAGAAGAGTAAGAACAGAATCATATAAATCCCCACCAGAAACCAGTGTCACACTTTTAATAGAATAAATAATAATACTTTATTAATTGGATCTAGATGAATGAAACAATTTTTCTGGCCAACTTTTCTGCAATTAATTTATTAGGTCATCAAACTTTATACCTTGAGCAACTTCATTTTTTCTTCTGAAAAGAATCTGCTGAAGCAACTGTTTCTGGAATATTATCTAAACTCTGACAATATTGGGATAAACTATTTTGACACAAATTTTAGTATATCTGTAGCTGGTGGTTCTTGTGGAGCTATTTTTTTCAAAGGATTTAACTGTTTAAGCAAATCAGTTTTATGGAAGTTTGAATTTAATTTTAAGTGTAAATTTCTCCAATGGAATTTTGATGCATCTTCTGACATGTTCTGTAAGTTGCAGAGGCCCACAGCAGACCAAATGTGGCGTCATGATTTGTAACTTACTCAAAACTCCTGTTTTTGAATTCTATTGTTGTATCTTTAACAAGAAGAGCTGAATTTTTAAAATTGCTCTACTTGTTAATAATTGATTGATCAGAAGTGTTCTTTTCTTTTCTTTTCTTTTTGAGGTAGGGTCTCCATCTGTTGACATGATCATGGCTCACTGCAGCCTCAGACTCCTGAACTCGTATGATCCTCCTACCTCAGCCTCCCAAGTAGCTAAGACTACGGGCATGTGCCACTGTGCTCAGCTAATCTTTTTTTTTTTTTTTAATGTTGGGGTCTAACTATACTGCCCACTATACTGCCTATGGTGGTCTCCAACAACTGGCTTCAAACAGTCCTCTAACCAGAGCTTCACAATGTGCTGGGATAACAGGTGTGACCCACCATGCCTGTCCCATCAGAAGTTTTGTGACTATCATTATATATTTAATTTATATTTCTGAGCCTTGGATAACTCCTTGAAGAACTCTAAACTCTCTGAGGAATTCCAAGAACTCCCTGGCATACTCTTTCACAATGTCCATGGGCACACTTTTGTTTTGTGCTTCTCTCCTCCCAATTTGCTATCTGAGCCCTATGATTCCTGTCCCGGCGCTCAGGTCAGGGGGTAAATATTCGTGCAGAAGCTCCAAGGATGACTCTGAGAATGCACAGGCACAGAGGTGTCAGTGCTGCGTCCACACAGAGACCCTCCTTTCACCCCAGGGCTGAGGACACCTGCTGCTGCGGCTGCCACCTCCCATCCTGGTCCGTTGCCATCTTCCTTCCCAGTCGAGATGTGCCTGGGCCGCTCCAAGGCACCCGTGCTCAGGGCAGCAAGCTCCAACATGTGGCCTTCATGTCCCTGGGCCTGAGCCTGCCCACCTTGTCCCCCCTCATAGCCACTCTGCTCATGTGCCTGCTCCATTGTCTCAGTGGGCTTCACTTACAAAATGAAGTTCAAAGAAAAAAAACTAAGGTCAAGAGGGTGTCGGCAGAGCCTGCTACCAGGCACTGGCCCTTCTAAGGGCAGGTCCCTGTGTCACTGCCCAGCCCTCAAGCCCATGAAGCTGGTCCTGGCTCCAGAATTGAGAGCCAGTAAAACTGCTTCTGTTATTTATCATTGAGGACAGAGTGCAGAGAAACTTTGCTTTCTAAAATTATAGATATGAGAGACTTTGCTTTCTGGGAGCCTATCTAAAGGAATGCCCACTCTTGCCTGGGGAACTGAGCCACTTTGCCACAGAAAACAGCGTCTGGTTTGGGAAAAAACCCATATCTGTGCTGGTGGATAGTCTTCCTTGCTGAAGCAAGATAATAACCCTACCTTTAAGACAAAAGTGCTCCTCCCTTGATCTTTATCAAACACACTGTATCACCAGGATGAACACTGCTCTGAAGGAGTCACATCGGGCTGTGCCAGGAAAAAAGAATAGCTGCAACCATAGGAATCTTCATGGGAACAGTCAGCCCAGCTGTCCTTGAGCAACCAGGCCCATGTTCCCTAAGCCTTGGTGGCTTCTTCCCCAGGGACACAGGTGCTGCATTTCACAGTGACTTTCCTATTTCAGAGCAATTTCACCTCCTTCTCTAACAAGGCCTCACAAATGTACTGAGAGCTAGAGAGGACAACAAGTGTAAAACCACAGTGCTGTCAGTGGTTCCTGGGATTGCAACGGGATTATAGGAGAAATTCACACTCTTCTATGGGTGAGTTTTTTTTTTTTTTTTTTTTTTGAGACGGAGTCTCGCTCTGTCACCCAGGCTGGAGTGCAGTGGCGCAATCTCGGCTCACTGCAAGCTCCGCCTCCCGGGTTCACGCCATTCTCCTGCCTCAGCCTCCCAAGTAGCTGGGACTACAGGCGCCCGCCACTACGCCCGGCTAATTTTTTTGTATTTTTAGTAGAGACGGGGTTTCACCGTTTTAGCCGGGATGGTCTCGATCTCCTGACCTCGTGATCCGCCCGCCTCGGCCTCCCAAAGTGCTGGGATTACAGGCGTGAGCCACCGCGCCCGGCCTATGGGTGAGTTTTTAAATGCAAGTGTATTACTTTTATAATAATCATGTTAAGTACAGCAGTCATTAAGGACGTATCAATCAGGAGTGATGCCACACATGAAAAAGATGGGAACCACTCTCTTAACTCAAACTCTTATTTACATATAAGAGTTATGTAATAACTCCAGTAAGGCCCCTTGCCACATACCATGGCATTTCCTTAAGAATGTTTACTCAACAAGGAAAGAGGCGTGACAACCTAATTCGATGTGTGAATCTGGATTGAACATGTACCCAGAAAACTCAACAGCCACGAAGCTATTCTTGGAACAATTTCAATGTCTATGCACTGACTTCTGTTTTGCAATAATTTACTGACACTTTGCTTCCTGAGCACCTACAGCTGCTGTCCCAGTGTTCAGGCCAGGGAAATTTTCTTGTTAATGTGCATAAATGGTAGTGTGATTGATGCGGGAATTTTTTTCTTATTTATAAGAGATCCATGCTGAGATAATTAGGGTGAAGTGTCATGACATTTTCCTGCTACTTTCAAAAGGTGACAGCGACATAGAAAGTATATTTTTTAAATTGTTTATTAATTTAGACGAGCACATATGTGCTTTTTTTTTTTTTCATTCAGTTTTTCTATTTGGCTTCCTTGGCCAGGAATAGTTTTAGTGTCAGGAAATGAATGAGTCTGCCCCTCAATTCCAGCCTGCTCAGCACAGAGGAAAACAAAGTTCTGACAAAGGGAGTGACTCCCTGCTGAGTCAGCTGCAGCCCTGGATTCAGATTCCTTTAGCAGTTCTGAGGGCACCCAACCCAGCCCTCTCTTTGCCTACCCCATCGGAAACTTCCTTTCATGATAAGAAAGACATTAAAGATCTTGTTCATAGAATCCATTGCAGCTTTCTTTAAAAACACCCCTGGCCTGCCTCAAACTGTGAATTCTTAAAGTGTGACATTTAAAATGTAGACCATGGCTCAAGGCTCATTGTCCCCATGGCTGTCACCGCTACACCTTGGTGTCATCACTACACCTGACACTGGGGCCTGCTTGTCTCTCAAACTTCCCTTGGATCCAAAGAGGGAGGAACCAGGATGAATGCCACTTATTTTCCCTTGAAAAGCCCCACCCCTGAGCATCTGACACCAGGGGCTCTGTCCATTGCCTGTGGCCACCGATTGCTACTCTGGGTTATGGAGGAAGGACAGGGTCCTGAGAGTCCCCAGAGACCTTGCACAGCTCTGAAAACACAGGGCTTCTGCAGAAGTGGGTCCCATCACCAATAGGGAGACTGTCAGACCTCTGAGCCCAAGCTAAGCCATCATATCCCCTGTGACCTGCACGTATACATCCAGATGGCCTGAAGTAACTGAAGAATCACAAAAGAAGTGAAAATGGACTGTTCATGCCTTAACTGATGACATTACCTTGTGAAATTCCTTGGCCTGGCTCATCCTGGCTCAAAAGCTCCCTCACTGAGCAACTTGTGACCTCCACCCCTGCCAGCCAGAGAACAACCCCCTTTGACTGTAATTTTCCATTACCTACTCAAATCCTGTAAAACGGCCCCACCCTTATCTCCCTACGCTGACTCAGCCCACCTGCACCCAGGTGATTAAAAAGCTTTATTGCTCACATAAAGCCTGTTTGGTGGTCTCTTCACACGGATGCACGTGAAAGACACCACGTGGAGGCCTTGCACCCCCACTCCGTGCTTCTCTACCAAATCCCAACGGTATTGAGCTCACTTAGCACTGACGTCTGTGGAAAGCAGGGAAAGCCCTGGCTCCCAAAGCCCTGAAGTCCTGTGGAGCTGACATTCCCTGAGTGACGGTGTGAACGGAGGGAACTCAAGTGTTAGTGGTAGGCCACCTCCTGGCCTGGGCCTGGGTGGACTCTGAGGGGACACATGTAGTCACAATCCCACCCTCCCATTCTCCTTCTCAGAGGAAGGAAGTGGGCACCCATCTGCGTCATCTCTGTCCCATGGTGATGACGGAGAATTTCAGGGCACCTTTCACATGAATTTCACCAGCTCAGATCTGTGAGGACGGGGCCCACCATGCTCCTGGAGCTGCCAGAAGCCGTGAGCCCCTCCCAGGTCCCTGGGTTTGAGCCAGCCCTGTATCATCCCCAGGAGCTGAATGTCCCAGCAATGGATAGAACTAGATGGAACCGGCTCCCAGTTTGGCCTGAGACTGTCCCTAGACATTCAGGAAAAACAGGACATCCCACAGAGCGGGCAGGTGATCTCCAGTTCACAGACCCTGAGTCTGTTCCCCTGTAAGAAAGACCTTGCCCCTCACTCCATTCACATCCCAGGTCCCAAATGGTACAAGACAGAAAGAAGCCCTGGTCATATGAGCAGAACGAGGGGATGTTCTGGGGTTTCTTGTGTCCAAATTTGCATAAGAGCTCCTGGGTATACTTTTCTCTCAGAGGGCCATTTGTCTGATGCCCCCAGTAAGGTGGTCAGTTTCAATCACTGTAATTACTGATGTGGTAGGCAATACCTGTTCCAAATTCTGCCCAGTGACCAGGGGCCAAGACCTGTTTAGATGGAAGGCTCGGTGTCCTCCCCAGCCTCAGCTCATGGTGAAGCTCCCAGCCATCACCCATAAGGGTCCTTATCTTCTCTTCTCATTCCGCTTCGTATTCCTGATGCCTCTTCCACATGAGATGAGTCAGGGAAATAAGAGGCTTGGAAAAGTGGAAAAATGGGGTAGAGGCTCTCTCTTGCCTCTCTCTCACCTCTTTCTCTCTCATCCAAGTACTAGTTAGGCCCACTCCTGCTTAGCTTACAAGATGAGAGGAGATCAAACATGTTCAAGGTGCTATGGCCGTAGACACTCTCTCTCTTTTTCTCTGTCTCTCATGTCTATATCTCTCCTTTGTCTCCTTTCTCTGCCTCTTGTATTTCTCTCAGTGTCAGGACACTCCCTCTCTCCCTGTCTCCCCTACAGCTTGACTCCTTTTGTCCCTTTCTCTCTTTCTTCTACTATCACTTCTAGACTGAGTAGATTGCATGCCTTACTTTGTTGAACCAAACTCCATTTCCTTCAATATGAAAGGAGTTTAAGAGCTTCATGGCTGCCTCACTCCCTCTTCTAAGCCAGAGGGGCCCAGTAGCCTGTAAATCTCATCTCCTCCCTGATCTTCACTCTATGACTGCTAAGACTATGGTTGAAAACTGTCAGGCGACTTTTATTTTTCAATAAAAGTGAGAAATTTTGATTTTATCCAAAGAAGTAAGTACAGAATGTCATTTTCTAAATTTTTATATTTAAAGTGTAGATTTGAGTGACCTAGAGAATTTCAGGTAGTGATAAGGCGCAGCCTGTACTTTGGGAAGTTGTGTTTGGGACACTGGCCCTTCGTCTTTTCAGATGGAAGGCCCTGGAGAACACTTGCCCTCTGTGGCTGCTCTAGGTTCACAGAACAAAAATGCTTATTGAAAGCCACTTTTAAAATGGAATGCCTAATTTTATTTTCTCCTTGATATTATAAGAATAAAATAAAAGGGTGAAGGAAGAAAAGGAGAGTGGAAGGGAGGAAGGGAGAGAGAAAGATAATTTGAGACTAAGACCTGAGATATCTAATCTGATAGAAATTACATAGAAAAAGCCTCATTTTATCCATATTGTTTATGGGTTTTGGGTTACAGAGGAGCAGCAGGGCTCCTGGAGGCACAGACACTGGGCGATATTCCACCACTTAGGAGAGTATGAAGGAAGAGACAAAAGGGAGGAAAGGAGGAAAGGAAGGAGGGAGGACAAATGGAAGAGTGAGATTGAGAACAGAATTTAGAGATTAGAAACAATTCATTACAAAGGTTTACTTCTACTGTTAATTATTGTTTTTAATTGTAATCTACTTTCTTTTATTTGTCTTTTTTCATTCCCAGCTCCCCTCCCCCTGCCCCTCCTTGCCCCTCCTTCTTTTTTTTTTTTTTTTCTTTTTTTTTCTGAGACAGAGGCTTGCTCTGTCACCCAGGCTGGAGTGCAATGGCATGATCTCGGCTCACTGCAACCTCCGCCTCCCGGGTTCAAGTGATTCTCCTGCCTCAGCCTCCTGAGTAGCTGGGATTACAGGTACCCACCACCATGCCCAGTTAATTTTTGTATTTTTAGTAGAGACAGGGTTTCACCAGGTTGGCCAGGCTGGTCTCAAACTGCTGACCTCAGGTGATCCACCCACCTAGGCCTCCCAAAGTACTGGGATTAGAGGCGTGAGCCACTGGGCCCGGCCCTAAGTTACTTTCATATTAAATTCACATTAAACAATTTCTGCCATTTGAGCCACATCTTTTTCTTGCATCTCATTTTAAAAACTTAACGGACTTCATGATTTGGAAAGCAGAGGTTACTGGCCTGTGTGTGTAAATGGAGGTAGGGTAGCTTTGAGGTTATTTTTGTGTGGTGGAGCTGAATTCTCAAGAAATCCTTGTTGAGCTGCTACCTGAGCCCATCTGGAGGCCCCAGTCACTTAGCAGAGATCGGTCTTTCACATTCTGGTTCCAGGAACTAAACATTCCCAAACCACGTCAGGGCCAGCCTCCTTTTAAGAAACTTAGGTTCACGTCATCATTCACTCATGTCTCATGATCATGATCAAAATCCCAGGCTTGGAAAAGAAACTCACCAGAGATTTATTCAAGTCAACACCGACACAGGCTTTGTGCTTTTCTGACATGGGGTTTTGAATTCTAACACCCTATCACTCCTATTGTCCTTTGATTTGCTTATTGTTTATTGCTTCTGGGTTTTTTTTCTTTTTTTTCTTTTCCTTTCTTTAGGTTTTTCTAAAGATATAAGAAATCCTGCTAGCTGACACAGGAATAAAGGTGTGTGTGTGTTCTGAATGTTTGCTCTACAAGCTTGAAACAGATTGGCACCTATGGCCATGACAGAATAAAATGCTGCAAAAAGTAACGAGGAGTCCAAGAAGTTTCTGTGACTAATGTGGATTCAGAAAGGGCTCACTCAGCAGAGACGTGCCACATTTAAACCAAATTAAGCTACGGTGTTCGAAGACATGGAATCTTTATCCTAGTAATTGTAATTGTGATTGTGTAACGTTGGTTTCGGACTAGCGAATCTCTGACATCTTTGGAATGTCCTTCCCAGCTCTCCAGACCAGGGGTCAGGGATGGCACAGGAGGAGTTTTTTGGGTTGCTCCTCCAGTAACCCAAAACCAACAGGAGCAACGGGATATTAGAATTCAAAACCCCATGTCAGAAAGACACAAAGTCTGTGTCAGTATCATCTTGAATAAATCCACGGTGAGTTTCTTTTCCAAACCTGAGCTTTTCCATCATCATGAGATGTGAGTGAATAATTATGAGTCATAAGTTTCTGACAAGGAGACTGGCACTGCTGTGATTTGGGGGAGGCTTAGTGACATCTGTTCCCTTTAGGTCCCTTGACCTTCCCCAATTATTCCCATTGTTTTCCTATAACTGTGCTTTGCTCCTCCTACTTCCTCTCTTTGCGTGCCCTCACCTACCCCACATCTTCCTGGAAGACTGTGCCTCATTAATGTCCCAACTCAAAGGCCTCTTTCCTCCTGGAATCAGGGTGATCCACTAAGGAGGGAACGTCCTATCCTCTTGTTCTTCACAAGCACTCCCTCCTTCTGGTTTGGCCTGCTTATGCAATTGTGCTTCCTGCTCATGTGGATAATTTTTTACTTCTCCAATAGTCTATGAGCTCTCTACAGGTATGGACTTTCTCTTATTCATGTATGTAGTGGTCATTGAGGAAGAGTTGTTACTTCATAAATTATTATACATTTAATGGCAAAGTTGAGTTGCACAAAGCATTTCCTCACATCTAGACATAATTTTGATTCATGTAAAAGCTCTTAAAAACAGGTCCTTTTTGAAGGTACAGTTAAATGAGGGCAATATAGCACAGAACACAATGAGAGGAGAGCAAACCTCAAGAAGAAAGACAGTATAGACTCTGAGGGGAAGCATCAAGATGCCTGCCTAGCCCTGCCCTCTCTCATTGGGCAGTTTAACTCGTTTGATAGTTAAATCGTGAACTCTGCAGGTATACCCTACATGTCTATGAAGCTCTCTGCTTCTTGATATTAACTTTTCTCTTAATGTGCATACCATCAACCTCTAGCTAAAGGCATTTTTGTCTAAAATAATCCATTGGATTTCCTAGAGTATCAAGATTGGAAAAAAAAAAATCAGACCTAGAGATTTTTTGTAGATCCTTTAACCAGGCCAAGAGGTGAGGGACGCACTGGATGCAGGTGCAGAATTTGGGGATCAAAAAATTCTGCACTCAAGATAAGTGATCTTATAATGTATGTGTTTTTTTTTTTTTGTAAAAAAAAAAAAATTGATTCAAAAGTAACACATGATCTACAAAATATTCAAGTTTTAAATAAGGACAGAATCTAATCCTGCTATTGTGCAACTCAAACTTACCCACCTCACCTTGGTCCCAGGCCTGTCCGATAGTCTTATTTATTTAACCATTTAATTTTTATAATATGTGACATTATTAGTTTGAATGAATTTGTTGCTCTCCTGGTGCCTGGAAGTTTAGGTAGAGTTTACATTATATATCCCATGATATTTGCAATGTCCATATACTAAAAAGTTATTCACAGACATTTTTCTCCTTAAAGACAATTTTTGTGGCCAAAGTATTTATTTGCTACACTGAGTTTTATTTTACTAGGTGTAGTAGGCATAATAATGGCCTCCCAAAGATGTCCATGTCCCAATTCCTAGAACCTATGATTATGCTTCTTTACATAGCAGATAAGAATTAATGTCAGCAGACAGAATTAAAGTTGCTAATCAGCTGACTTTCAAATAGGGAGGTTATCTTAGATTAGGTGAACGAGACCAATGTAATCAAAAGGATCATTAAATTTGGAAAGAGACAGAACAGTCAGTGTCTTCGTGATGTGATGTTAGAATGACTTGACAGGCATTGCTGGCTTTGAGATGAAGAAGCTACAGGCCAAGGAAGTTGGGCAGCTTCTAAAGCTTGAAAATGCAAAACAAAACAAAAAAGCAAACAAAGATTCTCACTTAGAGACTCTAGGAAGGAACACAGTCTTGCTGACACCTTGATTTTGGATATTTTATTCCCCCGAACTGTAAGATAATTAATTAGCATTGTTTAAAGTCACTAAGGTTAATGACAATTTACTACTTCAGCAGTAATTAACAAATATAGTTGCTCCTTGGTATCCGGGGGGGATTGGTTTCAGGTCCTCTGTGGATATAAAATTCCTCAGATGCTGAAGTCCTTGATGTAAAATGGCATGGGTATTGTCATATAACCTTTGCATTTCCTCCTATGTACTTTACATCATCTCTAGATTACCTGTAAATCCTAAATCGATGTAAATGCTAAGTAAATGGGTGTTAACTTATATTGTTTAGGGAATAATGACCAAAAAAAGCCTGTATATGTTCAGACCAGACACATTTTTTTTTTCCTGAGTATTTTCAGATCAACACAGAGGGTCGACTATATCCTAGTTTCAAATCATGAATTGAGCATAAAATTAGTAACACAAAAGACCTAAGCCTACATTTGTTTAATGGAGAAAAAATGATGAAAAACTCACAACAAGTTACTGAACTTTCTATGTTTTTTTCCTAGAAATGAGCAAGGCTCACATGATAACTCTTCCTCCCTCAGAAGGCACTCTGAGCTCAGTATTACATGAATAGCCCATTTATTTCAGATCTGTAGCTTGGAATTTATTGTGAACAGATTCAGTCTTAGGTGAGGGTGGAAGACATATGTCTCCATTCCCTGATTTCATATCTCCAGGATATTCCTACACCAAAAGCACTTCCTCCATAGAATTTGCAAAGAGTAAATATGTACTGTCAGAGATTTATTCTTATGGTTCAAGATCTAATTCTTTATTAATCAATCACACACCTCCAAAGTGCTATTCTTAAAAAACAAACAAACAAACAAACAAAAAAACCCAAAAAACAGCAAATTGCTGCCTTGCAAAACATCAGGCTGCCTTTAATGCCTTCAATCCTCATCTGAGTTCCAGAAGTGAAAGATCATAATCCATAAAAACCTGAGGTCAAAAATGTACGTTCTTAGAATCTGCATTTGTGTAGAAAGTGTCAGACTCTTAAGAAGGTAGCAATCTTGGCTTGTCACTTGGCTGGTCAGCCACCAGCTATGAATGTCAGTTACCTGCTCTTCACTTTGCCATTTTTGTCCTTGTTGCCTGCTCCAGATAAGAGGGAGCTGAGAAACAAGAGGGTTGACATAAATTGAGGTTAGATTGTAGTTTATTACTAATTCTTTCTCTAGACCAGATAGACTATTTGAACAGTTTGTGAAAACTAAGCACCTTCCCTTTAACATTGAAGGTACATATAGCTTTAGAGGAGGTTTCAGAGTTTTACGTTTTCATGGCCCAACCTAACAGACTGAAATTACCTGTGATGATCCCATCGCTTTTTCTTGGCAAGACTGGGGTGCCTATATTTAAGGGATAAGTGCCATTTTAAATGGAAGTAAAATGATTAATTTTATTTCAAGGATAGAAATTCTGGCTATCTCTTTACGAGTATATCCTTTTATAATTAAATGGAAGAGTTTTGGGGCACCTAGAGAAGCTCATAATATATGCCTGGGGCACTTTATACGGTGAACCCTTGCCATAAGTGCCCCATGTGGTCTCTTCACTGTTCTCCATCACAACTTTGGCTTTCAGATGACTTTAGCTTCGCTATTCCTTTATTTTGTCCCGGCATGTATTGAAAGAGAAGTTAAAAAAAAAAAAAGACAGGGCACTGAAAGAGAGAGAGAGAGAAAGAATGGTAAGAAAAGACAGAAGGGATGGAAAAAGGAAGAAGGAAAGGGAGGGGGAAAGGAGAGGGAGGAAAGCAGGGAGGGAGGAATAAAGAAAAGGGAGGGAAGGAAGGAGAGAGGAAAGGAGGGAACAAAGGTGGGAAGGGTAAAGAGGGAAGAAGAGAGAAAGGGTCGTAGATCGCATTTCCTTGCTTACTCATAGACAGGACTCGTATTAGCCCATTTCACACCTCTATAAAGAACTGAGTAATTTATTAAAAAAAAAAAGATAGGTTTAATTGACTCACAGTTCTGCAGGGTTGGGGAGGCCTGAGGAAACTTACAATCATGGCAGAAGGCAAAGAGGAAGTAGGCACATCTTACATGGCAGCAGGAGAGAGAGAGAAGAGGGAAGCACCATTTTTAAACCATCAGATTTCATGAGAACTCACTCACTATTACAAGAACAGCATGGGAGAAACTGCCTCCTCGATCTAATCACCTCCCACCAGATCCCTCCCTTGACATGTGGGGATTACAATTAGAGATGAGATTTGGGTGGAGACACAGAGCCAAATCGCATCAGGACTCCAGCAATTCTTTCTCTCACCTAATCTATCTCTTATTCCCCTCTACTGCATCTATACCAACTAAAAGAAAAACACTTATTGGACACACAAGAGCTCTCGTCTTTTGCATTTGCCCAGCTTTTCAGGGAAACCCTATGAAAGGGGTGCTACACAGTCCCCACATCCTACCACCCTTCTTTCCCTCACTGCCACTCAAACCTGACTTCTGTCAATAGGGTCACAATGCCTTCTGCATGACCTCACTAAGCTCTGCCTCTGCCCATTGATATGACCCCTAATTATGTGGTCACTGGAGCTGCTTTCAGGTGTCCTTGTCCCAAGGGACATACAGCACACAGCCTGTGGAGGGTGGAGGAACCAACTGCAAGGTGGGTTTCCAGTAGGGCCAACTGGGGCTAAAGAAGGGGTGGGAGGCAATAAAGAGGCTTGCTTTCAGGGTGTAAGTGTAGGAGACAGGAATGTAGACAACAGATTTCAGCCTCCACTTTACTTTCTAGTGGTATTATTATTATTATTATTATCAGTAGTATTATCACCATCATTATTTGCTGTGGTATGAGTGTTTGTGTCTCTCCCCCAAAATTCATGCTGAAATCTAATCCCCAATGCAATAGTATTAAGAAGCGGAACATTTGGGAAGTGATTAAGGAACACTGACCTTTACCCACTTGGCCCACCATGACCCACCTGATGCAGACTTTCCCCCTTTGTTAGGGAAGTGCAATTCAGACAACCTTTTATGCACGACCCTGTTCATTCTCTAAACCTCAAGCTCTTTTGCTGTCAAACACACAGAACTAGTTTATCTCACTAGAGATGTGTTCCTTTATTCAAAAAATATTATCTTTCTTTTTTAGCAAGAAAGACTGTAAAATAAGCAAAAGTTTTGATTGTGGATAGTTCAAATCCCAGCTCAATCACTAGTTGTATAACCTGCATTGACTTGCTCAGAGAAAATATCTATCTCATATAAAAGTTATGTCAACTAAGATACCACTTTCAAGACTCGTGGTATGTGATAGGTGTTCAAGAATGTTCATTCTTACTGGAGTGACAGAGGAGTTTCTATATTATTTTATTAAATTATGTAAACTTAAGTTATGCTAACATTTAATAAGTGAAATTCAGTGTGTTCCTACAATTTTAGGCCTTATCTACGACCATCTTTCTCCCACACCCAAAATGGCCAAAGTTTCCCTACCAGCCTCTAATTCCATGGGCCCTAAAAGGCAAAGTTGTCCTTATTAAGTTTTAAATTTTAGGGATTTTTTTGAGACATTCCAGGCCTTATGGAGGAAAGTAGTATCTTGTGTGATTTCAGGTATCCAGAAGTTGACTTAAAAGTTCCTCTTACAGGTTAGGTTCATTTGCATTTCTCTAATGACCAATGATGATGAGCTTTTTTTCATGTTTGTTGGCTGCATAAATGTCTTTTTTTGAGAAATGTCTGTTCACATCCTTTGCCCACTTTTTGATGGGGTTGAAACTCTTGTGGTGATCCTAGTTAAAACACAACTCTGCGTGGATAGGTATTGGGTAGCAATTGACTCTTCCTAAGATTTTTTTTTTTTCCCGAGACAAACAGTAGGAGGTTGACACTATAGCCATCACCAAATAAACAGGAGACACTGGAGCTTTGAAAGGTTGAATTATTTGCACAAGATCACTCAGTTGATGAATGGCAGAGCAAAAGTTTTGAAACCAGGGTTATCTGACTTTAGAGCTCTTTTATTCTTAGGTACAAAAAAAAATTGTCTCTATTTTTGCAAAGACCACAGCTTACATCAGAGCTTGGCTGATTTCTCTGATGTCTACATCTCATCAACAATCTACCTTTTGGCTTCTCAACACATACTGATTATTAATGTAGGGTGACCACTGTTAGAGAGGTCGAAAGGTATGCATCCCTGAGTTTCCTCCCTGCCTTCCTTCCTTCTTTTCTTCCTTCCTTCCTGCCTTAGTCCATTTGGGATGCTATTAAAAAGTAATATAAACCGGGTGGCTTATAAAGAGCAGAAGTTTACTTCTCACAGTTCTCGAGGTTGGAAGTCCAAGATCAAGACACCGGCATAGGTGTCTGGAGAGAGCTCGTTCCCTTCTCTGTGTTGTTATGTGGTGAAAGGTACAAACGAGCTCCTTCAGGCCTCTTTTATAAGGGCAGCAATCCCATCACAAGGGCTTCAGCTCCACGACTTAATCACCTCCTCAAAGCCCGCACCTTGTAATATCGTCACCACCTTGGGGGTTGGCATTTCAACAGATGAATGGGGAGACAGAAATATTCAAACATTCGGGCCACAGCACTTCCTTACCTCCTTCCTCCCTCCGTCAATTTATTCATTCATGTATTGATTCTTTCATTCAAGTGTCATTTGTTTAAACAAATACGTGAGTACCTCGTCTCTGCTAGGTACTTCTCAGGGGCTGAGGAAGTAAGGTAACCAGACAGTGCTTGTTACTTTAGAAGCTCACAGTGTAGAGAAGGAGAGAGATGTAGAAACAATATAAAGCAACACAGATGTGGAGGGGAAAGAGAGAAGGAGGAATTTCAGTGTTTTACCGTGTATACTTTCTGCTGTTTAATTCCTTTACCATAAAAATGCGTTGCACTACATGATTAAGAAACTCTTTGGCCCCTAATGTGTCACCTAGTTGTAATCTATGCAGAAGTTTGACATGGTAAGAGCCTGCCTAGAATTATCGCTTTTAACCAGGTAGCAAAAAAAAAAAAAAAAAATCAAACATTGAACTCAACCAAGGAAAAAATGTAATTTCCATTTACAGAATTTCTTCTCCTTTTTTAGCTTCTAAAATGGGTGGTTTTCCAAAAAACCAAGTGCTCTCATTTATAAGTGAGAGCTAGGGTATGAGTACAAAAAGGCATACAGAGTGATATGATGGATTTTAGAGACTCAGAAGGCCGCAGGGCTAGGAATACAAAACTACCTATTAGGTACAATGTACTCTACTCAGGTGACAGGTGTACTAAAATCTCAGAATTCACCGCTATATAATTCATCCATGTAACAAAAAACTATGTGTACCCCAAAAACTACTGAAATTTGAAAAGAAGAGAGAGAATTTAACCTCTCCTTAATGATTCATGTAGCACTTTCATATCTTGAAATAAGGTAATGTCAGTCGTATTAAATATTGGTTAATTTAATCCATAGATGTGTGGAAAGAGGCAGTTGACAGAAAGTAATCTTGCATGAATTCAAAATGCAATTTTAATCAAAATGCAATTTTAAAATAGCTGCCCTTACATGGTCTGGCATTAAAAATAAACTTTTTTATAGAATGGAAGAAATAAAAAATGTTTAAAGGGTGGTTTTCTTTATATTTCCAAAAGGAAAGTTGATAGATGCAGAGACATGAAATGAATGAGGATAAATGAATAAGTGGATGAATCCTCAATATCACTATTTTATAATAATTTATTCTGGGGAAAAAAAGGCACCAAACCTCAGAGCCATAAGCAGAAATGAAAATCCACCAGAAAATGCAAAATTATTGTGAAGACTTTCTATTTGAATAGGAGGAGACTTGGATCTGTAATCATGAGTCCATAGATGGAACATTCTCAGGTTACACCCATGCCATAATTTGAACATTTGAATCAGGAATGCAAGCTTTTTCTCTCTAGCTGAATTGTTGTCGTTGTTGTTGTTCTTCTTCTTTTTAAATTTTGCAGTGATTTACTTTGAGTGGAGTCATTTGCTCTTGAGAAGAAGCATCACCACTAAAGGATGCTTTATTTTATTTCTGAAAGGCATTTGCAGGTAGCTCAGCAGATCTGTTTTGCCACTTTTGTATCACGCCCTTGTGTGCTTAGCCACATACATGTAGAAATTGGCTAAAATGAAACAAAAGTGCAATAAACTGCTGCTTCTGGATTTAAGTATTAGTTACCCAAAATTATTTCAAAAAATATCCATTTACTCTATGTATGTTCATTTTTTTAAAATTTCAACTTATTTTAGATACAGTAGGTACATGCGCAGATTTGTTACATGGGAATATGGTATTATGTGGTGGTTTGGAGTATGGATCTCATTACCCTGGTACTGAACATAGTACCAGATAGGTAGTTTTTTAACCCAACTCCTCCCTCCACCCTCTAGTAGTTCACAGTGTCTATAATTCCCATGTTTATGTCCATGTCTGCTCAATGCTTACCTCTTATTTATAAGTGAGAATGTGCAATATTTGGTTTTCTATTCCTGTGTTAGTTTCCCAGCTGAATTCAAACTCATTCCCAGATCACTTGTCCTCCTCAATTGATGTACACTGAAGAAAGAGCTACCTTCAGGCTGTAAGGTCATCGTATAATCCTGACCACTCATTTCCCATCATGACACTGCTGTTCCTTCTCTTTCTCCTTCTTGGATGTCTGATACAAACAGCCTCAGGTAAGCTACAAGTCCACCTGGAGGATGATGAAGTGGATGCCCTTGGAGCTGACGTAGGCCAAATTGATTGATCAGCCAAGGAAGCACTGAAATATGGAATAACTGAACAGCTGCATAGCTGAGAAAAACACAGCATGTACAACAAATTTCGTTTTACAAATCAGGAGAGAGAAGCTTAAAGAAATTTAAAATTTTTTCCCAAGATTACATTCATCTAGTTGTTGCAATAGATACCAGACATAACTAACAATTGTGATAGATAACATTAATAGTAGGCATCACAGCTTACAAACCATTTCCATGTGAATCAAAGCAATGGCAACGACAACACTAATACTAATAACAAATAATGCTGACCACTTTCTGTTTACCAGACATCACGGCAAAGATGTGTTGTGTTATTTTTTTTGTTTTTTTTTTTTTGTTGTTGTTGTTTTGAGACAGAGTCTAGCTCTGTAGGCCAGGCTGCAGTGCAGTGGCACAATTTCAACTCACTGCAGCTCTGCCTCCTGGGCTCAAGCAATTCTCCTGCCTCAGCCTCCAGAGTAGCTGGGATTACAGGCATGCGCCTCCATGCCCAGCTAATTTTGTCTTTAGTAGAGATGGAGTTTCTCCATGTTGGTCAGGCTGGTCTTGAACTCCCGACCTCGGGTGATCTGCTCCCCTCAGCCTTCCAAAGTGCTAGGATTACAGGTGTGAGTCAGGTGGCTTTCTCAAGTGCCAGCAGTGACAGTGGTGAGCTCGGTAGATAGGCATGCCCTCAAGACCCTGGGAGGCATGTGTAGCATCAGCAATTGCAGTAGTCATAGCAGGTCAACTCTCGTGACCCCAGATGGCATGTGCAGACACCAACAGTCATGGCAACATGATGGACAGAGTAGTCCTCAGGCTTTCACCTGGTGCAAATATGTGGGCACTGGTGACAGCCGTGATGGCAGGATGGGAAGTCCTATCCTTAGGCTCTCAGGAGACACACAGGTACTTGATGGTGATAGGCATGGTGGATTAATCCCCCAGCTCCCAGACAATGTGCACAGGCACCACCAGGCTGGGTGGGCTCATACTCAGGTCACAAGAAGGCATGCACAGGTGCCAATGACAGACAGCAGTGTGGGTTGATCCCCAGCGTCCTGGACAACGACCTTGGGTAGTGGTAGTGACAGCAATGGGTGGGATGGGCCTGTGCTCTGGCCCTGGAATAGTGCCCAGGCAGGTGAGTCCCCAGGTCCCCTGAGGATGCCTGCAGGTGTGCAGTGGCCCTGCTCCTGGGGGTCAGGATTGCTGTCAGTGTCAGTGGTCCTGGGAAGGTGACTCTCCACTTGAGAAGAGTGCCTGCTTCAGCTCCCTTTGTTCTGGGGGCAGCCTCCCTAGTGAATGGCACTGCCAGTTCCCTGGAGTGTAGGACACTGTGTAGGCTAGAGTGATGGGGACCAAGCTACACTGGTGAGTTCAGCTGGTATTGTGACTCTGCAGGCCTCTGGATGGACATGAGGGAATGTCACTGAGGGTCCAGAGATGTGGAGATTCAGGGGCTGTTGGGCCCCAGGGCAGGATGTAGTCTTTTGGGGGCTGGGCTCTCAAATTGGCATTGTGCCACAGCTGCCTGTGTCTGGGGGCAGGTGCAGACGATCCAGTGCCAACTCCTTCTCTGGGACAATGACCATCACATAGACTCCAGGCAGCTCCCTATAGTAGTCTCAGGGCCTGCAAGGGCTGAGAGACTGTCCCTTGGCTAGGATTGCAGTGTCCACAGTGGGAATATGGACCACTGGGGCTCTCTTTTTTACCTTTTCACCACACTGGAGAGCCTGTCCTGGCTTTAAGCTGATTCTGGCTGGGCTGCTGCTTCATTTTCCTTTCCTTCCATGCCTCAGAGATTCCTCGTCAATTTGCTGCTGAATTCTAGTGCCCTCTTTCGTGCCCTCTTCAAGGTATGATTATCTACTTGCTGTCTTGGTCTTTCTTTGGGAGGACACAGTGCCTGGTACCTCTAGTCAGCCATCTTGAAGGCCACCTCCTAGCAATGAGAGGATAATATTCTATGTGATGGCTTTAATATATGTGTCCAAACTGCTTCTTTTCTAGGGAAGCACTTACTCTAAGAAGTAAATGTTATATAGTGCAAAAATATATTAAAGGGTCAGTTGGTGATGCAGTTTCAAAAATGCACTGAGGAAAACTTGGCACTTCCATAGGGTTGAGTTGGTTGGAATATATCTCAGTCTCTGAGATTTTGAACCCAATGTTTTGAACTTTTTGAGATTTCGAGTAGTCCATGTGACATAACTTAACATTGTTTCTTGGCCAAATCAGGCATAGTGAAAAATAAAATCCAGCTAACATACTTTTAAATATCTTGATTCTATACTCTTTCAATGACCAAGGGGAGGCCCCCCACTACTTTACACAAAAAAGAAAACTCTATGAATGAGAATCTCTTCACACAAAGCCACTAAAGTTGTGTCTAAATGGAGGAAAATTGTGACAGGTGGTAAAAGCACTCAGTGGCTGTTGTAGGCAGAATAATGTCCCCTCTGTCTCCCGCCAAAGCTATCCACATCCTAACTCCTGGGTCCTGTGAATGTGCCACCTTGTAAGCAAAGGGGAATTGAGGTTTCCTGTGAAATTAAGGCTGTTAATCAGCTGAACTTAAAATAGGGAGATTATCTTAGATTATCCAGGTGGGCCCAATGTAATCATGAGTCCTAAAAAATGGAAGAGTGGGGAGAAGATGAATTCAGAATGATGGAATGTGAGGACTCAACGCTCCGTTGCTGGCTTTGAAAATGTATGAAGGAAGCTATGGTGCCCAGGAGTAACCTGTCATTGCTGGGATAAAGGTGCAGGAAGAAAACTGCAGAGCTTCCAGAAGAAAGCTCAGCCCTGCTGACACCTTGATGTTGGCCCACTGAGATCCATCTGAAACCTGCAGCCTATAGAACTGTCAGATAATGCATTTGTGTTGCTTTAAGCCACTAAGTTTGTTGTAATTTGTTATAGGAGCCGTAGGAAGCCAATACAGTGTTTTAAAAGATGGAAGAAAATGCTGAATGATTATGCCCAGTGAAAGCTGGGAAGCAAAGGAATTCCCTGAATCTTGGCCAGGCATACATGTACAGACCCAGGGAATTGCCTCCGAAAAGGGTGCTGAAGAAATTGCCTTTAATCTGAGTGCAACTCTTTTTATAATTTAGATTTCTGGTGAAGTCTGGTTGACGTGATTGTGCAATTTTCCCATGTGCTGCACCTTTATCAGGGAGAGACAGACCCCTGCAAGGCTGCATGGAATAGGATGGCGCATTTTCCTAGTAAAAAAGGGGAGTGGTCTTCCCACATGCAAGGTGAAGGGTTACAGTGCTAGACAAAAGCAATGGGTATGATTGAAAGTTCCCCCACCCTGCTGTATGTCAATTTCAACTAAGAGCTCATCTAGATGGGATAGAAGGATACTGGAAACCAAACAGTAATCAAGTCATAACATGTAATATAAACTTTTTTTTCTTTTTTTTTTTTTTTTTTGAGACAGTGTCTTACTCTGTCACCCAGGCTGGAGTGCAGTGTCGGGATCTCGGCTCACTGAAGCCTCCACCTCATGGATTCAAACGATTCTCCTGCTTCAGCCTCCTGTGTAGCTGGGATTACAGGTGCCCGCCACCATGCCTGGCTAAATTTTTGTATTTTTAAAAGAGACAGGGTTTCACCATGTTGGCCAGAATGGTCTTGATCTCCTGACCTCACGATCCACCCAGCTTGGCCTCCCAAAGTGCTAGGATTACAGGCATGAGTCACCGCACCCAGCCAGTAATATAAACTTTTAAAAGAGGTTTTGTGCTGGTTGGTTTTGGTTTATTCTTTTTTGAGGATTCAATAAAAATCCCTGTGAGAAAAATGGAGAGAGGGAAAGGGAGACAGGGAGACAGGGAGAGGGAGAGAGAAAAAAGAGAACCTAAAACCTCCAGAAAACAACAGGCTTCAGTCCTTTTTGGGTGTAGTGCTCTCAATTCTTGGTTGATGCCCCAGAGGCAGGCAGCAGGGTCGGCTATTTAAACATCTCCCAACATGGATTTCTGTTTCGAGGCAAAAATCCCGACAGGAGCCATTTGGACGTTCACAGATCTCCTTGAATTTGCCCTTGGCTACATGCAGAAGGGGTTATTGTAACCATTCATCAGTCTTTCTTTACTTTGTATTGAATTACATGGACGTAGGGGGCAGTGCCTGAAAATAATCTTGTGTGGATTTGTGTGTGTGTGTGTGTGTGTTATTTGATTTCTTAAACACTTAAAAATCTGCTGCCACACAAAAATTTGGATTTTTTGGTGTTCTTGAAAAATCTGAGAATATTGGGTGCACCTACATGACAAAAGGCTGGAGGTGAGTAGCCTGCTTCCCTTTACAAGTTCTAGAGCATACAAGTTTCAGTTTATTTCTTCCTTATTGTCTTCTAACACTGATGGGAGATGTCAGCCTTTTAAGAAAATATAATGTCCTGTACTATGGATTTTCCTGGAGTGAAAGAGAAGAAAATCTCTTTTGGATCAGCTGTTTTTATTCCTACACACACACACACACTCTCTCTATATGATAGATTATAATAGATGTATCTTTCAAAAGTAGAACTGAAATATAGACCTAAAAGATAATATACTTCAATTGTTAGAGAGGATATTTTTCCTGTGGAAGGGAACAATATTCCTATGTGTTTAATACACAAATATATCTGTGCCATTACTTGTTACACCCTGAGACTTCACTCACTACTTATATCTCTGGCACTGGTCTTTGAGGTTGCAATTTTTCTCTAGAAACCATTGCATATATTAAGAGTGAAACATTCAAGGTCTTCTTAAAGGCTCAAAAACTATACTTGTTGAAAATATTGAATAGTATTTCATTTATGTCCTAAGATATCACCGCTCTGGGCATAGGCCACACACTCTGAGGTATTGAGTTTGAAAAGTGTTTTAATTCTGAGCAGTCTTTGTATGTAACACAGAGCACCTTTTCCATGATAACTTCTTGGCAGTAAGAGAGGTATAAAAACCAGCACTTTTTTTTTTTCTATTCTGGAACACAAAAGCCAATTCTAGAATAGCTTTCAATCAGTACAGCAATTTTAATAAACATTCAATAAATGCCTATTTAATTGACCTGAAATCCAAATGTATTAGATTCCATTTAACTTTTCAGTGGTCACAAAGCAGTTAGTGGATTGATGTGAAGACCAAATATATGCAACATCATATTTATATCTGTAATGCAAATTGGGAAATAAAGGTCATGCTTTTCTGAAGACAATGGTAATTGTAAATGTTGACCACTTGGTAGAAACAAGCTGAAATCTGAGTTTTTTGATCCCTGAGCTTTCCATCTCTTCCTTTTATCTGTAAGTAGTCAGCTACTATGTATAGTAGTACCCAAGCCCACTGGCCTTGTGCTAAAATTGGCCCTTTGCAGCTGGAAGAGTCATAAGAGATTAGTATAGTGTAGAGGATGAACCACTGACCTGTCTTGTGATATGTGATAAATCACTCTTGAACATCCCTCTGTGGTAGTACTTCTTGCATTCTACTATGGGTGGTGTTTTCCCATCTGACCTCAATTCTTGATAATGAATTTCTTGAGGGCAGGAATAGTATCTTATTCTCCTCTGTATGTATATTCCAGAATCTGATTAAAGTCTTGGCTTATAATAGCTATTCAGTAAATGATTGTGGAATAATTGATTAAAATACAGCTATTTTCTAACTTGCAATATGTTTGTGCGGAAATTTGTTGTTACTCTCGGTTCAGAGGTCTTTGAATCATGTGTACTATTTTACTATACCTGATTCTATTGAGCATTATATTTTCAAACCACTTTTCGAGAAACTTAATACAGAACTACCATTTGACCCAGTAATCTCACTACTGGGTGTATATCCAAAGGAAAATAAATCAGTCTTGTAAAAAGACCTAAATCTGTATGTTCATCACAGTGGTATTCACAGTAGCAAAGGTATGGAATCAAACTAGGTGTTCATCAACAGTGGATTGAATAAAGAAAATGTAGTACATATATGTCACGGAATACTATGCATCCATAAAAAGAACAAAATTGTGTCCTTTTCAGCAACATGGATGCAGCTGGAGGACTTTATTCTAAGCAAATTAGCTCAAGAACAGGAAGACAAATACCACATATTCTCAGTTATAAGGGGGAGCCGAGCAATGAGTGCACATGGACATAAAAATGGGAACAAGAGAGATTGGGTCTTACCAGGAGGGGAGGGAGAGGGAGTAAAGTCTGAAAAGCTACTCTTTGGGTACACCCTACCTGTGTGACAGAGTTATTCATACCCCAAACCTCAATATCACACAATATATCCATGTAACAAATCTGCACATGCACTCCCTGAATCTAAAATAAAGGTTGAAGTTATTTTTAAAAATTGAAATTACAAAAGACTTTTTAAAATTATGATGTACCATTGTTCATTTGTAAGAATTCAAGTAACATTAGGGATTTTAAAAATCTTTCGTTTTCATTTGTTCTTTGCTTGTAAACCTTGTGTATTGCATATTGTGGACACTATGTCTTTTCCGGCCATTTGCTTTAGGAACAAAAGATAGAGTTACAATGAACATAGGCTGTCTTGTCTAGTCACCTACCTTAAAGTTGAGGAAATAAGCTGATGGAAAGGAAGAAACTTGCCCAAGATTACCCAGTGATCGAGTGAAGCAGATGATAGGGACAGCACTAAGGCTTGGTATTCTGAGCCTCATTCTATTTTCCACTCTTGCCCTCTCTCTGTGTCCTCCTCTCCTCTCTAGCCTTCTACAAAAAGTTGGCAGTTCTGCTTCAATGTCTACCTAAGGACATCCAGAGGAGATGCCACCTTTCATTAGGGTGCATTCTTTAGCACCATCCTGTGTTTTCTTCTCCAGGCTTGTTGCATCCCATTTTTGACTGTGAGTCATGCTTCTGCCTGTGCTGTTCTATCCAATTAGTTGCTTCTATTTTGATTGAGTAACAGTGAAAACAAAACAAAACAAAATGTGTTTATCCAAATTTGGAATTTTTAAACCTTGATTAAAAGCATTGATTTTCTGGGGTTATATATGTAAGACACATATTTTAAAATATTTTTAACTGATTAAAAAAAATCAAACCCATGTATTTAGCCAGGGTGACTATTTAACAAGTACTAGTGAGACAGGAATTCAGTAATGCCACAAGGATAATAATCTTATGTCAGTCCCCGATGTTGTGTGCTACCGAGTTAATATAATTGGATATGGTATCACCTTTTTTCAGGCTTTAGAAAGTAATACAAAGGAACAGCACAACAGAACTCTAGGGTGGGATGTATAGGGAAAGCCAGGATATTAAAACAAAGTGTTGACTCTGACATTTACCCCACTGTTGGGAAAAACAGTTCAGTTTCCAGGGCCTTAATTTTTTTCTCTATAAAACAGCAAAAATAGAGGCAATAAGTTGCTTATTCGTCCTTGAATACACATGTTCAGGAGTTCCAGAAAATTTTTGAATCTACTTTGGGTGTCTGGTAACCACCTTGGGCCAATCCAAGAAGTCCTATACACACTTCTCCAAAGCATGTCTGTGCAAGGGGCCTTATACCTGTGATTAATGTTCGCATGCTGAATGCAGTAGGCTATGCTCTGGTGTGGGATCATCCCTGGTTCCTGTGTTTAAATTCTACATTACAAGACTAGATGCTGAGAAGGAAGAGGGACAGCCAGGGATGGAGATGGAGCCTTAAGGGGAAAAGTCAAGCTCCAGGGACCAACAGTATCGGGGAGCAATAGGTTAAAGATTTCTTAGATTATAGTAATATTTTCAAAGAGACTTCTTCCACCAATCCCTTCTGTCTGAGCCTACCACAGCTTTGGCATAGCTCTTATGCCAGTTCTTAGGATAACTGACTTTTGCCGAAAGAGGAGCTTTGGAGACAAAAATTTAGTAGAATAATGCCTGATTTTTAATTTTTGAGGTCTAGTAACTGCTAGTAAACTTGCCTAATTTGGAGATGGAATAAGAGGGTTTCAAAGACTTGAAACACCATTGACTTCATTTAACTGGGTTGCTATGGAGAATTAACGAATTAGATGGCTGCAGGCCTCTCAGCCAATGAGTCTTCCAGGTTTCCTATGAGACCCCCTTTTCTGGTCATAGGTGATGGTGATTTCTCTTTGAGTATTGAATCCCTGTAAGGTGTTAGGCACTCTACTCTTACCAAGTTTATTTTGTTACCTGGTAGAACTTGGCTCATAAAGAAGAAAATGGTGAAGAAGAGGACAGCAATCCTCATGGCTGAAGAAAGAAAAAAGTTTGGCTTCATTTCCAGGAGGCAGAGAAAACTTCCGTCTGTGGCTCTCTAGCAGCAGTGGAATGTCTCTGTTTGGATAATAAGAGTCTTTCTGTACCTCCTTAGGGATATTCATAGATAGAGGTGTTCTATGCACGCAAAATTGCTTTTATGGGAAGACTGAGAATCCTTTTTTTTTATTGGACAGCCAGTTCATTAGAATGATGTGGGTGCACAGTTTTGGCCAGAAAACCTTGTTAAATGGGGACATAAGCTACATTTTGGCAAAAGATGAAAGTTTATGAACAAACAACCATTTATATTGTTACAGTAAATTAGACTGTGTTGAGAAACCAGTTGGTTTCATTAATGACCAGACATTTTGTTAGTGAACACTTCCCAGACTTTACTAGCCCTGCTAAGAATTAATCACCCCACTTGCTCCTGGTCTGAAACTCCAAAGTGCTTTGTTTATGTTACAGTACTTACTGCCTTGTATGTTAGATTAGTGAATGTATATTTGCCTCATCCACTACTGTATGAACTTCTTGCTTGCTAGGACAAGGCTATATTCCTCAGAACTGAGGAGGGAGTTGAATCATGTGGCTATTTATTCTCAAATCCTCTTCACCAAGTGGAACAAAACAACAGCGAAAGACCACCGCACGTGGAGGCAGGAGGTTTGGATTTGGGTTCTAGATCTCTAGATCTATTACTAACTGGAGGTATGGATATAGTCAGGAAAATTGTCTTCCTTAGGTGCTTCCTTGATAGCACCTATAAAGGTCGAGATCTATTGGATCTAGATCAGGGGATTCTCAATCATTACTATGCAGAAAATCAACTGGGAGAGTTACTTTGCAATACAGATGCTTAGTTCCATCTCATGATATTTTTATTTTTTTTTAAATTGGTCAAGTATTTTTCATTAAATAATGTAAACTTTCTTAGTCTACATCTAACAAAACTCCCACCAGCATACAAATACATTGAATGATATTAGCAGCAGAATCTTTAAATAAAGTAACCATACACAACTATGAGGCCACCTTATTTTCATTGCTTATTATTTCATGCTATTTGTCACCATTGTCATCATAATCAGCCTCATCCTACATTGTTGAACACCCATCATGGACCATATGGCATAAACATTTTTCCTACTCATAAAGGAGCATATGTTCTCTATATGTATATAAAATTAATGTCTGAACAAAGTAGCTTAAACAAGGCAGAAGTTTGTTTCTCCCTCACTTAAATCTATAGTTCTACCTACCATGGCTAGTACAGATACCTGCCAAATTCATTAGGGATGCAGGCCCCTTCCAGCACTCTGTTCTGCTATAGTGTAAAAGAGGCTCTAGTTTGGCTGCTAAATCCCCACCTATCATTTTTGAATTCCAGGCAGCAGGTAGGAAAAAAGCCAAGAGAAAAAAACAAGGGAACATCTACCCCTCCTTTTAAGTTTTTTAACCAACCCCCTCTTGTTTTATTTTAACCGACTTTGTTGAGTGATGATTACATTTAAAAAGCTGTACATATTTAAGGTGTACATCTCAGTGAGCTTGGGGATAAGTATACACCATGAACACATCACTACCATCAAGATTATAACCATATCCTTCACCTCCCTAAGTCCCCTCCCCTTTATTATTATTATTTTTTTTGGTAAGAAATATTGGTAAGAATACAAAATCTACCCTTTTAGCAAATTTTAAGTATTTAATACAGTATTCTTAGCTGTAAGCACTATGCTGTAAACGAGACCTCCAGAACTTACTTACGTGGTATATCTGAAACTTTGTGCTCTAACCACATCTACCCATTTCCCCAGCACCAGGGCCCCTGGCAACCACCATTCTACTCTCTGCTTTTGTGAGTTTGTCGATTTTAGATTTCAAACACAAGTGAAATAATATAGTAATTGTCATTCTGTGGTTGGCCTATTTCATATAACCTAATGCCCTCCAAGTCCATCCATGTTGTCACAAATGACAGGGTTTCGTTATTATGGAACACTGAACAATATTCCATTGCATATATGTATTAGCCATTTATCCTGATACTCTCCCTCCACCTGCCTCCCAACAGGCCCCAGTGTGTGTTGTTCCCCTCCTAATATCCATGTGTTCTCACCGTTCTGCTCCCACTTGTAAGTTAGAACGTGCAGTGCTTGGTTTTCTGTTCGTGGGTTAGTTTGCTGAGAATAATGGCTTCCAGCTCCATTCATGTTCCTGCAAAGAACATGATCTCATTCCTTTTTATGGCTGCATAGTATTCCATGGTGTATACGTACCACATTTTCTTTATCCAGTCTGTCACTGATGGACATTTGGGTTGATTCCATGTCTTTGCTGTTGTGAATAGTGCTGCAATGAACATATGTGTGCATGTATCTTTATAATAGAATGATTTATATTCCTTTGGGTATATACCCAGTAATGGGATTGCTGGGTCAAGCGGTATTTCTGGTTGTAGGTCTTTGAGGAATCACCATACTGTCTTCCACAATAGTTGAACTAATTTACATTCCCACCAACAGTGTAAAAGTGTTCTTATATCTCAGCAGCCTCATCAGCAGGTAGTTTTATTTAAAAAATTTTTGAGAAACCTTCATACTGTTATCTGAAATGGACATAGTAATTTGTATTTCCACCGCAAGTATACAAGGGTTATCTTTTCTCCACATCCTCGCTAATACTTGTTATACATCTTTTTGATAATAGCTATTCTAAGAGGTATCAGGTGATATTTCATGGTGGTTTTTATCTGCATCCCCCTGATGATTAGAGATGGTAAGAATATTTTCACATATTTGTTGGCCATTTGTATCTGTTCTTCTGGGAAATGTCTACTCAGATCTTTGCTCATTTTTATTATTATTATTATTTTTTTGAGATGGAGTCTCGCTCTGTCACCCAGGCTGGAGTGCAGTGGCGTGATCTCGGCTCACTGCAAGCTCCGCCTCCCAGATTCACACCATTCTCGTGCCTCAGCCTCCCAAGTAGCTGGGACTACAGGCACCCACCACCATGCCCAGCTAATTTTTTGTAATTTTTTTTTTCTTTTTTTAGTGGGACAGAGTTTCACCATGTTAGCCAGATCTTTGAGCATTTAAAAAAAGAATTCAACTTTTATTTTAGATTCAGGAGATGCATGTGCAGGTTTTTACATTGGCACATTGTGTGATGCTGAGGCTTGGAGTATGGATGATCTTGTAACCCAGATAGAAAACATAATACCCAATAGACAGTTTTTAAGGCCTTTGTCCCCACCTTCCCTTCCCCCTCTAGTAGTCCCCAGTACCTGTTGTTCCGATCTTTACATCCGTGTGTAACCAACGCTTTGTTCTCACTTATAACTAAGAACATATGGTATTTGGTTTTCTCTTCCTGCATTATGTTAGAATAATGGCCTCCAGCTGCATCCATGTTGGTGCAAAGGACATAATTTTTTTATGGTTGTGTAGTATTCCATGGTGTACATATACTGTATTTTCTCTATCCACTCTAACATTGATGGGCATCTAGGTTGATTCCATGTCTTTGCTATACGACCTTGGGGAAAGAGAGTCTTGCTGCTTGCTTGTGGGACTTGCCTTGGAAGGTAGATAAGTTCACTGCATCCTCCAACTTTTTATTTCTGGTGAGTTCTCCAAGCACTGAGATGTGAACTGACCTCATTCCCTTACAATGGTACTGTTACCAGTAGAAGAGATTCCAGTTTCTGGCAGCGTATCTGCATGGGTCCATAAGCAACTTCAGTCCTTGCCTCCTCAGAAGAAATAATTTGACTGAAGGGCATACAGCAGAAAAAGAGACTGAGCGGTAAGTTTCAGAGCAGGAGTGGAAGTTTATTTAAAAAGGCTTTAGAACAGGAAGGAGAGGAAAATTCTCTTGGAAGAGACCCGAACAGATGCCTGAATGTCCAAGAAAGAAAAGAGAAGAGCCTTTAACCTTGATCCTGCCATGGGTTTTCCTCTTTCCCATGATTCTAACTTTAGGGAGCGTTTCCGGCTTGCACAGTGTTTTCCTTACCCTTTGAAATTGAGCATGCACGGTGTGTTTAGGGAGTTATATGCATGTCCATCTGAAGCTTTCTTTCCTTTTCCGGTGGAGTGTGCCCCCGGAAGATTATGCTTTGCCATTTTTGTCTCTTAACATGCATGCCCAAGAAGTTGCTTCTTCCTGAGGTCTGCATTTAACTAACATTTTTGATGTTAACAGGTGTAGACCATCAGGAAATGGCCTCTCTTTGGTGCTGCCTAATTATCATTTTTAGAGAGGCAATGTGATAATTGACAGGCCATCACCTGACATTTCTAGTGGGTAGGGGAAGAGCCCTCTCCTGCCCTGCTCATGCTCTTCTACCTGTAACAAGACAAGCCTTGTATATCATTAGACATTTGTCCCATCAAGGCAGCATCTCATTATTACATTTTATTGTGTGAATTGTTACTTCACATTCTCATAATCTGTGTTCACTATTTGTGTGCCTTTTCCACTTTTATTTTGACCATATCTCATTATTTGAACTGCCTCCTCCAAGATTCTAGATCTGCATTGGCCAATATAGTAACTACTAGTCACATGTGACTATAAACTGTAAATTAATTATAATTAAATAACTAAATGACATATCCTTAGTAGTAATAGCCAAAGTCTTGGCCAAACTAGAAATTCTGTAACTACATATGTGTGGTAGTTACTGCATTGGACAATGCAGATATAGAGAATTTCTTTCATCACAGAAAATCGTGTTGGGCATGTTGGCTACCACTTATTTTTAAATTCTATTTGTGTGGTTTATAGTTAAATTATATTCTGCTTCTCTATATTCATTTCCTTTCACAGATTTTCTCAAGCAATTTTTAAATTTCATTCTTTTACCTTATTGAGGTAAGTACTTAGATTATTTTTTTAAAATAATGCACAGCAAATAATTTTTCCATCGATATTGTTTTAGCTTTATTGTATTGGTACTTTTATGTACTATATTCAGGTATTATTATTTTTCATAACTTACTTTTAAAATTGTGACAAGTTTATTTAAAATAGATTTCTCCCTTGATTTTCAGATGTTAGATTCTGTCTTCCATTGCTGTATTTTAATTTAATTTAATTTTATTGTATGTAAATATGTTGCATATTCCTTTTTTTTAAATGTGAGATATTTCCTCTCTCCTGTTACACAAACTTTGTATGCAGTGTTCATTATGCACTTTAAAAATAAATATTTTGTTTCAGGGCATGATGCTTTCACACATAAAACCTTAGAATAATTTTAAATTCCATTCCACTTTCACCATTCCTGAACTGCTTTGAATATATTGGAGGTTGGAAGCCATGAGAGGCTTGCAATCCTGTCAAGATAATAGGATTTTCCATTTATAGTGTAATCTGACTTGCAATCCCGTCAAGATAATAGGATTTTCCATTTATAGTGTAATCTGATATATATTCGTTCTGGTTTCATACTTTAAAAAAATCTATTCTCTTTTACTCTGTGGTGATCTTTGCTTTTCTATTTTTCCATTGCTAGAATGTGAGCTGCTGTTTCCCTAGCACCTCAGATGTCATTCAACATTGTATAGCACTGGTGTTGAGAATTGAGAGAATCTACTAAATAATAGCACTTTTCGAGACTGCAGTTCTGAATTAAAAGGAAGGGAAAGGACAGGCAAAACAATATAGACATCAGCTATTTTTACTGAAGATCTGTTGGAGAACATGGTTTTGTTGTCCAGGAACTTGAGACCTAATACTGCATTCCTAATACTTCACTAACGTGTGTCTAAATAGCCGTGAAAGGGCTAAGAAGTCACAAGTTGGCCTCTTAATTTTTACGGGTGCCCTTAAAATATTAAGGTAATATTGAGGATGCAGAATGGCTCATTCCTCATGACTTTTTAAGAGATCTGGGCCGGGCACGGTGGCTTACGCCTGTAATCCCAACACTTTGAGAGGCGGAGACTGGCGGATCACCTGAGGTCAGGAGTTCTAGACCAGCCCTACCAAAATGGAGAAACCCCGTCTCGACTAAAAATACAAAATTAGCCGAGCACGATGGCGCATGCTTGTCATCCTAGCTACTCAGGAGGCTGAGGCTGGAGAATTGCTTGAACCCAGGAGGTGGAGGTTGCGGTGAGCCGACATCGCGCCACTGCACTCCAGCCTGGGCAACAGGAGTGAAACTCTACCAAAAAAAAAAAAAAAAAGAGAGAGAGAGAGACAACTGGAGGGAGATACTAAGCTGTGCAGGCTCTCATCTTGAAGTCACCAAATACATAAGTTGTTATTTCTGCTCTGGTGAAAAGTTTGTCAATACATTTTTTTTCCATGAATTAATGAAAATTTTAGACCTATAACATAAGTTTTTAAAAGTTTCTCCTAAAGATTGCTTGTGTATGTATGTGGTTTAAAATATATTTAATCTCTACATCTTGAAATCGTTTTGATAGATTCCACACAAGAGTCCTTTATGAAATAAGTATGCTTTAACTTTCTTATAATATTTGTCCTTTTTTGTCCCTGGCACGGTCTGTATATGACCAGTTAAATTACTTTTAGTTCATGTTTGGGTTATAATTACACACAAATATTCTCTAAAGCCCAAATCTTATTTTGATATTCGAGGAAGAGTTTACATGGTAATAATATTAAGGGTTACAGCTGGTTACACTGAAGCTTTGTCGGCATTCTCTAATATCTTATTTTTTTTGAAGGAATATCTGTTCTGCTTAAATTGTAGGCTACATAATACATGTACTGTCAGGTACATTCATGGAAGGGACAGGCAGATGGAGTCATATGTTACTGGAGTCTTGATGAACAGATGTAGAAAATAGTTCAAGGAATAAGAAAAAAGTTGATATTGAAAAGTGCTTGTTGAAGTCTGTAAATGTGCATTAAATGTGGCAGTAAAAATAGACACAATGATGTTTGGGAACTGGGGTCTAAATGCTGGAGTCCCCAGAATCATAGAGAACCTTGGTTAGGGGAGTAATTTTGTCAAAAAGCAAGAAGAGGCAGTGACAGGCAGAATATAATTAAAAGTATTGCTGGGCCATTTTCTAATTTTGTAATTTTGTCATATTATTCAAACCCTGTTGATCATTTATTAAATTGGTAAATAAATTATAATCAGCAGGATTATTATGAGGGTTAAATAAGGAAATATATGTACATCTGTAAGCACAATGTCACAATTAATACAAAGTTACCCTTTTTATTTTTCCTGGACTTCATGTACAAATGGGTCAGTAAATTTTTTGTTTATGACACATAATTATCACTTGCACATAAAATATATTTAATTATTTTTATATTTTTAGCAAGGAAATAATACATGCATGTTTCCCCCTGTCTCAAACACATACACTCATATAAACATATGCACCTATATACCTACATATCTATGTACGAATATATACATGGACATGGGTATTTCTCAGCAAATATGTATCATGATAATCACAGATATTGCAGCTAACAAAGACTAATATAAACCATGATTGCAAGAATTTTAGATACCACGTTAGTGAAACATCAGATTGAGCTGCTAAATTTCTCCCACCCCTATGTCATTTTGTATTTTCTGAGCATCCTAGACGATTGTGATTGTATACACAGGACAGAAACACCATGACTCAGGGTACTCCTGCTAATTTCCGATGCAGGAGATTTTAAGGGCTAGATTAGCAGGATGGGAGTGTTGACCCTCTAAGTGAAATAAATCCCTCAATTCATTATCCCCATCCTAAAACAGATTTTTTTTTTTTTTGAGACAGAGTCTCACTCTGTCGCCATCGCTGGAGTGCAGTGGTGGGATCTCAGCTCACTGTAATCTCTGCCTCCTGGGTTCAAGAGATTCTCCTGCTTCAGCTTCCTGAGTAGCTGGGATTACAGGCAAGCACCACCATACCCAGTTAATTTTTGTATTTTTAGTAAAGATGGGGTTTCACCATGTTGGCCAGGCTAGTCTCGAACCCTTGACCTCAGGTGATCCACCTGCCTTGGCCTCCCAAAGTGCTGGGATTACAGGCGTGAGCCACCGCACTCGACCCTAAAACAGATTCTTACTTGATTATTTCCACGTTCCAAGGGGAAATACAAAAGTCAGAGTTGAGTGAAAATAAAAGTGGAGTAAGGCTTCAGAAGGCTGTGGTGGGTGTTGGAGAAACGTTGCTAGGGCATAAAGCTAGGATAATAAAATCTGAGAAATCCCAGTGTTTATCTATAGGTGGAAATCATATTCCACATGTGGATGGAGTCAGGGATCCCTGTGTTTTAAAATCAGTGAGGGAATTGAATATCTGGACTTGTGCCAATTAACATACAAAACTCCGTGCTTTTGATGTTCTCATTCACAAGATATCTGTGTTCCTTGTTTATTAGCAACCATAGTCATAGGCTTCCTAATTTTGACCACGGGAAAAGAGGAGAGGCCTCTGCGTGTTTGTGTCTGTTGGTTAGGCTGTGGTGCAGCTGGTGTCACACTTCAGTGAAAGTCTGGCTTTTCATCACAGGTTGATCTGAAAATTGTGCACAAGACTGGTGTCTCACATGTTCTTTCTCCAACCTCAGCTTTTCTTAGTGCCTAAAGTGTCTGCAAGTGGAAATCCAGAGGAAGACAGAGAGAAACTGAGTTCCTGACAATGCATTCACTAGTGAGTAGGGGATGCCTCTTTCTACTGAAATTATACCCATATTGCTGGCAAATGGGCAGTTTTCTCCAATTTGCATGGGTGTTTCATTTTTATTCTTTTTTTGTTTGTTTTTATGATGTAAAATCCACCCAGCCTGGGTGTTCCAAATGCAGTCAGGAGGCTTTCAGGTATCTGGCCTCCAATTAAGTTTTCTCAGGACTCTAGGTTGGGTATCGTGTGTCAAAGACTCCTAAATTATCAATATAATTTCTAATATTACACTACTTTATTCCAGCCCTTATTAAGACTATTTACAAAAAAAGATATGAGAGGTTTCATTTATATATTTCTTTTTCTTCTATCCATCCTATAATCTCATAGGGAAATAATTGACCCATTAACTGTACTGTTGGCTGAAATAGACTTAGGATTGTGATGAATGTAGATGACAGAGATGAGTGAAGAGCAGAACATCACAGCCCAACAATGAGTCTGATGTTCTAGCAGCTGAGTTCAATAAATCCAGTGTGATAGGACTTGGGCAAGAGCTGTGCAGTGTTGAGGGAAAAGAAGAGTTTTATAAAATATATTTGAGCTTTTAAAAACTTTGTGAAAGGACAACTAAAGAAGTCATTACTATTCTTATCCCCATTTATTTTACCTTTTGGTAATTAACTTTTTTGCCTTCTGGTAAGTGAAAGTAACATATAGGAAATATAATTATTTAATTATGGTTGCACACTCAGAAGAAGGAATATAGTAGATAGAGTACAATTTAGGGTTCTGTGGAAATGCTTTATAAGGGCTGGTTACAAAAAAAAAACAATGAAGAGGCTTTCTTAATCTTTGAACAAGTGAAGTGAGAAGGTCAATTTAAAAGAGAAACAATGATAACTGATGTTTGGACTGCCGAGAGAAAGTTGAGAACAGGAGGCTTCATATCACAGGAATCATCGGACTAAGATTTCCTCAGTATAGCAGCCTCAGCAGTCTTGTCTTGTGCTGCTAGACTGTCTTCAAGCCTTTTCATGAACACCTGAATTATATAACATTAGAGAGACTATATGTATGAATTGAATCCTATATTCTGCATAAAGCGTTCAGTTCTGAAGAATGCTGGAGTCTGGTTCATTACTTTCTAACTTTTGAATGAATAAGGGACCAATGACTTATATTTAATAAATATTTGCTAGGTAGGAAACACATTTTCTATTAGTTCATTAGATTATTCAAAACACATCATTGGTCTTTTAACCATTTGATTGGGGAGAAACCTGTCTTTCATCTAGAGAAATAATTTATTTCATCGCAGTCATGTTTAAAAAGTAGTAAATCATGGTTATTTGCCTTGTGACAAATCTGTAATTTACTTGAAATTCATGGTAAATTTCATTTTATTTATGAATGTTCAAGTGAAAATTTTATAAGCAGTTATGTAGAGGTGATTAACACATTACTGAAAAATATCTGTGTTATATTATGCCACACCTCATGCAATATTTCTTTATAGTAAAGTTTAATGGATTCAGAGTGGGTATATCTCTGTGAGTGAATCTGAAAGGCAGATACCAGCTTAGTACTGAGAATGAACTGGCTGGAACCAAAAACACTGAGTATTCTGCATACCCAGCTCCTAGCTATATCATCTCAGCCTTCCTCTTCCGGACATTGAAAGGGATTTCTCTGTCTAAACTAAAATGTCTGTGATGTTTTAGGAGAAAGTGACTTTTGAAGATGTAGCTATTGACTTCACCCAGGAAGAGTGGGACATGATGGACACATCCAAAAGAAAGCTGTACAGAGATGTGATGCTGGAAAATATCAGTCACCTGGTGTCCCTCGGTGAGTCCCTCAACATTCACGTACATATGTAGACACACATTCGCTCATTCATTCAATAAGTGTTAGAACAGCTTCCCCATATCTCACTCTAATCTCTTCTCTGATTCTCTCAGAGATCTCATCTGAAAAAAGTTTGAACTCTCTAAATCTATCTTAAATAAATATCTTTCTTTTTATTTTATTTTATTTAGTTTGTCACTCAATTAGAATGTAATCTTGACAAGTATTTCATGGTGTCTTTGGTACTCAGTCTCTAATACTCATAACAGACCTGGGAACATAATGAATATTTTCAATGTATTAAATTAAATACTCTCTAAATAACTCTTCTGCTTTAGTCTATGCTTAGGCTGAGACCAATTAGTGAAAACAATAGCAATATCTTTTCCATATAGAACACCAATTATTTTTGTAAATCGAATGTTTTTTTTTGTTCTGCGTGAGAATAATAATAAACACAATGTGCAGAGATTTAATTACTCTCTTTCTGAAAAGATTGTGTATTATGCATTGTGTCTTGGAACTTAGGCATGGACTCAGCATTCATAGGTCCTGACTGTTTTGAATTTCCTTTTCCTGATGGCCCTTTGGTTTGGATTTATTTTCTAGTCTCAAGTTGGGTCAGAAAAATCCTGGGGAGTTTTCTGTGTTCTAGGTCTTGTGGCCTGAGCTGACCTTCACTGTTTTTATTCTTCCTTGATAGCCTGCCTTACACTTGGTGATAATGCACATTTATTGACAGTGAACTCAAAACACATGTATTCTTTCCACTAACAGGGTACCAGATAAGCAAATCCTATATAATTTTGCAGCTGGAGCAAGGAAAAGAGCTGTGGTGGGAAGGAAGAGTATTTCTTCAAGACCAGAATCCAGGTAAGCAACAGGGTCCTGTGTCCTAATAGGAGGAGGTGCTTTCTCAATGAATAATATCAGTTGAATATTAATTAGTGGTTTTATTAAATGAGTGATAATTTCTAAAATGTAGGTTAGGCTACTGGAGCAGAATTCCTTAGATGTTATTATCATTTTGTTCATGTGTCAGATGTTACTCTTGTGTCCTCTTTTTTTTCTTTTCTTTTACTTTTGGGAAAAAGACAATTCATGTACTTGGCTGGGGTTAAACTTTCATATGCTGACCCTTTCCCTGATACCCCTGTGAAGACTATCCCTCTATTTACTTGCCTGATATCTCATCTCCATTTTAACTCTTTTCACATTTTAATTTTAAAAATCTTTTCTAATTGCTGACACTGTACAATCTATTTCTTCTATTCAAGTAGTTTCTTCATTTGACACACTTGCCACATCTAAGTGTCAATTTTTGAAAAAAAGTAAATGGGCCTTGGGGCTTTTCAAACAATTTTATTACCATAATACCAATGTAACAATTTATTTTTCAATTATTTCAGACAGGGAAAGTGCCCTTAAGAAAAAACACATGATATCCATGCATCCTATCATCAGAAAAGACACATCCACCAGTATGACAATGGTAAGTTTTATAGCTGTGTACACCAGTCATCTAAGTTAAAGATATGGTAATGGGTTAAGTTAATAATGAAGCACAATCACCTGAGTGTAATTAGGCTGGCATTAAGTGCTTTCTAAGCAAAGAAAAAAACTGGAGACTTTGAATTTAGTGAATACATTGACCTCTGTTCTAAATCATAACATGAGATCTCTAAAATAGAGCAAGTGCATATACATTGCTCATGCCCAGACATTGAAAGATATTGATATCATCACAATTATGCAATAACTCTGCAGTTGAGATCTTACAGAAGAGAACATACCTGTGTCTGCAGGAGATAATGTGTATGCAAATGTCAATCGAGAAAAATGACAAGACAAGTCTCAATCATTTTAGGAGATTTATTTGCCAAAGTTAAGGACATGCACCCAGGGGACAGGTGTATGCCTTTCTCCAAAGATGATTTTGAAGGCTCCAAATTCAAAGGGGAAAGGCTGGGATATTGAGAAGTACACAATTTTCATGTAAAAGGTGGGTAGAAAAAATAGTCATTCATGCATTTTTCTGGCTCAGTGAATCTGGATTTTTTTACATAACATGACATAAACAAATGAGGCAGAGGAATAATGCAGGAAAGCTGCATTTTACATAAGACAACATAGGCAGAATGGGGGCAGGGAAACAATCAGATATGCATTTGTGTCTGGTGAACTTGGGATGACTGCACCTGTAAAGACAAGTTATCAGTTTGCATTGCCATGGTGTAATTTTAACAGCTCATGAGGAATTTCCTTGTGGGCAAAATATGGGGGAGGCATGTAGCTTTTCATCTTGTAGTCATATTATTTAGGAACCAGAAGGGGGAGGCAGGTTTGTGTGACCCAGTTCCCAGCTTGATTTTTCCCTTTGGTTAAATGAGTTTGGGGTCCCCAAATTTAATTTCCTTTCACACAAGAAACATTGGAAAGATTTCAACTGGGGTCTACCACTGAATGGTTGGTCTAGGATTCAAAGGTAGTGAAATGAATGTATAGATATATGTGGGTAAACCATTAAGAGCTTTTAATCTTTGTCCCAAAGGAGAACTCTCTCATTCTGGAGGATCCTTTTGAATATAATGATTCGGGAGAAGATTGCACTCACAGTTCCACAATAACTCAGTGTTTGTTAACTCACAGTGGAAAGAAACCCTGTGTCAGCAAACAGTGTGGAAAATCCCTTCGTAATCTTTTGTCCCCTAAACCACGTAAACAAATTCATACTAAAGGTAAATCATATCAATGTAATCTATGTGAAAAGGCCTATACTAATTGCTTTTACCTTAGACGGCACAAGATGACTCACACTGGAGAGAGGCCATATGCATGTCATCTATGTGGAAAAGCCTTCACTCAGTGTTCTCACCTTAGAAGACATGAGAAAACTCACACGGGAGAGAGACCATATAAGTGTCATCAATGTGGGAAAGCCTTTATTCAATCCTTTAACCTTCGAAGACATGAGAGAACTCACCTTGGACAAAAGTGTTATGAATGTGATAAAAGTGGGAAAGCCTTTAGTCAAAGCTCTGGCTTTAGAGGAAACAAAATAATTCACATTGGAGAGAAACCACATGCTTGTCTTCTATGTGGGAAGGCCTTCAGTCTGTCTTCCGACCTTAGATGACATGAGAGAACACGCACTGGAGAAAAGCCATATGAATGCCATTTATGTGGGAAAGCCTTCAGTCAATGTACTAATCTTAAAAAGCATCAGAAAATTCACCCTGGAGAGAAAATTATAAACTTCTTCAGAACATATTCTGACTTTAGATGACACAGTGTTAGGAATGACGAAGGTAAGGAATGTGGAAGAGACTTCAGCTGTAGTTGTAGCATCTAAACATGCCAAAGGACTCACATTTTGAAGAATTACTGTAATCAACATGGAAGATACTTCAGTTGCCTTTATTCTTCAGCCCACATCAATAAATTCATATGGAAGAGAAATTGTATGACATGTATGTACCAAAGACTTGTTAGTGATCTGAGCATAAATGACATGAGAGAGCTGAAACTGTCAGCATAATCAACTAAAAGTCTTCAGCAACAGCTTTAACTTAAAACATGTGGGACTTTCAGGTAGAGAATCTCTAACTCTGCATTCAGTGTGAAAATGTTTTTATTTGCAATTTATTGTCAAATAACATGAGAAAACTTTACTTGGATGAACCCTTTATTTGTATTTTTCTGTGAATGAACATTCAGCCAAGCACCAGGCTTGATGTTCACAAGAGAAGAGTGACAAAATGCTGCTAAAATGGAAAATAAGAGAGGAAAGCCTTCATAAGCTAAATAACAAGGGAAAGTCTTTCCAAGGGCAATGAATTCTCTTGGAATACCAAATACTTCTTACTGGAGAAGTTATGCAATGAAAAATCATGAGAAATCCTTTCTTCATAGAGCAACACATGTGGCACATGTGAGATTTCACACTGGACAAAACAGGGTTAGCATCTTGAAAGAAGAAAATTCTTTAGTGGTAATTCATTTCTTAGTTGACATTAAGTTTCTCACGTTGAGGAGCTATCAAACTTGAAAATCACTGTGGAGAAACCTGATAGATTTCTCATCAGAAAAGTGAGTCAAGAAGGTGGACCTCTAGAAAAAACTCTTAACACATACTTTAGCAAAATAATTCAGAAATTTGAGAAAATATCTATTCATAAAAATGTGGCATGTAAATGCATAATAGCAAAGTGACCAAGGAATAAATTGAATGCAGAATTATATAAGAAATCTCATTAAACTTTTCCAAAAGAGCAATACTTACAAATATTGAAAGAATACAATCTGTTGTTGAAAAAACTTAGTATGTTGGTGAAGCCCTTGTTTCATTTATGCAGCCCTAACAAACTGATTTGCATCTGAACTCCTTGGGTGAGATTCTTGGTGGAGATTCTACCCCAACTTCTGAGTCTCCCCAGTCTTCAACAGCTCTTTCCTCACAGCTCACCTCCCTTTACTTCAACGTCCACCAAAACCACTTGTTTCCATCCAACCCTCGAGTTGACACACCAGGGATCTTCAGCCCCACTTGCTAGATTTCTCAGTTTGTCATTGCATAGATTTAGCAGGGAAATGGAGGCTGTATCAAAGACCCCTAGTATATGCATTTGGGTGTCCCCAGCTCTTGCCTCTGTCTCTGAGCAGTTACCTGGGATCAGAGAATAAGGCAGCTCTTCTCTTCTATCCCTCAGAAGGCTCTTGAAATTTTGTCCCTGGAGCCTCTCTAACTGGAAGTAGCAGTTCATCTCATGACACCCCACATTTTATTCAGGTGAGTCCTGAGTTATTACACAGAGACAGACACAGCTGTGCTCCTTTTACTGCAGTCCAGAAGATAAAACACCAGCATGATAAAACAGCCGAACCTGTCAGCCACCTTGCAAGCCTTTTCTATATTTGATTCAATGTACTTTTCCCGAAGCAAAATGAAAGTTCTCACAGAGGGGCCCTCCTCTGCCTTGTCCTCAGAATTGGAAAATGTATTGTCCGTGAAGGAGCCTCACCACTGAACCTAAAACTCAAGAGAAAATGTTTCCTGAATATCAAGTGGGATGACTTGAAATTTTGTCAAACAGGCAGAATCTTAATACGATCGGCCTTACTAAGGCTAAATGGCCTTATCCATGGTTGAAATTGACACATCATCATATTAAAAAATCTCCACGAGTGATTGATTTTACTCTGCAGCCAGGGTTTATGTCAAGTGTGAGGATAATGAGCAAGAAATTCAAGCCCTTGGCAAACTGGTTGGAGAGGCAAGGACTGTGTCCAGGCAGAGCTCATATCATTATTTATTGTTTAATCTATTTAATTAAATATGTAATTTACCCACAAACTGTGGCTGACATTATATGTACTCCTGAGCCACATTAAGATGTACTATTTGTGCTGTGAAATTCTATGGGATTTGACAAATGCATGGTGGCAGATCTCCAGCCATTATTAAAGCGTAACACAGAATGCTTCTCTTATTCAAGCTCGTCTTCCCTCCACATAGAGGGAATCAATCGACTTTTGTATACTGATTTTTGAATTTGCTTCTTTATTTCCATCTTCTTTAATTAAAGCACAAGATATCGTACTCAATTTCCATTTGATCTTCCAAAAGAAAGTACTGAATAATCCACACCTGAATTTCAGTGATTCAGACTCAGGTCCACCGCTAAGACCAAACGTCCTGTGCTGCCACCTCATGGCCGGCAGAGGGCAATGAAACCCACCTTTCCGGCCATGCAGGGCGCATGCGCGGTCTGCCTCCCGCGGCGGGCCGGGTCTCCAGGGAGGACCTGAGTTTTCTTCACCCATTGTCAGGAAGGCGCCATCGCCCTGGCTTTGGGGCTGGGGCCTCCGGGGAGGTTCCGGTAGGGGCGTTGGAGAGGCCGCTCTTTTTGCAAGGCCCGAGACGGCGGGCCCTGCGCAGGCCGCCCTATTCCGCGCCCTCAGGGCGTCAGTATCAGCCTGAGGCTGGATACCCCCGCTGGGCCCGGATGCCCCCGCTGGGCCCGGAGCATCCTCCGGCGCTGCCCTCCCAGAGCCACGCAGAGGCTGAGGTGGCGCGGGGGCGGCCCCGGCTCCGCGAGAAGCGGCGGCAGCGAGGGCTGGAGGACCCGGGCTGCGGGGCTCCGGGGCGTCTGGCCTGGGTGGGACTGAGCCCATCCAGGGACTGGGACTCTGGGATTCTGGTGTAGGTGGATCCGGGGCAGGCTCAGGACCAAGTCCCTCTCCTTCCACCAAGGAGCGCCCAGAGGCCGGCGGGAGCTCCAGGTTCACCTCCTCCTCCTCCAGGTGTTTACTTTTCCTTTATTTCTGTGAGGCCAGAAATTGTCGCCATCCTTCACATCGGTGAATCGGGACCCTAACACTCATTACCTCAGGTTTATTGTTATTGCCATTAACAGTGTTGGTGGCATTATCACTAAGATCATCATTGTTGTTATTATTGTCATTTATGATTATTAGCAGGTGTGTTCATCATTTTGTCTCACTATGCATTTTTTTTTTGTGGGGGGTGGGGGGATTGGTTTTGTATGACGTTGAATTGAGCTTCTTTAATCTTGACCAGTGTTGTCAGATTTCTGAAGAGCATTCCGGAGGACATCTCCTGCCTTTCAGCACAGCCACAGAATTTCGTGGGCACAGGAGAGCACCTAGAATATTCCCCTTTCATTGCACAGCAGCTTTGGGAAATAGTTACTGCTGGCTCTGAGATGAGGTAGAAAAGACTGGATACTGGGGCAAGTGTTAGCACCTCCACTGGTGTTTTTATGAAGCTAAGAGCACTGTCTCCCACGTAGACTTAGAATAAAATCTGATGGCTCTAAAGGGCCATGGCTGCCCTTCCTGGGACTTCCTGGGAACCTTTAAACCTTCTGTGGTTCCTGGAGTAGGTAGGTTGCCAAGTCTGTGCCTCATATGGTAGCACCAGTCTTTTCTGGGCCAACAAGGGCACTTAGAATGTTTCCAGAAGCTCAGGCGTGCTGTCTCTGTTCCTCCCTTCTGTTCAATGGCAATTCCCTGGGTCCCTGGCTGATATAGAACATCCTGCCGAAGGTTGGGCTTGGGTGACTTCCTGGCCAGCCTTCCCAGGCAGTCATCTTTGAAAACCTTGAAGAGACTCACAGAGGCTATTCACTGGTATTTCATGACTGCAAGTGGGGTTTCTGGATCCTTGAGTTTACTTAGAATATTTGAATGGCTCTGAATGGCCAAGAAACCCTCCCTGATCTTAGAAGCTGCCAAAAGCTATTACTGGGCCCTGAAGAGACTTTAAAATTTTTCCAAGTACATTTGGGCATAGGAAACTTTTCCGGGTCTAGCTGAGCCAGCTCAGGTTGAGTCCTGAAAAACTGGTGGGTACTGGGGGATCTCAACTTACGAAAGAGCAATTGGTGGCAAAGCTGGGTCTCCAGGATAGCTGTGTGTGTATATGTCTGTAGCACATGCCTTGCAGTCATCTTTAGTGACTGAACACCATTTGTGAATGGATAAACTATATTCATTGCTGTACAATGATGAAAAATCCATATTAACAATGGCAGTAATAAAAATATTGATGGATATTAACAGGAATAATGATCATCATGATACTAGTACTAATGGTTTTAATACTGATAATAATACTAACCCTATGGACTTGGGACATATAAGTTTTCCATAAGTGGATAATAGGCATAAATATTTGGCTGTGTAGGGTTACTTCAAGTCCCAAAAAGCAAGGATGAACATCTAGAACGAGAAGAAAAACAATCTGGAGGTTAGTATGTGCACACCTGGGGACTCCTGTGTTAACTTCTGGTGTTTCAGCCTAAGAGGGAATGTTAATATAACCCTGGTCCTGGAACACCATGCTGACCAACACCTATCAGCTTTCAGGAGATAAGACAGCTGGCTGATGGGGCAGGGATCCAGAGAAGGCACGGGTCCACACCTGCACATGTTGCCCAGTGGCAGAGTTCATGACAAGCAATAAGCCCCAGGACAATGTCATTCCCAGCCACCTGGCTGTCATCTGCTCTTTCATGGCCCCTCTCTACTGGTACCTCTAGGCACTGGCATGTCCTCCAGAGGCTGCAGGAGGGCATGATACTCAGTACTCTCCCACCTGCAGGAGGCAAGAAAGATGGAAACAGCTAAATACCACGGCTTCTGGATTTTTTTTGGTGGGCATGGCATATTTTGCATTTGCTTTAATAGTGGTGGAACCCAGTCAGTAGCTTGCAATACAGATCTAGATGACTCTGGACACCTGTAGAGATTTTGACAATTTCCAGAAGGTCACAAGTTCTTGGAGGACTTTTTCATGAGTTCTTTGACTGAAAAGATGGTTCAAAGAGCTTCTATACTGACTTAGAAAATGTTGCAGAGGCCAGGTGCGGTGGCTTATGCCTGTAATCCCAGCACTTCGGGAGGCCAAGGCAGGCGGATCATGAGGTCAGGAGTTTGAGACCAGTCTGACTAACATGGTGAAACCCCTCTCTACTAAAACTACAAAAATTAGCCGGGCGTGGTGACACGCACCTATAATCCCAGCTACTCGGGAGGCTGAGGCAGGAGAATCGCTTGAACCTGGGAGTTGGAGGTTGCAGCGAGCCAAGATGGCGACACTGGACTCCAACCTGAGCGACGGAGAGACATTTTATCTCAATAAATAAATAAATAAATAAATAAATAAATAAATAAAATAAAAAGGAAGAAAAAAGAAAATTCACAGACACTCTGGTGAACAGGTAGGCCCTCTCCTGCCACTCCAGGTAAAAGTTTCTTGGCCACAAACCTGATTTGGCAATATCCCTTCATCTTAGGTGGGTAACAGAAAGCCATTCATGACCTATCCAAGCATGGAGAGGGGATTTGACTTAGAAAACTGTTACGTGGACTAGTTGGTGAAAGAAAGTGCATTCTAGGACTCACAGGCCTACACACAGAGTTGCTATCAGATAAAGCCGATGTATGAACTCTTTCTGAGCCCATGGCAAGATGAGGGTGCACTTCATCAGTCTCTTATGCTGGTATGAATAGGTACTTGCCTGAAAAATAAAAGAATAATTCAGGAAGCCCATTCTTCTACAGGACACCAGGCAGTACAGTAGGAGTCCTGGGGTTGCTGTGGTATTTATGTTTTAAGGTTGTCTTTTAATCATCTTCAGCAAATTCAACAGTCTTCAGGAACATAAAAAAATTTTTCAACATTACATAAAAATGACCACAAATATATCCATGATAAAGAACTGTACCAATATAATAACATTAATAACAATCATAATGGTGATGATATGTCAATTTAATGAAGAGAGTAATAAAAAGCAGATATTTAAGAACATATTCCTGTAAGCCTGTGACAATGTTCCCATATGAGCCCTCATGTTATTGATTAGATGGGGAAGCTTAGGGCTACATCTTGAAATATATTCTGTGAAGGCAAAGAAGAGTGGCAGTACGGAGAATTATTCTGAGCCACATGAGAGCATGGGCAAAAGTGGAGATACCTGTGCCATGTGGAAATACATTACAAATGGACTATGGCAAAGGGTCTGGCCAGAGTCTTGCCTGACACAGCTCGTACAAAAGCCTTCAGTAGTGCACCCCAAGAAATAGCTGGTCCAGGCTGTAGATGAGAGGCACTGGGCAGACAGATCCATACCCACCTACTGAGTCTCAGAAGTCTGGTGTGCATGGAACATTAAGCCCCTAGCCTACTGAAACTTCACCTCCCAGCTGGTCTTGTACCATCTGATTCTTGAGCCCCATCATGTTAGTGTCATCTCCATACTGGAATTGCCAACAATGTCTGATGGAGGGTTTCACCCTGGGTACTTGGTACCAGCAATGTATGAAATACCAGAAGGGAGGCTCCAGGGCTTCCATAGAAGACACATTCTAAAGTTACTCAGGTGATCAAATGGTCATCTCAGAGATTTTCAGTAGAACTGCAGCATTTTGTCAATACCTGAGTGAATGCAGAAACTATCCAGAGGCACGGGCATTCTAGGAAGCTCCCTGTGTAAATCAAATACAAGGAATATCTACTTCTGGGCTCAAAATCTAACTTAGAGAAAAAAAAATTGAAGTGCTGGCAGAAGACAAATAACTCCACTTCAGTTCTCAAGAGAAAAATGGTTCTGTAACCTCTGAGTTTATTTAGAAAAATTTTGGAGCCTCAGGAAGACCGAGTATATCATTCCTGATGTTTCCAGGACAGATTGGACTGCTTAGGCCTTTGGGAATATTCTAAGTCCTCTCGGGTTTCCATGGGAGACTGTAACTCTACTCCTAGAGCTCACACCACCCCTGAGCAAGTTCATTGTTTTCTAAATATTCCAAGGAAGCCCATTCAGGGTATGTCTGTATTGGTGAGTTTCACTTTGGACTGGCAGGAGAAGACTGAGAATGATACATCCTGAGTTCACTTGGTAAAGGTAGGGTAGCCAAGAAGTCCAGATCTGGAGAGCACCTGAAACACCAGATGGCAGAAGGACAGTAAGGAGGTAAAGTCAGCTATGGAGTTGGAGCTTCATGTTTACTGCATGTAGGATTCTGAGTTCCAGGACTGATGGGCTGGTGGGGATCAGAGACGTGTCTTCCTTGCAGGGAGCCAGGCCAAACCAACCATCTGGTTGCACTACTGAAAGCTTTTGTGTGCCCAGTGGTGGGCAGGACACAAATCACAGTCCCTTCACCTCTGGCTGGTAGTTCTTGATGAGAGAGGTTTGCACACAAATGTTCATATTAGCCCATGGTCTCCTGCGGCTTGCTTTTCTTTCACCTCCTGTTTTTGATGTTTGCCATCATGGAACACATTTCATAGAGAAATTCTTTGACTCTGACTCCAAATTACACAAGGAGGACAGTCTGTGAAGTTTTCATATATTTAGGGGAAGCTCCACATTAATTTTTGTATCCTTACGTTTATAATGTCTCCAGTATTAAAATTCGTACTATTTAGGTCATTGAGTTCATTATCATGATTATTAATTATTTTTCGTATATCATTTCTTTTTATTGGTTAATTTTTGTGGCAGCTGTTATATAACAATCACTAGAGTTTCCCTATTCATGAAAGATGTCCAAGTTAATGGAGATAACTAGGAGTGTTACTTCACAGGTATGTAAATACAGATAATCTTGGCTGAACTGTGGCTATATTGTCTGGTGTCCCTTTGAGGGTGAAGCCTCTTGTATTATTCTAAGTGACCTCTGGAGAAAGCAACTGTCTCATAATTGCAGGGACGACTTGAGAAGGCATCCTAAGCCTATGCAGAAATGTAGAAACACTTCCATTATCTAAACAACCTATGTGAAGGCCTGAAAGCCAAAGCAAGATCCTCTTGTTACAAAGCTGTCCAACAAAAAGTTTTCCAAGTAATACTGGAGGTCCGTCAGTCAGTCTTCCTGGTCTGGAAATGCCAGAAATGTCCTCCTTGGTCCTTCTGAGAGTCAAGATCTTTTCAAAATCACCTCAGGAGCCACAGAACCACTCCATCCTACCTGAAATTGCAGGATGACTCTTCTTTTGACCAGAGTCTCAAAAATATATTCGTTGATAGTTTTGATTCCTGGGAGCCGCCATTGCTTGCAAAAGATGTGCCAGAGACTAGACATTTTCTGTCTCCTCACTTGTCCGGGGAAGACTGAAGTTTTACTGAAACACAGAGATGGGAATCTGACCCTCTGAGCAGCCGCAGGATATTCTAAGTCTTCCAAGAAGAGTAGAAATACTGGTGAGGACCCACTGCACCCCCTGATGGTCTGCAATCACATAGGATGATGCTTTCAAACAACTCTAGGTGTAGATACATTTTCTGAGATATTCCAAGGAGGAGGGACACAATTGGACCAGATGTTAGAAGGACAGCTGAGCATTAAGTGCCTATGTAGTGTTTGCAGCTTAGTGTCCCATGCAGAAGGGGAATCTGGGCCCTGGTGTTAGAATTCAGTGTAATTCTGGGTTCCTGCTTTCCTTCCAGGAAATCCCACTTCCAGCTAGATGTCTGCATGAACTACTGAAAGCTGCTGAGTGTCTTGCAGCAGGTGAGCTGTGGCCAGAGCTCAAGGATGAAGGGGACTCCCTCACTCTGTGACTGTGAAGAGGAAGCCTGAGGTGTAGCAGGCCCAGGCCCCAGAAGTATGGAAAAAATGAGGTAGGGAGGGAGGGGACCTCAGGAGAAGACTGAGGTCTACAGAATCCCAGGGTCAAGGGGATGGTGCGGTGTCCGGGCACTGTCCTTGATGTTCCAAGAGGGGTGAGAATCCATCTCCTGAGTAAAAACTTCACATGGAGTGAGGAGGGGAGAAGTGAACAGAGAGGAAGCAGGGAAGGCCAAGACAGCGACCAGCCTCACAGCAATTTTAACCAGAAATGGACACAGACCCTGGACCCCATCACAGGAGTGCAGGCCTAAGACTGTCTCCAGGTGATGCATAGCTCCCTTGTCAGGTTAGTGGGTGCAGGCATTGTGACGTCTGCAGGGGTGTGGAAGGCTGGGCAATGGGAGCAGCTTACTGGGCTGGACCAGAAATACTGAACTTCTTTTCCATCAGTGAAATCCACTTCTGGGTCAGAAAAAACTGCGAGTTCCAGAGGGGCAGGGCCTAGGAGGAGGTCAGGTCCTGAGCCCTCCTGGTTTGACCCCCTCCCACCCCCTGTGTTTCTGGGTCTGTCCTCAGTTCCACCCAGCAGATCCTGAGTCTCTTCCTTTGAGTCCCCGTGAGTGTGTTGTGTGCAGTGGGGCCGGGCTGCTTCATCCACTGCACATTAAATGTTTCCAATACTTTCCGGCCAAAGCTTAGAGTTGTCAGACCACTGAATTTGAATGTTGACCTGGTTCCTTGTGGAACAGAGTAATAGCTATTGAAGTTTAAAGTCACTTTCCTGCGTGGATGGTGAAGAGGCAGGCTGTTCAGGCATAGCTGTCCTCAGGCCTGGAGGGCTGTGGAGGTCACCGTGGGCGGTGGGTGGATCCGGAAACTCTGTGGCTCTAGACTTTCAACTATTTTATTTTTTCTTTTGTATTTTTTGTTTGTTGCTTGCTTTTTTACAATGGGAACTAGAATGTAAGATGCCAAACTCAGCCTGTGGGGAACATGGATTTTCACAACAGCAACCACAGAGCGTGGTTTCCATTTCTATTCCCTGTTCATGTGGGAGGCAGAGAAGGAAATCAGGTGCTCAGTTCCAGGGACATCACAGGACTAGGACATGTGCAGTGAGGGTGGAAGGCAGAGGCATTGCTTTAGGAGAATAAAATTACTGCATGCACACACATATGTATGTATATGGATGTATGTACACAAACATGCATATTTATAGATTCTGTTCTCCCTCTCTCTATTTAATTTTCTTTATTTCACACTTGATATGATTTCTAAATTTAAATACCTTTGAGACAAAGGTGAATTGTGAAGGGATTTAAAAATGTCAGTGAAAAATGGAATTAACAATAAAAATATAAATATAAACTTTATTTCTCAATATAAGCTCTATTGAGGTCCAGACACTCCATTAAGGGATGATCCCAGCCATTCAGTCCATTGCTAAACAACTGAGGGTAACGGGAATTTAACCGTGTCAATGCAGTCTTCTTTTACTAACTAAAGAAAAATGAGTGCCCTTTACAGTTATTTTAAGATTAGGGAAAAAAAGGTCAGAAGAAAACAAATCAGGACTGTAATGTTGATGCCTAATAATTTCCCATGAAAACTCTTGCAAAATTACCCATGTTTGATGAGAGGAAGGAACAGAAGTGTTGTTGTGGTGCAGAGGGACTCTCTAGTGAAGCTTTACAGGGCGCTTTTCTGCAAAAGTATTTGCTAATTTTCTCTAAGAACTCTCCTAGTAAGCAGATGTTATCGTGCTTTGATCTTACAGAAAGTCAACAAGCAAAATGCCTTGAGCATCCCCAAAACCTCCATGGCTTTAGCTTTTGAGAAGTTTGCTTTTGCTTTGACTGGACCACTTCTACCTCTTGGTAGCCATTGCTTGAATTGTGCTTTGTCTTCAGGATCTTATTGATAAAGCCAGTTTCACTCCCTGTTATAATTCTTCAAAACAATGCTTCAGGATCTTGATTCCGCTTGCTCAAAATAGTCACTAATAGCTCTGCTTTTGTCCACTGCTCATCTAGCCACAAGGGTATTTGGGACTCATCAAATGTAAAGTTTCTCAACTTTCACGTTATAGTCAGTATTGTGTAACCTGAACCAATTGAGATGTCTGTGGTGTTGGCTGTAATATCTCTTGTTAATTGTCAATCCTCCTCAATTAGGGCATAGAAACGATTTTTTTTTTCCTCAAAAATTGGTATGGATGTCCCTCCTCTGTTGACTTCATCTTCAACATTGTATTATCTCTTCTTAGAATAAGGTATCCATTTGTAAATGACTGATTCTTCAGGTCATTTTTCCCATAGACTTTTCATAAAGAATAATTTATTTCACCATTTTTTGTACCCCAGCTTCACCGTAAATTTGATGTTTGTTCTTGCTTCAGGTTTGACAGAATTCATGTTGCTGCCATAGAGGGGCTCTTTTCAAACTGATGTCTTAAATCTTGTTCAGGTATGTTAAAACAGGGCCAGGCACGGTGGCTCACGCCTGTAATCCCTGCATTTTGGAAGGTTAGAATAAAGTTTTTTAAAACTTTATTTTATTTCATTTTAAGTTCTGGGCTACATGTGCAGGATGTGCAGGTTTGTTACATAGGTAAATGTGTGCCATGGTGGTTTGCTGTACCTATCAACCCATCACCTAGGTATTAAGCCCACATGCATTAGCTATTTATCCTGATGCACTCCCTCCCCACTCACTCCCAGACAGGTTCCAGTGTGTGTTGTTCCCCTCCCTGTGTCTGTGTTCTCTCATTGTTCATCTCCCACTTATAAGTGAGAACATGTGTATTTGGTTTTCTGTTCCTGCATTAGTTTGCTGAGAATAATGACTTCCAGCTTCATCCATGTCCCTGCAAAGGACATGATCTCATTCCTTTTTATGGCTGCATAGTATTCCATGGTGTATATGTATCACAGTTTCTTTATCCAGTCTATCATTGATGGGCATTTGGGTTGGTTCTATGTCTTTGCTATTGTGAATAGTGCTATAATGAACATACGCATGCATGTATCTTTATAATACAAGAATTTATATTCCTTTGGGCATATACTCTGTAATGGGATTGCTGGGTCAAATGGTATTTCTGATTCTAGGTCTTTGAAAAATCACCACAGTCTTCCACAGTGGTTGAACTAACTTACATTCGCACCAACAGTGTAAAAGTGTTCCGATTTCCCCACAGTCTCACCAGCATCTGTTGTCTTTTGACTTTTTAATAATCACCATTCTGACTGGCATGAGACGGTATCTCACTGTGGTTTTGATTTGTATTTCTCTAATGATCAGTAATGTTGGGCATTTTTTTCATGTTTGTTGGCTGCATAAATGTCTTCTTTTGAGAAGTGTCTGTTCATGTCCTTTGCTCACTTTTGAAATTTTTAAATTTTTATTTTTTAAGACAGAGTCTTGCTCTGTCACTCAGGGTGGAGTTCAGTGACACAATTTCGGGTCACTGCAACCTCTGCCTCCCAGACTCAGGTGATTCTTCTCTCTCAGGCTCCTGAGTAGTTGGGATTACAGGCCCGCACCACTACATCCGGCTAATTTATTGTATTTTCAGTAGAGACGTGGTTTCACCAGCTTGGCCAGGCTGATCTTGAACTCCTGGCCTCAAGTTATCTGCCCACTTCACCCTCCCAAACTGCTGGGATTACAGGCATGAGCCACTGTACCCTGGTTTTCCCCACTTTTATATGGGGTTGGGTTTTTTACAGTTTTGGGTTTTACATTTAAGTCTTTCATCCATTTTCAGTTCATTTTTGTATAAGGTATAAGGAAGGGGTACAGTTTCAGTTTTCTGCATATGTCTAGCCAGTTTTTCAAACACCATTTATTATTAAATAGGGAATCCTTTCCCCATTGCTTGTTTTCATCAAAAATAAAATGGTTGTAGATGTGCAATCTTATTTCTGATATATCTATTCCATTCCATTGGTCTATGTGTCTGTTTTGTACCACTACCATGCTGTTGGGTTACTGTAGCCTTGTAATATAGTTTGAAGTTAGGTAGCATGATGCCTCTAACTTTGTTATTTTAGCTTAGGATTGTCCTGGGTATATGGGCTCTTTTTTCATTCCATATGAATTTTGAGGTAGTTTTTTCTAATTTTGTAATGAATGTCCATGGTAGTTTATGGGAATAGCATTGAATCTATGAATTAATTTGGGAAGTATGGCATTTTCATGATATTGATTCTTCTTACCCATGAGCATGGAATGTTTTTCCATTTGTTTGTGTCCTCTCTTATTTCTTTGAGTAGTGGTTTGCAATTCTTCTTGAAGAGGTCCTTCACTTGCCTTGTTTGCCGTATTCCTAGGTATTTTATACTCTTTGCAGCAATTGTAAATGGGAGCTCATTTGTGATTTGGCTCTCTTCTTGTCTATTGGTGTATAAGAATGCTTGTGATTTTTGCACACTGATTTTGTATCTTGAGACTTCACTGAAGTTGCTTGTAAGCTTAAGAATCTTTTGGGCTGAGATGATGGGATTTTATAGATATAGGATCATGTCATCTGCAAACAAAGACAATTCAACTTCTTCTTTTACTATTTGAATATGCTTTATTTTTTTCTCTTGCCTGATTTCCTTGGCCAGAACTTCCAGTACTATATGGAGTAGGAGTGGTGAGAGAGGGCATCCTTGCCTTGTGCCGAATTTCAAACGGAATGCTTCCAGGTTTTGCCTATTCAATATGATATTGGCTCTGGGTTTGTCATAAATGGCTCCTATTATTTTGAGATATGTTCCATCAATACCTAGTTTCATGAGGTTTTTAATTTAAAGGAATGTTGAATTTTATCAAAGATCTATTCTGAGTCTACTGAAATAATCATGGGGTTTTTGTCTTTAGTTCTGTTTACATGGTGAATTACATTTATTGATTTGTGTATGTTGAACCAGCCTTGCACCAAAGGGATGAAGCTGACTTGATCTTGGTGGATAAGCTTTTTGATATGTTGCTGGATTTTGTTTGCCACTATTATATCGAGAATTTTTGCATCAAAGTTTATCAGAAATATTAAACTAAAGTCTAGTAAATACATTGAAAATAATAACAGACTGATTAAAAGACTAAATAATATGAATCCTAAGTGTTCTCACAGCTGATTTATAGAGTAAAAGCATTGTCAAACCAAATGAGCTTGGATAGAAACTGTATAGAGTCTGAGATGTTGTCTGAACTTCCAGTCACTCATTGTGAAGTGGAACTGCAGTAACTACATTTGGTGCAAAATTTCATGTCGATGGAAGCTGATATGTCCTGCAGTCTCAGAGGGACAGAATTCTGGTGTATCTCCCTTTGGCCTATGAGGAATGAAGATTTAGGCTCTGAGGGTTTTGTCAAAATTTATAAGATGTAAGAAATGGGGACGTCTTTAGGCCATGAGGCAAGGCCTAGTGGTGTAAAGAAACAGCTTCTGACCCAGGGCTCATGAAGTCAGCATGGTGTCAGGGGCGATGGTGGAGTGAGCATAGTATGGTTTTTGGAACCATTCCTTCCTCTTATTTCTTCACAGGCCAGGTATGCACAACCAGGGGGCATCTCGGGCCTGATGAGCAGAGTCCTGAAGAGACAAAGGGGCAATCCTGAGGAAGAGACTTGACAGGGAGGAAGGAGCCACCAATTTCACTCCTGAGGGAATTCTTCCTCCCCAGTAAACCATAGGATTTTCCTTTGTCTCAGTGAGAGTTTTCCTGAGTGAAGAGAAAAGAGAGAGAAAGGGACTGATGTGTTATCTGTTACCACCACCTGAAGTGATTCTGAAACGTTGGGGGAAAGGAGAATTATCTTCAGAGTCATAAGCAATCCAGAGGCCATGGTTACACATAAGAGAGTGGAAGTTCTTATCTCTGGGGGGTAGGCACTAGGCATTGATATTGGTTAAAGCTCATTCACTGATTACAAAGTGAGACAAATAAATACTCCACTGCAAGATTTATTCATGACATTTTATTTCACACACAATTCACTTGCCTTCACGCAAAGAGCTCTTGGTTCCCTGCCTATGGACACACTGTAACTGGGTCTTCCAAATTCATTCTTCTGGATGTAAAAGAGGACATAGGCCTGTTGACTCAGGACAGAAGTGATACCGGAGGCAGTGACCTCGGCATCATCCATTTTATACCAATGGCCTTCTTGAGTTTGACATAAGATAAGTAATGTCCGTTGTGACAACTCCACCCAGCGTGGACCAGCACAGCATAGAGGACATAGACAAGAGGTCCTGTGTTCTGCTGAGACATGTATGGCTGCATGTCAAGGCACTCAGGATATTGCACATTCTTGGCAAGTTTGTTGCCTGTGACCTCAGAGAATCTCTTCAATACAAGGATGAGGACCTTGGCAGAAGTGTGTAAAGTTAACGTCCTGGAGGCAGGCGCCTTCTGGAGACAAAGACCACAATGATAGGCATTTTATCCATTGAGTTCTTCGGGCTTCACCAACTGTTACAAAGCTTGCTTGACACTCTGAGCTGCCTGGATATCCAGGGCGATGTCCAGGTAAGGGTCAAAGGTGTCTGAAATCCCGTGGCAGTGGAAACAGTTGATGTGAGATCTCCAGTACCCTCCAAATATTTGGTGGATGAGGGTGGTGTCCTTAGAGTGATTATCTAAATGCTTGTGCCCGGGAAGGAATGCCTTTTTCATGGCATCCACAGTGAACATGAGAAATTCATGGGCATCTTCCTGCTCGCCTCTATGGAAGCCAGCAGCCAACACCTGTGAGGGCTGGATGACATGGCCAGGACTGTGGAGGGGCCATGTGATGTGAGCTTGCATAGTACAGAGCATGCAGCACTTGTGACGATGACACGTTTGAGAGTGCTCCCGGGACAGCATGTAGTTGGCAAGGGGCGGTGTGTATGTCAGGCACTGCAGGGAAGCGTTCACGTAGCAGGTATTTCCCATATTCTGGAGCCCAGCCCCCACCGCAGCAGGTCTCCTGCTACTCAGAGGAAGCTTCTCCCTGGGAGCGAGCTGTCTTGCCACAGGAGCCAAATCATCACAGAGGTCGACGCGGGTCTCAGATGAGAGTGATGACTTCTCAGAGAGAGAAGTCCGCTGGATTTCAGCAAAAGCTGCATCTGGCCGAGAAGATGTGAGTTTTGAAAAGTGGTTGAACTGCCACTCACCTCCCAAGTAGAGTGAGTCGTCCTCCATGTCGCCCGGAACAAGGATCACAAGGTTTTTCGGCTGGGACCGCAGGTTGCAGAAAGACGCTATCTCTTCCGAGTCTTCAAATGACGGGCTCTCTGGCCGCATCAGCCCTTATATAACTCACCCCCACCAACCGCGAACACCCCACCCACCCATCAGGTGCGCGATAAACCAATCAAATATCAGCACTCAATTAAGGAATGAGTCACAGGGTGTGTCCCCTTGCATCGCTGGGAATTCAACAGACACAGCCCACATCATGACTTCTAGAACACCTGAATCAAACTACTCCTCAGGCTGATAGACACATGTAATATGAGTGTAACCGGGTTGGGACAGTGGCCACACAGTTGCCTTATTTTAGGTAAAACAATGTCAGGGAAGAAATCTTTACCTATGAAACCGTGTGTGTGTGTGTGTGTGTGTGTTTTTCTCCCCTACGTGTGGGTCGGCACTTCCACTGAGATCACTGGCACACAAGCAGAGCCCTCTTGCAGTGTTTGTTCTTCCCTTTGGCTCTCCTGGTCCTCCCTTGCAGAGAAGCGAGTGTGCCAGTGTTCATGGACTCCTGATCTGTCGGGTTCGTCGAAGAGAGGTTTAGCAGGGAGCTTTGCTGTTCAGGATGATGGTTTTTCATCCCACACTTGTATTTTGATTGATGAATCACAAGTACGTTGGGAGGCAGGGTACCTTCAAGTTTTCTGACGTTGAACTCAGGCTTCGTTTTGTTTTGCTCTTGGAGGAATTTCCAGTGGTCTAAGGTGCTTTCCTGAGTGGCTCTTTCCACCAAGTGCTCGTCCAACTCGGGTACCTGGAGGCAGGGGTAGTCTCTCTTGAGCTCTCCTTGCGTTGCTCGCCTGTCTGTGTCTTCAGCGCCGAGGGCTCTTGGTTCCCTGCCTCTTGACACACTCTCACTGTGTCTTTCCCATTCACTCTTGTGGATGTAAAAGAGGACATAGGCCTGTTGACTCAGGACAGAGGTGATGCCAGAGGCAGTGACCTCGGCATCATCCATTTTATACCACTGGCCTTCTTGAACTTTGACATAAGAGAAGTAATGTCCGTTGTGACAACTCCACCCGGCGTGGACCAGCACAGCATAGAGGACATAGACAAGAGGTCCTGTGTTCTGCTGAGACATGTATGGCTGCATGTCAAGGCACTCAGGATATTGCACATTCTTGGCAATTTTGTTGCCTGTGACATCGGAGAATCTCTTCAATACGAGGATGAGGATCTTGGCAGAAGTGTGTAAAGTTTACGTCTTGGAGGCCGGCGCCCTCTGGAGACAAAGACCACAATGATAGGCATTCTCTCCATTGAGTTCTTCGGGCTTCACCAACTGTTCCAAAGCTTGCTTGACACTCTGAGCTTCCTGGATATCCAGGGCGATGTCCAGGTAAGGGCCAAAAGTGTCTGAAATGCCGTGGCAGTGGAGACACTTGATTTGAGATCTCCAGTACCCTCCAAATATTTGGTGGATGAGGGTGGTGTCCTTGGAGTGATGATCTACCTGCTTGTGCCCGGGAAGGCATGCCTTTTTCATGGCATCCACAGTGAACATGAGAAATTCAAGGGCAGCTTCCTGCTTGCCTCTATGGAAGCCAGCAGCCAATGCCTGTGAGGGCTGGATGACATGGCCAGGAATGTGGAGGGGCCATGTGATGTGAGCTTCCATGGTACAGAGCATGCAGCACTTGTGACGATGACATGTTTGAGAGTGCTCCCGGGACAGCATGTAGTTGGCAAGGGGCGGTGTGTATGTCAGACACTGCTGGGAAGCGTTCACGTAGCAGGTATTTCCCATATTCTGGAGCCCAGCCCCCACCGCAGCAGGTCTCCTGCTACTCAGAGGAAGCTTCTCCCTGGGAGCAAGCTGTCTTGCCACAGGCGCCAAATCATCGCAGAAGTCGACGCGGGTCTCAGTTGAGAGTTGTGACTTCTCAGGGAGAGAAGTCCGCTGGATTTCAGCAAAGGCTGCATCTGGCCGAGAAGATGTGAGTTTTGAAAAGTGGTTGAACTGCCACTCACCTCCCAAGTAGAGTGAGTCGTCCTCCATGTCGCCCGGAACAAGGATCACAAGGTTTTTCGGCTGGGACCTTATGTTGCAGAAAGACTCTATCTCTTCCGAGAGAGTCTTCAAATGACGAGCTCTCTGGCCGCATCAGCCCTTATATAACTCACCCCCACCAACGGCGAACACCTCACCCACTCATCAGGTGCGCGATAAGCCAATCAAATGTCAGCATTTAATTAAGGAATGAGTCACAGGGTGTGTCCCCTTGCATCGCTGGGAATTCAACAGACACAGCCCACATCATGACTTCTAGAACACCTGAATCACATTACTCCTCAGGATGATAGGCAGATGTAATATGAGTGTAACCAGGTTGGGACAGTGGCCACACAGTTGCCTTATTTTAGGTAAAACAATGTCAGGGAAGAAATCTTTACCTATGAAGCCGTGTGTGTGTGTGTTTGTGTGTTTGTGTGTGTGTGTTTGTGCTGGGATGAACCTCCAAGTATGTGCTTTTGGCAGCTACCATCATCCTCTCAGCGACGGAAAGAGAAGAAGTCGGAAGTGCGCTTTCTGACCTGAGAATAGTCAATGAAGTATAGTATTTAGCACAGCGTATTTTTTTCCCTAATAAGAAAGGAGAGATCCGTGGAAACAAACAAACCTTCCAGCGATAAGCTTTCCACGTTCAGCCTATTGATTCTCTATCCGAATGAAATTAGCTGCCAGTGGATAACAAGACAAGTCTTTGCATGAAATGCTCTTTTGGAAGCTAGGTTGCCAAATAATAAAGCATCATATGGTAGAAACACACTGAAGTTTGAAGAGATACTCAGTGCACAAAGTAGACTGTGAAAGACTTTGTGGAAATCATGCAGTCACTGAGAGACTAATTGATGACAATCCCCAAATTTATGTTTGCCAGGAAAGAGAGATGGTCATGACATTGTATAGTGAATGATTTCGGATGTGCGATGGCAGTTTAAGAAAACATGAAACGGCCGGGCGCGGTGGCTCACGCCTGTAATCCCAGCACTTTGGGAGGCCGAGGCGGGTGGATCATGAGGTCAGGAGATCGAGACCATCCTGGCTAACAAAGTGAAACCCCGTCTCTACTAAAAATACAAAAAATTAGCCGGGCGCGGTGGCGGGCGCCTGTAGTCCCAGCTACTCGGGAGGCTGAGGCAGGAGAATGGCGTGAACCCGGGAAGCGGAGCTTGCAGTGAGCCGAGATTGCGCCACTGCAGTCCGCAGTCCGGCCTGGGCGACAGAGCGAGACCCCGTCTCAAAAAAAAAAAAAAAAAAAAGAAAGAAAACATGAAACAAAAAACTAGAGAAATCGGAAGGTATCCCAACTATAACCTTTGGTTTATTAAAGAATTGATGAAAATAAAAACAACGTATCTCACAGCATGGGTGATAGTCTTTCCATACGTATGTGATAATGGATCAACATTTCATAGAGATGAAATAAAAAGTTCTAATTTTGACAAAAGCAAACAACGAAAATTATACCGTAGAAAAGTCAGGGGGAAGGAAGTGAGGCCCTGTCTTAAGAAGAAACATCGGAGACTTAAAAGCAGGGAGTGAAACAGAGGATAGCATACCATTTTTAATACTGGCCCTTGTTTCACAGGGAAAACGCAAAAATCAGCCGTGTATCTCCTGGATTCTCGCATCGATTGTTCAGGATCTGAGATGTTCCCTCCATTTCCATTTATGCATTGTATGGTGGAATTGCAGTTAGCACATTTGGTGCAAAAATTGTAATGCTGACGAAAGTGGACATGTTCCCTGAAGTAAGAGGGACAGAATTTGGGTGTGTCTTCAGGCTCTCTGGCTTACCAGGAATGAAGATCCTGGCTCTAGGGATTTTCCCAACCTTTCTTAGACAGTAAGGAACAGGGCAGAATTGAGGCACGGCGCCAAGGCCTCTAGTTTTAAAGAAACAGCCCTGGCTTCAGGGCCCATGAAATTAGGATGATTTTAAGGAGGATGATGGAATGAGAGGACTGTGACCTTTGGCCCCATTTCTTTCCCTTGTCTTTTCATGGGCCAGGTGTGCTCCATCAGAAGGCTTCCTGTGCCTGAAGTAAAGTGTCCTGGGGGAAGAAAGGACACTGCTTACAAAGATGCTCCACAGTGAGAAAGGAGCCACCATTTTCAGGAGAATGATCCCCAGAAGCATGAGCAATCCACATGCCGTGGCTTCACACAGGGTGTGGGAGAGTCTTATCTCTTTAAGCGGGACCTAGGCATGGGTGTCCTTTAATGCTCATAACTGCTTTTGAGGTGAGCCGTATTGATATCCTGCCTGCGTGTCATGCTCATTGCACTGTAGTTGACACACATGTCACACAGAAACACTCTGAATAAGCACATTTTTGTTCTTGAGCAATCTTACACCCAAGATTCTGTGGTTCTGCGGAGCCCTGAGTTCTGTCCTGGACCTCTCTACTCTTGTGTAGGTCAACTTTGATCTTTGTACCTAATGAGAAATGGACTATGAAATCTAATCAGCAAACATACAAAAGTAACGGGCCATTGTCCACAATTGTGTCTCTCCGGTAGGTCATCTTTGATAACTGTACTTAACAAGAAATGCATATGTGACGATTCCAAATCAAAGAATCTCATGGTTTTTCGCCATTTTATTTAATTCTGTTAACGTTTAAATAGAGTTTAAAACCCAAGATTTGGCATGAAATCTAATTGTCAAATACACAAAAGGAAGGGTCCATTCTTCAAAATCTTTTCCACTGAAAGACCACCACTGATAAACAAGTATCGTTGCATTACAGGGATCCTGCTTCCAAGATGCAACTTTCACAGCTGGATGATTGACCCAGAATCTCCTCTAATGCCATTTTTTTACCCGCAAAATGGATTTATTTTAGGGCTCTCTGATTTTATTTTAGTTGAATACACCCACTCTTGTGTTTCAATTTCTTTCAAACGCCTTTAAATAATTAAGTATCTTGCTGCATCAGCCCTTATATAACTACTGTCCACCCACCGAGACCATTACATTTATCCATCAATTACCCTGTTTACTAATGAAATATCAGGATTCAATTAATTTTTTTGTCTTAGGTTGTATCCTCTTGCATTCCTCAGAGAATTTAATGGACACAGCTTACATTGTGATTATGGAAGATTTGAAGCCGATTTACTTGTCAGTATTATGGGCAAATATGATAGGAGTGGAACCGGGTTAGGATAGGGGCTAAACATTTGCCTTATTTCATGTAAATCAATGCTAGTTAACATTTGTGTACATAGTAAACAGTTTGTGTGTATGTGTGTATTTGTGTGTTTGTTTCTGGATGTGTGTGCATGCATTGAGAAGTACTTCCAAGCATGTGCATCTGTGACATAAGATCATTCTTTCAGCGACTAAATGACAAGAAATTATAACTACACTTTCTGACTTGAGAATTTGCAGCAATGGTATGTCATTAATACAGCATATACTTTGTCTTAATTAAGATGGAGAGATCAATGGAGTCAAATAGACATTCCAGAGATAACCTTCCCATTTTTGGCCAGTTGATTCCATATCATGTTGTAATGATCTGGCATTGGGGAGAAGACAAGTCTTTGCATGAAATGGTCTTGTGGAAGCAAGATATGCAAATAATAAAGCATCAGATGGGACTATTCCCCTCAATAGTGAATGTAGAAACATTCACTTAAGTTTGATGAAATTCTCAATGCCCAAAATAGATTGCGAAACACTTTCAAGAAAACATGCTATAACCCGGAGACTAATTGATGACATCCACCTAAGTTATGACTGCAAGAAAAGAGAAATATTCATGGCATTTTTAATCCAAGGGTTTCTTGTATATGACAGCATTTTTTAAAAAGTCAAAATCAGAAAAGCTTCACAAATTGGAAGATATCTAAGCTAAAACCTTTTGTTTCTTAAAAGAACGATAAAAATAATTGCAATGTAACACACGGCCTGTGTGATAATGTTTTAATACATATCTAAAAATGCCTTAAAATTCAATAGAAATAAAATAACAACTTCTAAAACTTGACAAAAGGAAACAACAAAAATTACACACTGGAAAAGCCTGGCTGACTGGAGTGACATCCTGTCTCAAGAAAGAACAGACAAACCCACAAACAAGCAAAGGATTCTAAAAGCAGGGAATCAAACAGATACTTGTACACCATTCTTCCTACTAGCACTCTTCATAGTAGGAAAAGTCAAAAACAACCCAAATGTGTGGTGAATTACTTCATCAGTTTTTTAGGATCTGAAATACTGCCTCAATTTTCAGTTACCCATTGTGGAGAGAACCTGCAGTTACCACATTTGTTCCAAAATTTTATGCTGATGAAGGTAAACCTGTCCGGCATTCTCAGAGGGACAGAATTCTGGTGTTTGTCCAGGTTCCTTGGCTTACCAGGAATGAAGATCCGAACTGTACAGACTTTTTTCAAAAGTATGTACATATGTATGTATGTATGTATGCATGTATGTATGTATGTATGTATGTATGTATTTCCTCTTTTTAAATTTAAAAATTACAGGATACATGTGCAGAATGAGCAGGTTTGTTATATAGGTATCCTTTGCTATGGTGGTTCGTTGCACCTATTGACTTATCCTGTAAGTTTCCTTCCCTCACCCCCAGCCCCCAACGGGCCGTGTTGTGTGTTGTTCCTCTCACTGTGTCCTTGTTTCCTGAATGTTCAACTTTCACTTATTAGTGAGAACATGCAGTATTTGTTTTTTTTTTGTTTTTGTTCCTGTGTTAGTTTGCTCAGTATGATGGCTTCTAGCTTTATCCATGTGCCTGCAAAAGACATAATCTCATTCCTTTTTATGACTGCATAGTATTTTTTGGTGTATATGGACCACATTTTCTTTATCCAGTCTAGCACTGAAGGGCATTTGGGTTGGTTTCATGTCTTTCCTATTGTATATAGTGCTGCAATAAACATACATGTGCATGTGTCTTTATAGTGGAATGATTTATATTCCTTTGGGTACATAGCCAGTAATGGGATTGCTGGGTCAAATGGTATTTCTGGTTCTAGATCCTTGAGGAATCGACATACTGTCTTCCACAATGGTTGAACTAATTTACAATTTCACCATCAGTGTAAAAGCGTTCCTCTTTCTTCTCAGCCTCACCAGCATCTATTGTTTCTTAATTTTTTAATAATCACCATTCTGACGGGTGTGAGATGGTATCTCACTGTAATTTTGATTTTCATTTCTCTGATGATCAGTGTTGTTGAGCTTTTCAAAAATATATTTGTTGGTTGCATAAATGTCTTCTTTTGATAAGTTTCTGTTCATATCTTTTGCTCACGTTTGATGGGGTTGTTTGTTTTTTTGCTTGTAAATATGTTTAAGTTCCTTGTCAACTTTGGTTATTAGACCTTTGTCAGATGGGCAGATTGCAACAATTTTCTCCCATTCTGTAGTTTGCTTTTTCATGCTGATGATAGTTTCTTTGCTGTGCAGAAGGTCTTTAGTTTAATTAGATCCAATTTGTCAATTTTGGCTTTTGTTGCAATTGCTTTTGGCATTTTTGTCATGAAGCCTTTGCCCATGCCTATGTCCTGAATGGTATTGCTTAAGTTTTCTTCTAGGGTTTTTATGGTTTTGGATTTCACATTTAAGTCTTTAATCCATCTTGAGTTAATTTTTGTATAAGGTGTAAGGAAGGGGTCCAGTGTTGGTTTTCTGCCTATGGCAAGCCAGTTTTCCCAGCAGCATTTACTGAATAGGAGATCCTTTCTCCCTTGCCTGTTTTTGTCAGGTTTGTCAAATATCAGATGGTCGTAGATGTGTGGGGTTATTTCTGAGGTCTTTGTTCTGCTCCATTGGTCTATATGTCTGTTTTGGCAGCAGTAGCATGCTGTTTTGGTTACTGTAGCCTTCTAGTATGGTTTGAAGTTAGGTAGCGTCATGCCTCCAGCTTTGTTATTTTTGCTTACAGTTGTCTTGGCTATACGGGGTATTCTTTGATTTCATATGAAATTTAAAATAGTTCTTTCTAATTCTGTGAAAAATGTCAATGGTAGCTTCATGGGTATAGCATTGAATCTATAAATTAGTTTGGGCAGTATGGCCATTTTCACAATATTGATTCTCCCTATTCATGTGGATGGAATGTTTTTCCATTCGTTAGTGTCCTCTCTCATTTCCTTGAGCAGTGGTTTGCATATGTCCTTGAAGAGGTCCTTCACATCCCTTGTACTCCTAGCTGTATTCCTAGGTATTTTATTCTCTTTCTAGCAATTGTGAATGGGAGTTCATTCTTGATTTGGCTCTCTGCTTGACTATTGTTGATGTAAAGGAATGCTTGTGATTTTTGCACAATGATTTAATATCTTGAGTCCTTGGTGAAGTTGCTTATCAGTTCAAGAAGTTTTTGAATTGAGATGATGGGGTTTTCTAAATATAAAGTCATGTCATCTGCAAACAGAGACAACTTCACTTTCTCTCTTCCTATTTGAATACCCTTTATTTCTTTCTCTTGCCTGATAGCCCTGGTGAGAACTTCCAATACTATGTTGAATAGAAGTGGTTACAGAGGGCATCCTTGTCTTGTACCAGTTTTCAAAGGGAATGCTTCCAGCTTTTGCCTATTAAATATGATGTTGGCTGTGGGTTTGTTATAAATAACTCTTATTATTTTGCAATATGTTCCATCAGTACCTAGTTTACTGAGAGTTTTTAACATGAAGGGATGGTGAATTTTATCAAAGGCATTTTTGCATCTATTGAAATAATTGTCTGGTTTTTGTCTTTGGTTCTGTTTATGTGATCAATTACATTTATTCGTTTGTGTATGTTGAACCAGCGTTTCATCCCAAAGATGCAGCCGACTTGATTGTGGTGGATAAGCTTTTTGATGTGCTGCTGGATTCTGTTTGCTAGTATTATATTAGGAATTTTTGCATTGATGTTGTCAGGGATATTGGCCTGGATTGAGCAGGTATGTGTGTGTGTATGTTTCTACCTTGGTTTGCCAGTAGGTTGATGTGTGAGTGTGTGTGACTTTGTGTGTGTGTGTTTGTGTGTGTGTGTGAATATGCGATAGAGAGCCAAACTAGAGCAGAGGAGGTTCCCTGGCCTGCCATGACATTAAATGTTCTGAATTCAAGATACCAAGGGAGGCATGAGACCCACAGTTGAAACTTCATGATGTGGCCAGGTTTCAGGGGTTTCTGGGAGCTGCCAGTGGGCATGTCTCAGGCTTGCTCCCACTGACAATCCATGTCTTCTCCCTAAATGGGAAATGGCACTGTATGGAGAACAGGCAACAGAGAGCATGATGTAAGGGTTCTTCCTCATACTCACTAGGAAAGAAAACAGATTTCATCATCTCTCACTCCATTCCCTTTGTAAATCTATAGACACAGGGGTCAGTTACCTTAAATATTAGCATAGCTAAAGTCCTCAGACCAAATTAGATGTCCTATCTTCTCATGTGGATCAGATCCTAAAAAAAAACTGCTTCCTGTGGTCATTATCTTTTATCACAGGCCATTTTCAATCCAGAGGAAGACCTTCTAAAAGAGGTGATGGATGGGAGAGTGCTGACATACTATGTGAAGCTACTATTTGGAGTTGGACACGAGTGCATGTGACCTTGTGCCACAGCGGGAATGTGAGCTGGGTGACAAATGGAGATTTGGACTTGTGATAATTGGCCTCTGTGTCATTGTGTGGAAGACTGACTGGTCCCTTTATTTCCTGTAGCTTGACTACCACACAAATGAATCCATTCAAATGTTGGCAAGTGGAGCAGAGTCCCAGGACAGGTAAAGCACTTTCCCTGCTTTTTCTTAAGATCAATCCCCATGCCTAGAAATTAAAGTCACATCCCACATGATCATTAAAGTAGAGAGTGCATTCTACAGGATGAGTGAAAAGGCATTTATGATTCTTGGGGGCAGATGTTCTACAGTTGCCTGTGCTAGTTCATGTCTTTCTGCAGATCACATTCTTAACCTCTAGAGAGTCTGGCAGGACCAGAGACTTACCTTTCCCAGTCTGCAATCTCTACAGGTACAGAAACACCCCCAGTTCAAGAATCTTCACATCTGAATTTAGTCCTACACCTGCAACTACCCCAGGTAAGTTTCCTTGTTCTTCAATGGCAAAGTTTGGACAATGCTGTTCAAACTCCAGGCAACAAGCAACATCTAGGGAATGTGCTTTTAGGTAGGGTCAGCATAATATCCCACCCTGGAAGACATTTTTATTTTAAAGTTGTAGAGGGTGATGCTGCTGGCGGCTCCCTCCCAATTAGCACCATTTGCAGCCTCTTTTGAAGACAGAGAACTGAGGGCTGTCCTTCAAATGGAGCAGTGTGATTCCAAAAAAAAGAGATGCTCCTTGTGGTCCTGGGACCAGGGATAGGACTCCAGCTGAGCCTGGTGGAAGAGGTCCACGTCCTAGCCCAACGGAGAGCCATGCAGCTGAGCTTGGGCGATGTGGTCCACGTGGTTGTTTCTGAGTGTGTCCTGAGGTTGCTGGATGGCTTGCAGTTCCCTATGCAGATCCAATGCTTCTTTTGCTTTTTTGGTTCTGCAACCTGGAATTTATATGTTCAAGATGGAGCCATCTCAGCCATGACAACAGAGAATGTACCACTCTCACATGAGGAAGAGGGGTAGGAAGTGCTCCTGTATCACCAGCCCTTAATGAGACCCTGAGGAAACCACATCATGGAGATCAGCCCTTCTCTCCTGTAAGGAACTCATCCTATGAAAGAGCAATTAGTGCCTGCAAGAGCTGTCTCTGGGACAGCTGTTCATGTCTATATCTGCAGGGTAACCCTCATAGTCATATGCAGTCATATCCATAGTCATATCGGGAGTCAGACTCCAGTTTGACTGAGTGAATGGAGAAACTAAACATTTATTACTGAATAATAACATTAATAAACCATCTTAATGATAGTAATAATAAACATATTGATGAGTATTAACAGGAATGATGATTATTATGATACTAATATCCATAATTAATAATTTTAATATTGATAATAATACTAACCCTGTGGACTTGGGACCTAGAGAGCAGTTTCCCCTGACAATTATCCCATATTTGGCCACATGGGGTAATATTGAGTTCCAGAAGGCAAAGATTAACATTCAGAAAAATAGGAAAAACAACCTGCAGGTAGGCATGTGCACACATGGGGACTCTATGGATAAATACTAAAGTGACTCTTGTTCTGGATCTCCATGCTAACAAACATGCACCAGCTTTCAGGAGGTAGGACAGCTGGCTGATGGGGCAAGGCTTCTTGAGGACATGGCAGGAGTCAGAAATCACACATGCTGCCCAGCAGCAGAGCTCATGACAAGCAGTAAACCCCAGTGAAAGGACCTGGCTGCCCTTCTGCCATCTGCTCTCCCATGGCCTGTGTTGACTGGTACATCTAGGCACTGGAATAACCTTCACTGGCTATAGGAAGGCATAATCCTCAGTATTCTCCCACCTGCAAGAAAGACAAAAATTAACTGAATACCATGGCTTCTGGGTATCCTTAGTGGGCTTAGTGTATTTTGCATTTGTTTTAACAGGCCAGTTATCCAGGCAGTGACTTTCAGTACAGCTACAGTCACCTCTGGACACCTGTGGAGACTTTAAAAATTTCCAGAAGTTCAGGAATTTTTGGACACCTTTCTCATGGCTATGTTGCCTGCAAAGGTGAATCAATAAGCTTCTGAACTGACTTAGAAAATGTTGCAGAGACTCTTGTGAGCAGATAGACCCTCTCCTGCCACTCCAGATAGACATATCTGGGTCACACACACCTGATTTAACAACATCTCGTTATCTCAGGTGGGCAACAGACAGCAATTTAGGACCTATCCCAGTGTGGATGAGAGATATTGAGTTGGCTTAGAAACATGTTAGATAGACTAGATGTGGCAAGAAAGCCCATTCTGGGGCTCAAAAGCCTGCACATAGAGTTGCTGGCACATAAATGGTATGTATAAATTCTTTCTCAGCCCATGAGATCAGGATGTACTTCATCAGTATACCATGCTGGTATGAAGAGATTCTTGCCTCCAAAGGGACTCAGAATATTTCAGGGAACCTGTATTAGTCCATTTTTACACTGTTGTAAAGACACTACCCCACACTGGGTAATTTACAAAGGGAAGGTGTTTAATTAATTTACAGTTCTGCATCGCTGGGGAGGCCTCAGGAAACTTACAGTCATGGTGGAAGGCAAGACAGAAGCAGGCACCTTTTTTCACAAGGTGTCAGGGAGAGAAGTGAGTGCACAGAAAAAAAAACAAAAATCACCTACTCTTAAAACCATCAGATCTCCTAAGAATTCACTCACTATCATGAGGATAACATGAAGTAAACTTCTTCGACACATGGCGATTACAGGTCCCTCTGTCGATGTGTGGGGATAATAATTTGAGATGAGGTTTGGGTGGGGACACAGAGCCAAACCATATTATTCTGCTCCTGGCACCTCCCAAATCTCATGTCTTTTATATATATTTCAAAGCCAATCATGCTTTTCCAACAGTCCCCCAAAGTCTTAACTGATTCCAGCATAACTCAAAACTCCAAGTCCAAAGTCTTATTTGAGACAAGTCCCTTCTGCCTATCAGCCTATAAAATTAAAAAAAAAACAGTTAGTTACATCCACAATGGGGGCCTCATGACCCTGACCAGTGCCCTATCCTACTGTGGCTCAACTGATATCCAAGATGCAAGACAAAGTCCTTTTTACTCTTTCCTCTAATCTCCTCTAGCAGAAGGAAGCGGTCTTTTTTGGAGCTGCAAGCTGTGCTGCCTGGGGTTGGGGGAGTGGTAATGCAAGTACTCCTTTAGCTGTCCTGGCTGGTGTCTCAGTAGGTTTTATGGCCACTCACCTCAGTACACTGGCTCTGAGTACAGTACTATTGTGTCTGCAGTAGTGTATGAGATGGAAAATAAGTCTCCATTCTCCAAGACTCTTCTTGAGCATCAAGGCTGCCTGATTGTTGAGCTATAGCTACAGACTTTCCTCGCTGAGCCCAGCATGCACATGTTCCTCTGCTGGAAAAAAAAGCAGAAACAAACAAACCACCAAACAACTTCCCACAAGTGGAATGTTCTGGGACTCAAGGTCATCTAGATTATTTTGTCCCCAGGGTGCTCCCTTGATGTGGTGTGCTTCCTCTTTCCTCAGAGTAGGAGTCACTGAAATTCAGATTACTGCATATGCTGCTGCTGCTTCTCTGGGTCTGGCTACCCAGTGGGGCTGCCGCACACCATGCTGGTGCTCAAGAATGTCTGCAATGGATCCAGTGATATAATCTGTCCTCAAGGCTCACAGCAGTGTGTATCGGCAGCTGATCAGATGGGGATGGCAGGGGAGTGATGTAGACTCTGAAAGATTCCTTGGTTATAAATAGTCCTAGTGTGTTGTGTATTGGATTTCTCAAATGCCAGTTGTAGTAGTAATGAACTCATCACATGGACAGACTCATGGCCTCCTGCTTAGCCAGAATGATGCAAGCAATGGTAACAGTTGTGGTCACTCACAACTTTTCTCCTTCCTGGGTGCTATGTTATTCTACCTGCAGATGCTGTAAAGGACTGTCAGTAGGCCTTCAGCCAGGAGGTGGTGCTTCCAAAAGACTGCCAGCTGTGGTGGTAGTGGTGAGATTTGGACTTGCCTTATGTTACCCATGGGAGGCACTCTGGTGTCTCAGGAAATAGGTGGAGCCATAGAGCTTCTAAAAGTTTCTTCTGTTATTTGTGTTAATCTACCAGGGTAGGTGGTTGAGCAAAGCCAGGTGGGAACTAGGTCAGGTAAGGTGATGCTCTGGCTGTCTATGTGTGGGACAAGCAGTGGCTCCAGTGGGAATTGGAAGGCAGTTCTTGGGCCACTGGAGTAATTTTCCAGAGAGAAGTGAAGCTGTCTCTGCCTCTGTACAAGGAGAGTCCATGTGAAGAATGGGGAGTAGCAGCTTGGTAGTAAGCCCCATCCAGCTCCCACACACTTGGCAAGGCAGGTCTCACACCCACAGTGTTCCACTGAGAGTAGCTAGCTAAGTTTCAAGAAGTCTGAGCTCAGAACTCAAAACTGACCCATACCATAATTCTCCCCTATGGAGACAGCAACTGCAACCTTCAGGCCACACCCTTCCTGATCCACCTGCAGAGCAGGGGCCCCCAGCTCCTGTGCTTGCTGCTGCAGCACACTTCCCACTCACCTCTCAGTTCTGGCCTGGAGAGTTTGTCCCCTGTCAAGATTATATCACACATTTCAGTTGGGAGGTTGTCTCAACCTGTGACCACCATCTGAGTTAGCTGGCAGACTTCTAGGAGGTCCTGTCTGAGGTAGAATCAGAAATGGCTTCCCTCCATTCTACCAGAAACTGGGAATGTGCTGGAGATTCAAAGCACATCCCAATGCCACTCCTCATATACTCACCACTCTTCCCTAAATCAGCCCCAGCGCTGAGTAGGGTTAAGGCCTTCCCTCACGGCCTGGATTGATAGGTTTCCCAGTGGAAGTGTATATCTTAGAGTCAGTTTACCCTCCTGTCACACCCTGGAAACTTACAATTTTCTGCCTAGCTTATGGTGTAAGCTGCATCCTGCTGTTTCTTTCAAATGGTCTGTGGCTTATTTCAATTTTCCTGTTAAATTCCTGTGTAGCTTCTTGAAAGAAAGTTCACAGTGTGAGTTTCTACACACCATTTTCTCTTTCCAAGTGCAAGAGGCAGACTAACAATGCCTTCATTCCACTATCTTGGAAAACAAAAGTAACAGTTTTCTCATTTTTAAAAGTTTTGTTAAGATCTGTTAATGACTCACAAAGAAATAGTACTTGGGTATATTTGAAATTAGTATTTATTCATTTATGTTGATAAGTGAAAATGCAAGACAGTTATCAAGATGGAAGTACTTAATATGTATATTTTAATATTCTTAGATGCAAATAACTTCACTTTTGATGTATTTTTATTTTGTCTCAGTTTCATTTCAACTTAGGTTTAAGGGGTTCTTGATAATCTGACATGATAAGTGGTGTTGGAATTGACATTAAAATCCACCATGCTCTACAGCACTTCATCCTTCTTCGGCAGGCACCAATTTGATCTTCTACTACTTTGCAGACATCTCTTCTGCAAACACCAGACAAATTGAGACAATGACCTTCCGCAGGACCCAAACCACCTCTTACTGCAGGAAAGAAGATCCAGTGAGATAGTTAGTCCACAAATGGAATGTAAATCCATAAACACTCTTAAGTAACAGAATAAATTTAGTATGAGCATTTTTATGTGGGAGCTCTTGACATGGTTGCTGCTCATATGTCAGAGACACATGCAGTTTAAGAAAGGTAGCAGTTCCAATCCTGGTTTGGCCCAACAGTCACTGCATTTTTGGTGGGGAAAAGGGATGTGGGAGGAGATGGTACATCTTCATCTTTTTCTCTGGGTTTTCTGTCAGAAAGGGATGTTGCTTACTCCAGTGGCAAAAAATGCCAGTGTCTTCTGCCAGAGTGGGTTACTGAGGGCCTTGGTGGTTCCACCTTGTGGCTGATACAGATAGTCCCTTTCTGCTTTTGTTTCTAGCCAAAAAAGATGTTTCTGGCATCTCAGGTATGCTGATTTCAGCAGCTGTTTTTTCTATATGGCTATTTTTTTTTCTTTCACTCTCTCTCTCTCTCTTTCTTTTTTTTTTTTTTTGTTGGCTTCACTGTGTTGCCATAGTTTCTTAAATGGTCCCTTGAACCCTGCCAGGGCTAGTTTGGTTTGTACATAACTATCTATATATATTTTTCTTGCGGGGAGGGTGTAGAGCTAAAGGCTGGTATATGCTGCTGCTGCTCCCCAAAAGTGACGTTATTCCCCCAAGCTAATATTTCAGGCTTTCGATTTATTCATGCTTTCATCTGTTTAAACATAAGTAGAAATTACTTTTTCTCTCCCCATTTAGATTTGATCTATCTACTTTAATTGCTAATAGTGTCTTAGGCATAGAATATATTAGTTAGAAAAAAGTGTTTTTGACATTATAAATGATTCTTTCAATTTGTATCTAAAAGTGGAAAATACTAGAAAGCTTAACATTTATTATTGTATTCAGACCAGTATTTCCTCCATATGACCTTTATTACAACAAAGATAATTTAATGAAGATCTCTCTAATGGGAAAGCTAATGGCTTTGTGCTATTACAATATCCTTCGAATAAAGTGACGGTCTGGTGGAAAGAACAACTAAAGCAAGGATTAGGAAGAAAACAGTTAATACCTTCATTTTCGTCTCACTGTGCATTAAGAGTTTTCATTGTGTTAATGATTTATTATACATTAAGTAATTTAATGTTCATTCAATAATAAATGTATCCTATTAAATATGATTTTTAAAATTATAATCACATTACTTTTATTCACATCTGTCTACTGATGCCATTCCTAGGTGAGAATGGTATAACATTATTTTATTTTTTCATTTTGCCACATCTTTACTTACTTAGGTTTATGCTGTATCAAACAATGTATGTGTGGGAGTAATGGATGATTCAGGAATGCATGAGGAGGAGGTTTAAGCTCTTTAACCTTGAACAATTAAAATTAGCAACATAATATTGAAATACACACATAACACTCAAGTGGTACGTTCAAAATAGTGTATATTTCCTCTGTTTATTTGTAGCTTTTAAACTCAGCTAGAAGCATTCTATTTCCTTTAGGCACCATAAGTCTGAAAGTCAGTAGTGAAAACTACAAGTACTAAATGATGCTAATTCATGTGCTCCCACCTGTGGAAGAATTGAATGTCTTAGATAAAAAAAGATGGTGCAATTGGTATACAAAGAATCTAGAATACAATTTGGTGGTGGTTTTTCTGTTTCCATAGCAGAGTAACATATATAATATTCCCCTTTCATCAAGTTATTTAAATATGCCTTTGAATGGGGGGAATTGAAAATAATACTGTGAATCCTGGTAAACATTTAAAAATAATGAAAAGAATATTGCCTTTACAAAGTCAAAATTTGTCTGAATACCACCCATATAGCAATTTCATAGCAAAACACTTCCTTCAATCCTATTAAAATCAGAAGGAAAAGAAGAATACCCACTGTCAATGTTGTATTAATATAGTTCTAAAAGTTCTGGACAATGAAATATGTTGTAAGAAGAGAAGTCAGGGGAGACTTGAGCCCATTGTTTTTCGTCTCCTTCTATACCTCCCAAAATACCACTGGAATGTTGTAACATTTTGAAGAATCTATAGTAGTGTCCAAAATCATAGAATAGTATGCATACATCTGAATCTGAGATATCTCCAAAAGATATAAAATAGGTGTGATTCCAATGAAAGAAAGATTTAGGCTTTTGGCCATGACTGCAAGTTAGCTGCTCTCAAATGACTGCTGCTATCGAGCAAATACATTTTAGAGGATCTCTTTGAAACATTTCTGTTCTTGAAAACGGTTAGGCAAGTTCTTAAAATATCTCCTCTTTCAAACACAAAAATAGTCTGTGAACTGGAGCTTGAGCACTGGGCACTTTGCATTGGCCAGCTGATGGAGGGGGGTGAGGGTTTCCCAGATCTTCTGGGAAGATCTGCTATTATCAGCAATGCTAATGGTGGTACTACTGACTCTTGGGCCATCAGAAATTCCAGTTTGTTAATCCTGGAACTTCTATATTGAGATAAAGCATTGAGTCAGTTTCACAGAGGAAGTTTGGATAATAGTGTTCTTATTTCAGACCGTAGAATGATGGCAGATTAAGGATGAGCAATGAGTTCAGTATTAAAAATGATCAGATAAGCAAGACACCATGAATAAAAGTTAATGAAATGAATAGCACATTTAAATTCTTGAAAACTAAATGTATTGAAATTGTCAATATGGAGAAATAATTAAGCAGCTGTGTATCGATTGTTTAAAGAAACAATCTACTATTACAAAGAAGTAAAAACAATAGTAAAACAACATAGATGATAGAAAAAATGGGCAGGTCTGGCTGGGCGTGGTGGCTCATGCCTGTAATCGCAGCACTTTGGGAGGCCGAGGCGGGTGGATCACGAGGTCAGGAGTTCAAGAACAGCATGCCCAAGATGGTGAAAACTTGTCTCTACTAAAAAAAATATATATATATATAAATTAGCTGAACATGGTGGTGGGCACCTGTAATCCCAGCTATTCAGGAGGCTGAGGCAGGAGAATCACTTGAACCCGGGAGGTGCAGGTTGCAGTGAGCCAAGATTGCACCACTGAATTCCAGCTTGGGCAACAGAGTGAGACTCTGTCTCAAAAAAAAAAAAAAAAAAAAAGGCAGGTCTGAATAAAAAAAAATTTAAAAATAAATGCAAGTTATTAACGATATATTACATATAGGTAACAGGATAATTAGTAAAGAAAAAAATGCTTAAATGATATACCCAGTATGTAGAATGGAAACACAGGTCTAACATTTAATTCAAATATGGGGGGAGAGAAGTGTAAGAGGATTCACCATTTCAAGAGATTCTCAAAAAGAAATTAGGAAAAAGTATAAATCCATTGATTCAAAGAATGTATTTCTAACAGATGATATAAAAATAAATTCACATTAAATTATAAATTATAAAACATTAAAACCAAACACCAGACCATACAAACATTGAAAAAAGGACAATTTACAATGAAATAATATTTATCTGATTATTATAGTAAAGCAAAAACTAAAAATGAGTAAACCAGTATCAACAAATGTTGAGAGAAAATAACTGTTATTATAGAATTGGGTACTCAGTAATGCTGTCTTTCAAGAACAAAAATAACAATATGAAATTGACAGATAAAAACTAAAATTGTTCACTATAAAGAGATCTGCAGCAAATAAAATTTCAAAGGCTATATATCAGGAAGAAAGAATTTAACCCAAAAGCTGATCTCACAGTCAACTTGGAATTCCATAAATATCACTAAACTGATGATAATAGTAATACTTTCTGACATGGGGGGATTCTGAAAAGAAGTGAACTTTTACTTTTGTTTAGAATTTAGAAAGTTATAAAAAAATGCTCTTGCCCTGACAAAGAGAATAAGCTGGATAATCTACAGATCATAGATTTCATTTTAAAAGACAGAGCTGAGGTCTCAAAAAAAGCTAATTAACTTAAATTCCGAGTAATGACGCCCTACTGAAAAAAGAACGGATCCACAGATGATTTGTGTGTACCTGAGTTGCAGCAGCAGAAGCAGGAGGAAGCTGCCCTTGATGGAGATAAGAAGGAAACAAGTGAACCTCAAGCAAATGTGGAAAGGCTGAATGTGGGCTTGTGATAATTTAGCATCAGTAGGGGCCCAAACACACTCACTCACTCACTAATGCTTTAATGCTTTCCTTTTCTTTCTTTCTTTCTTTCTCTTTCTTTCTTTCTTGCTTTCTTGCTTTCTTGCTTTCTTCCTTTCTTTCTTTCTTTCTTTCTCTGTTTTCTTTCTTCCTTTTTTTTTTTTTGATGGAGTCTCACTCTGTCACCCAGGCTAGAGTGCAATGGCACGATCTCGGCTCACTGCAACCTCTGCCTCCAGGGTTCAAGTGATTGTCCTGCCTCAGCCTCCCGAGTAGCTGGAACTACAGGCGCATGCCACCACACCCTGCTAATTTTTTGTATTAGTAGAGACAGGGTTTCACCGTGTTGGCCACTGACCTCGTGATCCCAAATGCTGGAATTACAGTGCTTTGGCCTCCCAAAGTGCTGGGATTACAGGAGTGAGCCACCGCGCCCGCCCCACTAATGGTTTTTTCATGACCTATCTTGTGTGCTCCTAGGTAAGATCAGATGGAGAGCAGGAGAACTACCTGAGACACTTTTGTGGGACAGGCATGTAGGAACTGCTGCAATTTGAGGTCACAGAAAGGTAAAGTTCACACTGTGAGAATCGGGGAAGATCCTCTGTTACTGGGGAGTAGGTTGGGGAGCTGAGAGAATCCCCCCTTCACTCTCTTTTCTCACAGGTGCATAAGAAGAGAGGCCTGATGAGGTCTGAAGACAGGGGAGGGCAGGTAGCTGAGAGAAGTAGATTCTCTGGTCTTTCACTGAGTGTGAGGCAGCTACTGTCCGTGGTTGGGCAAGGGATGGGAGCCCTGAGAGATTCTTGAGGTGCAGAGATAGAGGCTTGCTGAGGATGAAAGTGGACAGGAAAGCTAAGAGAAGCTCCAATGCTGACCATGGCACTCTGCAAGAAGAGAAAACCTGTATGTAGAGGTTTATGAGGGAAAATCGTGAGTTTGGTTTTGGATATATATTACTTTTGAAATCAAGTGTCCAAGTAGATATACCAGTTATGCAGTTGGGTAATTTATTATAAGCCTGGAGTTCAAAAGGAGGTCCAAAAGGAGAATTGAAAGGGATGAGACTTGCTGAGCCCCTCCAAAGAGTGTGTGGTGAGGGAGAAGAGAAGAGGACCAGGAACTGAGCTCTGGAGTCTCCTATAGGAGGTGTGATGCAAAAGATGAGGAAGAAACAAAGGAAGCCGAAGTGGTAGCTCCAGTGAGACAGGCTGAGAATCAAGTGAATGTGCCGTCCTGGAAGCCAACTGAAGAAAGTATACTATGAAGAAGGAAGTGATTATTTGTGTCAAATGCTGCTAATAGGCCAATTAAAGTTGTAGTGAAAAATGATCATTGGATCTAGCAATGTGGAGATTATTCATAACTTTGACAAAAGTGGTGTCAATAGCATGATCGAAAAAGGGGGAGAGAGCCTGATTGGGATATATTTAAGAAACAATGAGAGGAGAGGAATTGAAGACAGAGAGTATGGACAACTCTTTTAAGATGTTTTGCTGAAAAGTAGAGCAAAAAAGGGGAGGACAGCTGGCATCAGAAGAAAAGCAAGGATATTCTTTTTCTTAGATCAGACAAACAACAGCATATTTGTATGCTGATGGTAATAATTTACTAGCATCAAAATTAATGACACAGTCATGATATAGTGAACTGCAACAGGAAAATCCCCAGGTACACAGTGAAGAGGGAATATAATACACAAATTTAAAAATTATTTGGATCTCTGAAACATCTGTTTTGATATTAACCTTTCATTCCTGCAATAGTTATTTTAAGCATGTTCTCATTTTCTCTTGTTCAGTGTTGCCAGGTTATTATAAAGTGTATTAGACTTTTTGAAAAACATTTTTAAAAATACTAGTTTTTTCTCATTTGTTTCATTAATTTATATTTTGTATTTATAATTTTCCCTTTATCTTCTTTAGGGTTATTATGCTGTTTTTTTTTCCCAGAAGCCCCCAAAATGCATGCTTAGCCCATTAAATTTTAGCCATTTTTGTATCGAAAGTTATGTTACCCATTTCTGTGTGGTTACCTGTAATATACCATGAGCAGCACTTCTTGGTGTCTTTGCTCCTTATTAATTCACTTGTCTGAAGTTCCTTTAACTTTCCTTTCTACTTTTCACTTTCACTTTGCAAATCATTTTTTATTCATAACCGCATACAACATAATTTATTTTGAAAAGTCTCTCATATAATTTTCACTTATTCTAGGATTATAATTTTTCCGTTTGTCTCTTCAAATAAAACCTTCAGATTTGTCAACACTCATTAAACAGTAGCTCCTATTGATAGGATTCCATCCATCTCTTTTGACCTAGTAAGTGAATATAATAATAGATGCCACAGAAATTCAATCCTGTCAGATCTAACTGCCTACATATAAATTTCCATGTCCCGCAAAGGCATCTCATTGAGGTCACATTCTGTTGTATCTTTACTTTGTATCTTGAGGTGCTTGGTGGGGCATGGAAATTTACATGTAGGCAGTTTCATCTGATAGGATTGAATTTCAGCAGCATCGATTATTATATCCACTCACTAGGTCAAAAGACATGGATGGAATCTTATCAACAGGAGCTACTGCTAAATGAGTCCCTTTTCTATTTTTCCCTATTATAATCCTAGTGAAGCTGTAAATATTAGGTTCTTGAACCCACAGGACTGATTCTAGTATCTTGTCTGGCCAGAGATATAGCCTTCTGATCTGCAGAACCTTATAGTAATCAGCTACCAACTTACCTGGGGATAAGAGAATTTAAAAAAGAAGGAGAATAAGGAGAAGCAAATGGAGTCTCATGGCTGAAGGGCCAGCATCAATGTGGGTTGAGCCTGGAGTCTCTGGGCATCGTGGGTCTAGGCCTTTTTATGATGCTCTCTGAGTCTGTGATTTGTTCTTGGTCAGTAAAGCCTAACGAAAAGAGAATAACTAAATCTCCCACAGGAAACTTCCAGGGACACACAAGTACATAAATGTGGTGATATCTCAATGGATGAGAAAGCAGGTGAATGCTATTTATTTCCCAAAGATTCAGGATGTCTTTATTGTCACCTGCTTTCTTTATTATTTTTGAAATGCACATGCAATAATCATTGATCTCACTTTATACATCTATCGTTTGCCAGGCAATATAGTAGGAACTGAAGTAAAATTGTTATACACAAACAGTACATAATTAATGGATATAGTTTGGCTAGTTTGCACATATATATTATCTTGTTACCACACCAATATCCAGGTAATAATATATCCATCACCTCCAAATGTTTCCTACGTCCCTTTGTTGTTGTTGTTGTTGTTGTCAGAACCCCTAAGATCGACCCTCTTAACAAATTGTTAAATACAAAATACCTCATTGTTAACTATAGGTACTATGTTTTGGAGCCTATCTCTGTAATTGACTCATTTTGTATAGCTTTAACCCTTGAACAATAACTCCCCATATTGCTCTTTCCCCACTCAATAAAACACCAAACTCTTTTAAAGCACATTCTATATAATCCACTTTATGAAGCTTTTCCTAACACTCTTTTATCTGTTCCCCCCCAGTAAAGGGAACTACTAATATAACAATTACCTATTTTGGATTATTGTGTCTTTTACAAACATTCCTTCATGAACCCATTTAACACTTATCTCCCATTATCTTATTATGAAGTAAAATAAAACTTGACGTGATTTTAAAAATGAAATCACAAAAGGGCTTTGTAAAATTATGATGTACCATTGCTTATTTGTAAGAATTCAAGTTACACTAGGGGTTTCTAAAAATCTTTTGTCTTTATTTGTTGCATATTGTAAGCACAGTGTCTTTTCCAGCTATTTGCTTTGGGAAGAAAAGTTAGAGTTACAATGAACAGCATAGGCTATCCTGTCTAGTCACTTACATTAGAGATGAGGAAATGAGCTGAGGGAAAGGAAGAAACTTGCGCAGGATCACCCAGTGATCTAGCGAGGAAGGCGATAGGGACAGCACTAAGGCTTGGTATTCTGAGCCTCATTCTATTTTCTCCTCTTGCCCCTTCTCTGTTTCCTCCTCTCTTCCCCAGCCTTCCAGAAAAACTTTACAGTTCTGCTGCAATGTCTACCTAAGGACATCCAGAGGAGACCTCACTTTTCATTAGACTGCTTTTTTAAGCACTGTCTTGCATTTTCTTCTTCAGTCTTGTTGTATCCCATTTTTGGCTATAAGTAATGCTTCTGCTGTGCTGTTCCATCCAATTAGTTTCTTCTATTTTCATTGAGAGAAAATTAAAACAAAAAACCATTAGTTTATCTAAATTTGGAAGTTTTAAAACTTGATTAGAATTTCCTGGGATATGGATGTAAGACATATATTTTAAAATATTTTTCATTTTCAAAATTAAAAATCAAACCCATATATTTATCCAGGATGACTACTTGATAACTACTAATCAGATGGGTCTTCAGCAACGCCACAAGGATAAACATCTTATAAATCAATTCCCTGGCGTTATGTGCTACTGAGTTAATACAATTTGATATGGTATCACCTTTAAGCAGGCTTTATGGAGTCACACAAAGGAACAGCACAACAGAACCATAGGGTGGAATGTATAGGGAAAGCTGGGATGTAAAACCCAGCCTTGACTCTGACACTTACTCCACTGTTGAGAAAAGCACTTCAGTTCCCAGAGCCTTAATATTTTCCTCTATAAAACAGGAAAAATAGAGCCATATTTAAGGTTTTGTCAAATCTTGTTGCTGAGTGATTTTACAGTGTCTGCAGCTATCCTCTCTGCTAATCATAACAAGGCTAACGAACTGTTCTTTTGTTTAGTTAAAGTTATTTTTGCATTTGTTTACAAATTGTTATTCTTCCCTTCACAGAAAAGGAAACATTTTAAAGGTAATTTATAAAAGGTTAAGAGTCTCTTACATATCAACTCTTCACAATGTGACAGAGTAGCTTAACCCCATCCCTAAGAGTATAGTTTCAGATCAGCCCCAAACCTATGTGGAGTGTGGGATACAGAATATATTTCAAACACATGCAAAGGCACACACACGTGCGCGCGCGCGCACACACACTCACACACACACAGTATTACCTAAGGCAGAGGTGCAGATGACAATCTTGGATAGACAGCTCAAAACTCTTAGTACTAAAATAATCCTAATAATAATTTTCCTTCCAAAGTTACCACCAACAATCAGATCTCTTAAGGGTTGGTGCCTTAGGTTTTCGAGCCTTGTGTATCTTTTGGCTTTCTTTTTTGGTTGTGTGCTATTTATCTCATAGAAAGAAACCTCTTCTTCATCCTATGCCAGTGCTGTATTGTAGGGGCTTGTTGACATCTTCCTGATATGTAGCAATCCAGGTGACTGGCCTCTGGCTTCTTAAGAGCAAGGCCATCACATGCCTTTTTTTTTTCTTTGTCTGCTTGTTTCCTTGTAAGGGTCCCACATACAGTGGGCGCTTAACAAAAATTTGATCAACTGAACTCATTTTCTATCTCCGTTCTCTCCACTTCAATCTTTCCCTTTTACTTCTTCCAGATTAGTTTTCCTACAGCAAAATGGGAATTGTCCAAAAACTGCCCTTCATCTTTATAACTTGAAGGATTCATTTACCCTAAGCCGTCCTTTTAAATTTACTATCACAGACTAGATAGAAATGTCTGGGTTCACGAAGAATAGGCATGTGTGCCACCATATTTTCTGTTGAAAACTTTGGAAAGTGTCTTTTAGCAAACAACATGAAGCATAGAATTTGACCATCCCTGACAATGTACAAGGATCATCCACATTCTCACATGTCCATGGCTACTTTCCCACTCCTTCCCCAACCTTGAAATCTTGAATTCAAAAGAAAATATGAGAAGACAGTTTGCCTCATATAAGGCAACAGGTTGCTTAATCTTTCTTGCCTACACACATTCAAGAGCTCCAGAAAATTTTCTGATCTACTTAGAATGCCTGATCATCTTCTTGGGTAAAAGCAATAAGTCCTACGCAGAATCACCAAAACCATGTCTGTTCAAGGGGTCTTATACCTGTGATTCATGATTGCATGCTCAATGCAGAAGGGCGTGCTCTGTTGCAGGGTCATATCTGGTCATTGTGTTTAAGTTCTAATTTAGAAGACTAGTTGCTGAGGAGGAAGAGGGAAGGATAATGTTAGGAAATGGAATCAAACTTAAGGGGAAAAGTCCAGTACAAGGGACCAACAGTATTGAGGGGCAATAGGTTGAAGATTTCTTAGATTATTGCAATATTTTCAAGGAGGCCCCACGAATCCTTCCTGGCTGACCCCACCAAAGCTTTGGCATAGCCTTTATGCCAAATGTCTTAGACTAACTAACTTTTCCAAAAGAAAATAGAGGAGTTATGGAGACCAATATTTAATAGAATAATGCCTGATTATTTTGCTTTTGAGGTCTAGTAACTGCTAGTAAACTTGCCTAATTAATTCACATTTAGAAGTAGAGTAAAGAGGGTTTCAACCACTTGAAACACCACTGACTTCATTTCATGTGAGAGTTGCTATGGAGAGCTAATGAACTATGAGGCTGCAGGTCTCTCAGCCAATAGGTCTTCTAGATTTCCTATGTGACTCCCTTTTCTGGTCATAGGCGATTTTGCTTTTGCTTTGAGTGTTATAGCACAATAAGGTGTCAGACACTCTACTCTTACCAAGTCTTACACAAAGTTTATCTTGTTATTTGGTGGAGCTTGGCTCATAAAAACAAAAAAAAAAAAACGAGAATGATAAAGAGGAGGACAGCAATCCTCCCGGCTGAGGAAAGAAGAAAGCT